>NC_000024.10:14112314-14721862 GCF_000001405.40 Homo sapiens | reverse complement strand
ATTTAATCTTCAGAAAACTGACCTCCCCTATAAACATTTCTAGGTACAGATACGTGTGTGTGTGTGTGTGTGTGTGTGTGTGTGTGTATACAAATAATTTAAATATCTTTGTTACTAAAAGAAAAATCCAAGTATCCATGCATATTTATTTTCACTTTTTTCTTTAATAAAGATTTTTTTCCCCTCATAATTCACAGGGACACTTGAAATATGAGAAAGGAATTCTGAGGATATGAATTACCATCGTTTGGATGGTGGCTCCAATTTGAATGAATTATGATCACAATTTTACAGGGTGCATACAGATGACATGACATACCCAATGGTCACAGTAAAGCACACAAAAGAATGTCAAGTTACCCGAGTATTTATTTGCAGATATTTAATCCACGGCAGAAAAGTGTCTTTTATTTTCTCATATAAAATTCAAATATAAAGTAAAAATCTTCATTCATCACTTATTCATCATACTCTATGGGAAATGTCCTCTGCTATATGAATAAGAAATGGCTTTTCTCATGTTCCACTTCTTCTTCCCGGTTCCTAATTTCCTGTTTTTGGCTTCATTTCTTTTACCACTACCAGCTGTTGGCTAGTAAATTGTGGTAAAAAGAGTAAGTAGAGATTTTGAAGGGCTGCTTTAAAGTGCTCCCTTTGAAAATATGGGAAATTAACATTTCTTACCTTTCATAAAACATACAACAAGATTCTCTTGAACTTGTGGAGTGATACCAGTTGTTACATTAAAGCAAATTCAAAAAATCACAGCTTATTAATATTAAGAGAAAATTAGATGGCATTTTCATGGTAATAAACATTCACTGGGAATAATGTGAAAACAGATCTTAATTATCAAAAGGAAGTATGTGAGAGGACACCAAAGAGGATACAAATTAGAGCAGTATAAGGTATGAGAGAACAAAAGTTTATTTCATTTTTATGTATTTGCTCAATACTGACAAAATGTGAGGCATTTAGAAGCCCTTATCAAAGAAGAGGTACCTGAACTTCTACCACCATCAGAATCAAGACCTCTTAGAGAGCTACTTGAGGCAGTGACAACCCTATGTGCTCAGTAATAATCAAAATGTTAAGGGAAGACCAGGCATGAAAAGAGTGTTGGCAAGACTTCTTTTCTTGGAGAACAGTTGATTTATGAAGATAAGCAAGGAGGGGAGCAACTACAAGAACTGGTCAAAAGACACTTTCAAGAAAATGGGGCTTGACCAGCAAGGATAATGCAACACTCACTTTTGGGCTTGGCCTTTCAGACAGAGACCCAAAGGTCCAGCCAGGGCCTTATTGTTTATGAAAAATAAATAGAATTCCATACATTTTGCTACCCAGATGGGAAAAAATGTGCAGTTAGCTAATCATATAGAGCCTTACCAATGAGGAATGGCTTGAGTACTTTCTTGTTGTTTCTCCTCTTTTAAAAAAACAAGAACAAAAACAAAAACAAATTTCTTCTACACAAAGGGGATAAAAATAGTGTCTATGTTTTCTGCATGACTGCTCAGACCTTCCACCTTTATGAAAAATATTTCCACTACTGGTAGATAATCTATTGAGCAATTTTGTCACCTTAAAAAGAAACTTCACAGCAATAAAACATTTAAAGGAGAAACATATTTTCAAAGAACGGTGGTGTGAAAACAAAGATGCACATAGCTAGCTTTTTGTCCTTTTTCAGTTCTGAGCTACTTCTTATTTTTTTCTTTAAATGTTGTAAAAGGCAGTACTGAAAGAATCAGGGCTTGTTAACAACAGCATCTTGTTAAAATGCTTTTTGATGTACTTCACTGTAAGCAGATTATTGGATGACTATGTTGGAATCAATATGTTTGTAAAGAATGCCAAACCAAAGAAACAAAATTGAAACTTCAGTCCTATGAAAAAATTATTCTAAGGTGCTGCAAAGTTTTGCAGTTTGCAAAACTAATTAGGAAGACTGAAGCTGCAAAGTAGTATATTAACTTACAAAATAACATTTGGAAGGGATAAAAGAGACTATACATGCATTCTTTAAAATTCTATTTTTTCTTCTTGTGACAAAGCCAAAAAAAGAAAAAAAAAAAAGGTGGGCTTCTCTGTAAGTAGTATTTCATTACTATTTTCATGTACAGAAACAATGTTTATACTTCACACAGTGATTTGTTTCCAGTACATGGTAACTGGGGTTAAAAATAACAGTGGTTTCTATACAAGAAGAAAATAAAGAAGCACACAAAAGTGTACAAGAGTTAAATAAGGGGAGGAAAAACAGGTTGAAATAAAAAAAAGAGAGAGATAGATAGACATAAAATCATGCATCAGGGTTGAGCTTTGAAAAAACAAAAAATACCTTTATCTTCACCATGGTCATTACTGGTTATATCGTCTGCATTTCTCTTTATGTTGGTTCCTGGGGTGATATTGAAAAGGAAAATAAAGGGATGAAAGAGAATTCAGAAACAATATGTTTGCAAAAAATTCAGAAAAGAGAAAGATGCTACCTAGTAAAAGAAAAAAAATGAATGTAACACAAAAACTTGAAATTGGTTACATTTGGTTTCAAAAAAATGAGATAGGGAAATGCAAAATGCATATAAACATAAAGATGTCAAGAAGAACAAATTCAAAATGTTACTTGTAAAAAATATTAGCTATACTGTGGATATGCAGTTGGGGGTTAAAATGATGCTACTGCAAAAAAATGCTAATGTGAGTTTTAAAAAAAGAGAAAATAAAATTATTAAAGGTATTTCCCACATTCTTAAAAGAAATGCATATGGCATATTTGACAGTACTTTGATTTGAACATATTATAATTTAAATACATTTTTGAAATGTTACTGATACACTATGGTTAGAAATTTTCATAAGGCAAGCAAAAGCACATACAGCAAACATGGGAGGACTTTAATCAAAATATCAGAAAATTGACATTAATTGCATGCATTAGAAACTTAAAATTGCACAATCTCTAAAAATTAGAAATGTCCCTAAATCACTAAGATTTACCTCTACTCCATGTTTAAAGAACAACTACCCATTATTCAGTATTGTTTTCTTGTATTAACATCTACTACTTGCAATAAGTATTTAAGTCAGGACAAAATATTATAGACTATGTCTTCTGTGTTTAAAATAGTTATTAAATATTACTTGAAAGTTATTGAATTTGAATTTGTTATAGAAAATAAAAATTGAAGTCACCTACCTGATCACCTCAATAATATCTGCATAGGAAATTTAATATAGGCAAAATGCAGGAAGAGGCTTAAGGATAGCAAAAACTAGGCTATGCTCTTTGTGTACAGAGCACCATTTTGCTTTTTATAGCTTCCAGATTTAAAAGGTGTGAACATTTAATTTTGCTTGAATTACTTAAAAAATTGGCTCCATTGTTTCCTTTTCATAGACAGATGTAGCCCATGTGTGCATACCCCACTATCAATAACTTTAACTGTGTCGCTCAATTAAAACAGTCTTTGCCTTCCTATAGGGTTCTAGGATAAGTGGATTAAGGCAGAGGGGAAATACTGTTATGTCCAATACTTGCGAGTGAAAAACATTTTCCAGTTCTACATAACTCAAAAGAGGTTAAACATATTTTGAAACCAAGACTTGATATTGCTGTTTCCATACATCAAACAAAACTTAATTTCCATTTAATGGGGCTTAATATCCTTTAAAATCAGACCTGGCTGAGTGCGTGGGAGTGACAGCCTTGCTGATCCACTTTCTGTCTTTGTAAGATTTGTCTTTTTCTAGGCATTTCATATAAATGAACTCATATAATATGTAGTCTTTTGTGTCTGGCTTCTTTTACTTTACATAATATTTTCAATGTCCGTCCATATTGTACCATGCATCAATACTTTTTTAGGGCTAAATTATTTTCCATTGTATGGGTATACCACATCTTTTAAATCCATTTATTTTTTAGTGACATTTGGTCTATTTCTACTTGTTGATTATTATTAATAATGCTGCTATGAACAATTATTTGTGTACCTGTGTACCATTTTTTGCATGGACATATATTTTCATCTCTTTGCATACATATCTAGGGCTGAAATTGCTGTTTCATAAGGCAAATTTATGTTTAATGTTTTTGTTTTAAGAAATTGGCCGATTATTTTCCAAATTAGCTGTAATAGTTGGCATTCTCACCAATGGTGATATAAAGGGTCTCTATTTTTTCTATTACCTAGACAACACTTGCTAATATCTTTTTTGTTGTTGTTGTTATAGCCATACTAATGGGTGTAAAATTGTGTCTCACTGTAGGGTTTTTTTGTTTGTTTGTTTTTATTTTTTGAGATAGAGTCTCACTTTGTTAGCCAGACTGGTGGGCAGTGGTGTGATCTCGGCTCACTACAACCTCCATCCACCTCATGGGTTTAAGCAATTCTCGTGCCTCAGCCTCTCAAGTAGCTGGGACTCCAGGCCTTCACCACTACTTCTGGCTAATTTTTTTTTTCCATAGGGAGTCTCGCTCTGTCGCCCAGTCTGGAGTGCAGTGGCGAGATCTCTACTCACTGCCAGCTCCGCCTCCTGAGTTCACGCCATTCTCCTGCCTCAGCCTCCAGAGTAGCTGGGACTACAGGTGCCCTCCACCATGACCGGCTAATTTTTTTGTATTTTTAGTAGAGACGGGGTTTCACCGTATTAGCCAGGATGGTCTCTATCTCCTGACCTCGTGATCCGCCCGCCTCGGCCTCCCAAAGTGCTGGGATTACAGGCGTGAGCCACAGCGCCCGGCCGCCCCTGGTTAATTTTTGTATTTTGGTAGACATGGGATCTTTCCCTATTGTCCGGGATGGTGTGAAACTCCTGGCCTCAAACAATCCACTCATTTTGGCGTCCCAATGTGCTGGAATTACAGGCATAAGCCACCACACCTGACCTCATTGTAGTTTTAATGTAGCTAATGTCTAATAACTAATGATATTAAGTATCTTCTCATGTATACTCTCTTTGGTGAAACGTCTAATAATATATTTTTGCCAATTAAAAAATAATTTGTGTCTTATTACTGAATAGTGTTTTGTTTTGTTTTACACATTTTGGAGATAAAAATCTTTTATCAGGAATATAGTTAGCCAATCTCCTCTCCCAGTTTATGGCTTGTCTTTTGGTTTTCTCAGTGATAACTTTCAAAATGCAAAAGTTTTTCATTTTGATGACTTTAAACTGATCAATACTTTTCATTAAAGGATTGTCCTTTTGAGGTTCAACTGATCAATTCTTTTAACTACTGTATTTTTGAAGTCACATTTATGAAATCTTTCCCAATCCATGGCCCTGAAGACATTGTCCTGTGTTGTTGATGTTTCCTAAAAGTTTAAGAATTTTAATTCTTACATTTTCATCTGTCATTCATTTTGAGTAAATTTTTGGGTATAATAAGTGTTAAGGGTTGAAATCCATCTTTTTACATATGAATAACCAATTGTCTCAGTGCCATTTATTGAGAAGACTATCCTTGCCTCCTTTAATTGTTTTCGCAGCATTTAAAAAAACTTGTTGACTATAAATTGAAGGATTGATTTCTAAACTGTTTATAATTGACTGTTGAACTACATAGGTCTGAACTGTGCTGTGCAGATCTACCTTTTTCTTCCATCTCTACCACCCATCCCTGAAACAGAAAGACCAACCTCTTCTCTCCTTCCTCCTCCTTAGCTTACTAAATATGAAGATGAGGATGAGGACTTTCAAAAAGATCCACTTCTATTTAATGAGTGGTAAATGCATTTTCTCTTATTTATGATTTTCTTAATATCATTTTCTTTTCTCTAACTTAGTTTATTTGGAGAATACAGCATATTGTATATATAACATACAAAAGATGTGTTAATTAGCTGTTTATGTTATTGGTAAGTATTCCAGTCAACAGTAGGCTATTAGTTGTTAAGTATTGAGGGAGTAAAAAGTTAAAAGTGAATATTCGACTGTGCAGGGGTTCTAAACCTTGTGTTGTTCAAGGGCCAACTGTAATTAATTATATATCATTAATCCAAACTTATACCCAAATGAGTTGCCTACTATCTCAATTACTATAGCTTTATAGTACCTTTATTTAAAAAAAAATTATACTTTCAGTTCTGAGGTGCATGTGCAGAACGTGCAGGTTTGTTACATAGGTATACATGTGCCATTGTGGTTTCCTGCACTCATCAGCCCGGCATCTACATTAGGAATTTCTCCTAATGCCATCCGTCTCCTACCCTTCCACTCCATGACAGGCCCGGGTGTGTGACTTTCCCCTCCCTGTGTCCATGTTTTCTCCTGTTCAACTCCCACTTATGAGTGAAAACATGTGGTGTTTGGTTTTCTGTTCTTGTGTTAGTTTGCTGAGAATGATGGTTTCCAACTTCATCCATGTGCCTGCAAAGGACGTCCTTTTTTATGGCTGCATAGTATTCCGCGGTAGATATGTACCACATTTTGTTATCCAGTTTATCATTGATGGGCATTTGGGTTGCTTACGAGTTGTTGCTATTGTGAATAGTGCTACAATAAACATACATAGTCATGTCTTTATAGTACAATAATTTATAATCATTTGAGTATATACCCAAAGAGACTTGGGTAAATACCCAATGGGATTTCTAGGTCAAATGGTATTTCTAGTTCCAGATCCTTGAGGAATTGCCACACTGTCTTCCACAATGGTAGAACTAATTTACACTCCCACCAACAGTGTAAAAGCATTCCTATTTCTCCACATCCTCTCCAGCATCTGTTGTTTTCTGAGTTTTTAATGATTGTCATTCTAACGGGGCATAAGATGGTATCTCATTATGGTTTTGATTTGCATTTCTGTAATGACCACTGATGATGAGCTTTATTTCATATGCTTGTTGGCTGCATAAATGTCTTCTTTTGAGAAGTGTCTGTTCATATACTTCACCCACTTTTTGATGAGCTTGTTTTTTTCTTGTAAATCTGTTTAAGTTCTTTGTAGATTCTGGTTATTAGTCCTTTGTCAGTTAGATAAGTTGCAAACTTTTTCTTCCATTCTGTAGATTGCCTGTTCACTCTGATGCTAGTTTCTTTTGCTGTGCAGAAGATCTTTAGTTTAATAGGATCCCATTTGTCTGTTTTGGCTTTTGTTGCCAATGCTTTTGGTGTTCTAGTCATGAAGCGTTTGCCCATGCCTATGTCCTAAATGGTATTGCTTAGGTTTTCTTCTAGGGTTTTTATGGTTTTAGGTCTTAAGTGTTTAATCCATCTTGAGTTAATTTTTGTGTAAGGTGTAAGGAAAGGGTCCGGTTTCAGGTTTCTGCATATGGTAAATGAAAGCCCTCCAACTTTCTTCCCCTATTCCAAGGTCTTTTTGCTTGTTCTAGGTCCTTTGACTTTCCATGCAAATTTCCACATCAGCTTGTTAGTTGCAACAAAACCTCCTGCTGAGATTTTGATAGAAATTACTTGCCAAATCCCAATTTTAAATTAATCTTATTTAGCACAGCCTCACCCCAGAAACAGAAAGGCAGAAATTACATACTGCCTTTCCTATGCATAATTTTTTAATCCTTTCTTTCTTTTTTGATAAACTGCTGCTTTATTTGTCCATGTAATTACAACTAACTAAATGTCTCTAAAACAAAACAAGTCATCTTGATTATCTAGTTTGAACACAACCATGGTCTATGTACATGCAGGTAATAGACGGTTCAGGAAAAACAATTTGGCTAATGTTTATTCAAGAATAAACCCAGCTTGTGGCTTGGACACACACACACACAAAGAAGCCCAAATAAAACCTAGGTGGACTGCGAGTTTCCTTTCTCTTCTCTATGTCTACCCTTCCTCAAAATGCCAGAATAATATTCCATTTCATACAACAATTAGCATCTCTGTAAAACTTCTGTGCAGAACTGGTTTTAAATGAGAAGATTTAAATACTCCAAACAAAAGTACAGCCATTCTATTATTAAGATTTAAATATCATTTTATTAAAAAAATCTCAATTTCCCTAATCCTGAAGAATATTCCAGCATTTTTTAACCTGTTCTTCTGATGTTCACATTTAGTGCTTTATCTATGTTATTTTCAAAGTCAGTCTTTCTAAAATAGTACTTTATGTTATTAATGTAAGAGAAACACTTTGTAAATAATTTGGAAAATGATATGCACATGGTGGCTCATGCCTTAATCCCAACACTTTGGGAAGTTGAGGTAGGTGGAGCTCAGTAATTCCAGACAAGACTGGCCAACATGGGGAAAGCTCGTCTCTACAAAATTCACAAAAAATTAGCCAGACATGGTGGTACATCCTGTAGTCCCAGCTATTCAAGAGATTGAGATGGGAGAATCATTTGAACCTCATTGCAGTGAACTGAGATTGTGTGATTACACTCCAGCCTGGGTGACACAGCTAGACCTTATAACAAAAAGAAAATTTAAAAATGTGGAAAATGAGGACTATTGTAAAAGCAAAATTAACATCAAAGGAAAAACCTCACAGTCACATCTACTGCTGTTAACATTATGCATCAGGAAATAATTTAAATCTGTTTATAATATATATTAATTTTATTGCCACTTACATATCTAAATCATCAGAGAAAGTCATCAGATACAAATGTGATCTTGTTATCTAAGCAAGAATATAAGGAAATAGCCAAAAAGAACCTTAGCATTATTGCTCTTCATGAGATATTATATTAAAATGTATTTAGTAGTTCATATTTTACTGTATATTCCTTTCTTTTAAGAGGTCAAGGTTAATTTTCAACTTGATACTGTTATCTTAAGTAGAGAAAGAGGCTTTTTTAGTGAACTACATTATTTTCCATATTGCTCCTCCCGGGGCAATTTGCCTATGGGAGGAGGTGAGGAAATAAATGTTTTCTTGGCCATGATAGATGTGGGTGTGATTGATTATTTTATCACTTGGCCACAGAGGAATACAGGCTTAATCTTGTAATCCAACGCAGAAAGGCAACTGGGGGAGAATTTACAATCCCCAGTTCTCTGCAGCTAGGAGGTGACTGATCTGTCTTCACAGACTGACCATGACACATGAGTTTATTTGCTCATAAGCCCATTCCTTCTATAAGTATGTATTGAACCTTTTGACTGGCTTAGAGAGGTAATGCCATGCAGTCCTGGCTAAAAGAGGTAAATACATAGCCACGCTGAAAAAGGAAATGAACATCAGAGACAGACATGCATACAGATCATTCCAACGTGGCAGGAAAATGCATGCACGAATTGAGGATACTCTGCTGTTTCTGGTAGGCCAGTCTGGGGATAGAAGGGTGGCTGGTGAGGAAGAGGGTTAGGGCTGCTAAATATGCACAGAAGAGCAAGGACCAGTAATACATTTATGGGAGCAAAGAAAACAGGCTGCTCTGAGGGAAAGCATAGGTTGGAAGGGGAGGGCACAGAAGGGACAAGAGTAGCCCAAGAAAGATGAGAAGAGCAGGTACTCAATCTGGATACTTCCTCTTTCCTCCATACACTGAGAGAAAAGACTCTAGCTGGGGAAAATATTCCATGCAGACATTTTGAAATCTATCTGAACCTCCACTTGAATAGTACTACCACCAAGAAATTGAAAGATGACTTTCAGAAGATTTTCAGATTGGATCATTTACCGATGGGCTTCACCCAATGTATGTGCACTTTGAAAAACTGGTTTTTGACAGGAAAGTTCGATTTCTGGATTTGGAAGAATTGCCTTAGATAACTTATGGCTTCTTTTCTTTTTTCATGTTCTGAAATAAGAACATTGGTACAGGACCAATAGAAATACGTATAAGATGGCAGGCTTTTTTTTTTTTTTTTTAGATGGAGTTCGGCTCTTGTCACCCAGGCTAGAGTGCAGTGAGTGATTTCGGCTCACTGCAAGCTCCACTTCCTGGGTCCAAGTGATTCTCCTGCCTCAGCTTCCCGAGTAGCTGGGATTCCAGGAATGCACCAGCATGCCAAATTAATTTTTGTATTTATAGTAGAGAAGGGGTCTCGCCATGTTGGCCAGGCTGGTCTCTAAACTCCAAACCTCAGGCGATCCACCTCTGGCAGCCTCCCAGAGTGCTTGGATTACAGGCATGAGCCACCACACCTCCCTGGGAGGCTTAATTTATGGAGCTTTCAGTAAAGTAGCTTCCCAGAAAGCAGCATTCAGATGGTTACTTCTTTTATTACAAGCCCTGGCAGGTCAGTACCAACGCATCTTGTGTACTGAAGGTCATCCTTTTGTGATATGGGAAGAGATTTTGGTGACCAGGAAGGCTTAGAAAAGACAACATATGGAGGTTGAGTACCTGAAAGTTGGTTTCTTTAAAATAATCAGCTGAGTCATACTTTGAAAAAGTTTTAAAAAGGCCTCTGCCAGGTTGAAGACCTCAGCTCTAGGGCACATAACTACTAGATAGATAATGTTGAATTACAGGGTGTAGTCGATTGACAGGCAAAAGGGGTCCCCAGTTCTACAATCTGTCCCATGAATTTGCTATTCCTCATACATAGAGATAAAGTCTGTATTTTCACCCCTTGAATCTTGACTGGTTTATGATTGTGTTTTTTCAAAAGAAAAAAAAATATAATGATATGCTATTTCCAAGACTAGAACTGAAATCCCCTGTACATATTCTTAATCTCTTGAAACTCTACCACTGCTCTCTGAAAAATGCAGACTAGTGGATTGGAATACAATAGATGCCATAAAGAAGAACCCATTGGCCCCAACCTAGGCAAAATTACCTCCCGCAAATCCCCAACTACCTGAGAGAGTTCACCCCAAAACAACAATAAATACACATCAATGAGCACAGCCAAGACCAAAATAAATTTACAATTAACAACATTCATAGGCTGATAAGCAGTAGTAAGTGCTTATTGTTTTAAGGGAATGAATTTTAGAGTGCTTTGTTATGCAGCAGTAGCTAACTGATACATAGGGTAGTACTAATTTTATCTTCAGTATATCCTGGTGTATTTCTTTCCAAACAAGTTGTATTATGCTATACACTCACTAGCAGGTAAGAAAATTCTGCACCCCTTATCCTATTCCCAACACTTGTTATTATCAGACAATATATTTGTCACTTTGATGAGTATAATATATTGACAGTTTATATTTCAATTTGCAAGTTCCTTGAAAATAGTGCAGATGTGCATTTCTGTATTTGTTGTCTTGATCATTCTAAATTCCCTTCTTGAATAGCAAGCCAATTTTTGATTGGCTGAACATCTGTTATTGGTTTGCAGGAAATCTTTACATTCATGGATGATGGTCTCTTTTTGAGGATGTAAAGGCAAACATTTAACAGTGCAAATCAGTGCTGCATACTGTTCTAAGGGCTTTATGCATAATGAATTTGCATTTCATTTGTTTGTTTTTTAGAGATGAACTCTTACTCTGTCACACAGGGTGAAGAGCATTTTTAGCTCACTGCAGCTTCCAGCTCCTGGGCTCCAGTGATCCTTCCAACCTCAGCCTCCCGAGTAGCTGGGACCCCTACAGGTGTGTGCCACTGCACCCAGTTAATTTTTGTTTTTAATTTCTTGTGGAGAGAGGATCTCACTATTTTTCTCAGGCTAGTCTTGAACTCTTGGCCTCAAGTGATTCTGCCACCTCGGCCTCCCAAGGTGCTGCATTACAGGTGAAAGCCACTATGCCCAGCTCTGAATATATATTTTTCATAACTACCTTCTGAGATGTGTAACTAATATCATCTCACAGTGAGGAAAATTAGATATGTGGAGATTAAATAATTTGCCCAAGCTTACACAGTTGAGCACTGGAGATATCTGTTCTGTTGCCTTTAACTATTTTATTGATTTTTAATTATATAAAGTAATTCATTAAGATGCATATTTATTATAATTTATCACTATTTTCTCCATAATGTCTGCTTTTTTAAAAAAGGATTATTTATGTAATCCAAAAACATAAAGACATTTTATTTGATTACTCTTCTTCTAACAGTTCAAAAGTTTTATTTGTCATGTGGATCATAAATCATTTGGAATTTATTTATCTGGGTGGTATAGTATACAGGTTATTTGAATTATTTCCTTAGATAACACTCCCATTTTCAGCTACATAGGTATTATGGCTCTTCACTTACATGCCAAGTTTTACATCTACCAGAGTCTGTTTCTGCCTACCTTCCTCTGTTCTGTTCTGTCTTTTTTTTTTTTAAGATGGAGTCTTGCTCTGTCACCCAGGCTGGAGTGAAATGGTGCAGTTTTGGCTCACTGAAAGCTCTGCCTTCTGATTCAAGTGATTCTGCTGCCTCAGCTTCCCCAAATATCTGGGATTACAGGCCTGCGCCACCATTCCCGGCTAATTTTTGTATTTTTAATAGAGGTGAGGTTTCACCGCATTGGCCAGGCTGTTCTCAAACTCAGGACCTAAGGTGATACACCCACCTTGGCCTCCCAAAGTGCTAGGTTTACAGGTGTGAGCCACAGTGACTGGCTCCTGGTCTATTTGTCTCTATACATAGGCTGTCTTAATTTATTTGGTTGATAGATTGATTAGATAGAGATAGGTTGATAAATAGCTTAACTGAGATATAATTACTGTATCATACATATCACTATGTCAAAGTATGCAATCCAGTGGTTTTTAATGTATTCATGGATCTGTGCAATAATAAACAATATCGAATGGCAGAACGTTTTCATGATTCCCCATGCCCCCAAATATACTGTACCAGTTAGTGGTCACTCTCCATTTCCTCTTTCCCCCAGCCCCTGGAAACTGCCCATTCATTTGTATCTTTCTGGATTTACTTATTTGGACATTCTGGATCAGGGAGGTGACACTGACACTATGTAGCTTTCACTGTAAGAGAACTTGAACATATCTACATGCAACTCTGACAAGTTTCCATGAAGAGTCCTCACTAGCCTGTTAGAGGATGATATTCCACATGAGCACTGACAAGCACCATGTTGAGATAGTGCTTGGCCAGTGAGCACCCAACTGACCTGGATGTTGACTCTAGGCTGAAGAGCCTCCCAGATGAGCACAGCCCAGATTCCCAACCAAGAATCATAACCTACATAGAGGTTGTTTGAGATGCTTTGCTAAATAAAAGTTGTTTGAGATGCTTAGCTTTGAGATGGTTCCTTATGTAGCAAAAGTCAACTAATACACCACTGTGAACATGGCTTAACTCATTTCATCATCAGGTTGCCTTTAGGACTTTTGGGAATTCTGCTGTTCCCCCTACTTGCAAGGCACATTTTCTCCTGTAAGACAAATTTTTATTGGTCAGCCTAAATTATATTTCCTAAGAAAGGCATTCCCTGTTCATCCCAGCATTATATTCCTAAATAAACTTGAGTTCCTCAATTATTCACTGTAGTTGGCATTTTTCATCACCAAATGAATTATAATATTTAACATGATACCTTGTTGAATTAGGTCTCTTTGCTAAATGGCTAGGAAAAAGAAAACAAAGGTGTTTCCTGTGATTTTCAACACCATATTTCCTAATTTGTAATAACTACCTAAACATCCAGAACATATAAGTTACATGGTAAATAACTGTTGGATGAATCACATATTTTTGGCTTGCAAGCTCACCTCTATTATAATAGTCACAGTCATACCAGCTGTGAAAAACAATGATAAATACAGCTCTCTATGTAGCATGTGGAACTAATTCTCCTCTCAAGTGTGCAAATGCAATGTTGCATCTTCTTTAGTTTTGAGAATAGATATAAATTATAATTCATAACATGGTAAAAAATAATTTCGATTAACATACAATATATAATAATTCTGCCATTTGCTATTTTTTTAAAAAAACTTGATAAAATGCTATTGTGATGACAGTAAAAGCAAGGTCTAATTCTAATTTTCTACCAGATCAAAAATGCTTTATTATAATAATGGAAATAGGAAAGGGTTAGGAAATAACTTAAAATAGGGTTAGGAAATAGGGTTAAGGTTAGGAAAAACACTGAGAGAAACAGGTGAATAATAATTTTTCTTTGTTGCTTTGCTACATTTAGCAAGAATTGACACTTTTTCAGGTAGGAATCAAAATGAATCTAAAGACTGTATGGCTTCCTGACATATTCCTGTGCTTACTATTAGAGTCCTAGAGCATTGTCTAAGCTTCCATAAGCATTTTTTTTTGTTGCAAATTTTACCACTGAAGTGTTTCTGTTTTCAGGAATGAAATACAAATCTTAGTATATTTACATGAGCATCTCCCATTTTTTTTGAATTTTCAGCTGATAGACAATATCATCTCTAAGGATCTGTGAGCTTGTGATTAAATCACAGTGTATTTAAAAATGAGAACTAACTTAATATTATATTTTGCTAGGTATTTTAAATACATTTTATTAAGAAAAGTCATTTTGAAAAGAAAATTGACATTTATTTGCCCTAAGATGTTTCTTGAAATGTTGTATTAAAAATCTAATACACCCAAAGATGTTTATATGTATTACTCACACGCGCACACACACACATCTATCTGTTGGCCTGCCTGGCCAACACGGTGAAACCCTATCTCTACTAAAAATACAAAAATTATACAGGCATGGTGGCATATGCCTGTAATCACAGCTAATTGGGAGACTAGGCTCAAGAATCCCTAGCACCTAGGTGGCGGATATTGCAGAGAGGCAAGGTTATGACACTATACTATAGCCTGGATTACAGAGCGAGACTCCATCTCAAAAAACAACAATGAAACAAACAAACAAAAACCTAATAACTTCTACACACACACGCATATATAGACCGCTACAGATATATATATATATATATATATATATATATATATATATATATACACATAAAATTGACTTTTAATTGCCCTAAGATACCTCTCAAAATGTTGTATTCAAAACCGAATAACTTTGAACAGGTATATATATATACACATATGTGTATATGTATATATGTGTGTATATATATACACATATGTGTGTATGTATATATATGTGCATACATATACACATATATCTGATTGTGTATATATACACATACACATATGTATATATATACACATCACACGCAATCAATATAAGTGTATATATATACACACTACACACAATCATACATATATATATATATATATATATATTTTTTTTTAAATGAGATTATCAACCTAGATTGTGAAATACCTATGTAGTTAGGGTAAGCAAAATATTATCCTCATTACATCCTAAAAGAACTAAGGCCAAGAAACACGAGACTGTTTCCTTTCTATGAGGAACTATTTCCACGAGGGACTTTCTGATGTAATGAGCACTTTGAAAGAATCATATTGGTGAAACCCTATCTCTACTAAAAACAGGAAAATTTGCTAGGTGTGATGCCACATGCCTGTAATCCCAAGACATAGGAGGCCAAGGCAGAAGAACTGCTTGAACCAGGGAGGCAGAAATTGCAGTGAGCCAAGATTACATCACTGCAGTCTAGCCTGGGTGACAGAACAAGATTCCATCTCAAAACAAACAAGCAAACAAACAAAAATAACATATACATAAATATTGCTTATTACTCTCTTTCAATCCTTCTGATTCCCTGGTAACATGTAAATGTTTTCTTGCATACAACTGGTGATCCATAAATGTTAGCTCATATCATAGCTGGCAGTGGTATTTTTCATGATTTCTCAAACATTTTTCTTCCACTCAGATTTTTCTCATGAAGTATTCTCTTCCTTGATTCAGAGAATGTGATGTCTCTAAGCTTCCCCTCCAGAAATTTCCTCTCTAACTTTGTAAAACCTTTGAGCACCAAGTACAAGTGCCAGAATCTCTATGACATGTTCCTCAGCTCAATGCTATACTGAACTGTTTAATACCGTACTCATTAGAAGAAGTCTGTGTTGCATGAACATTTGTACGTATCCCTGATGACACTATGATTTGCATGTCAATTATTTGGCCATATAATCATGCTACTCAAGAAAACAAGAGTGTGTTGACTATTTACTCTATGACTCCAACCACTTATCACAGAAAGATCTTACCCAGGAAGACACCAAGGTAATCACTTGCATTATTATTAAACAAAAATGACTAGACATTGTGCGTGTTTTATTTTTAAGCAAAATCTCATTTAAACTTAAAATTTAAGAAATTTTCAAGGCAACTTTATGGATATTACACAGTAGCATCTGCAAAGCCTCTCCAAGAATTAGAGAAAAAAAGGTATAATACCTTCATTTCCATTTGTCCATTTGTTTTAAATTAACTTGTAATTTTGGAAAGTTTTAGATTTGCAGAAAATTGTGAAGACAGTAAAGAGAACTGCCATATGCCTGACAGTCAGTTTCCCCTATTAATAACATTGACATCAGTGTGACATATTTCTTATAATTAATGAACCAAGATGGAAACACTATAATTCAGTAAAGCCTGCATTTTGTTCAGATTCTCATAGTTTGTAGCTCATGTCCTTTTTCTGTACCAGGATTCAATCTAGAATCCCATGTGACATTTTAGTCATCTTGTCTTCTTAGGTGCCTCTTGGCTATAACTGTTTCTCATGTTTTCCTTGCTTCTGATAACCTTGATGGTTTTGAGGAATTTTTGTCAGGCATTTTATAGAGTATTGCACAACTGGGATGTCTTTCATGTCTACCGTGATTAAGCTGAGATCTAATTATGAATTTTTGGGAAGGGAGAAAGAAAATGCCTTTCTTCTCACAGCCTATCAAGAATGCATACAGTAAAAATAGTTTATCGCTGTGGATATTGAGTCTGATCTGTCTGAGTTATTGTTTGTCAGGTTCCTCCACTATAAAGATACCGTTTGTCTACCCTTTCAATACTGTACACTCTTTGGAAGGAAGATATCATGCACAGTTAAACCTAAAAAAAGAGAGAAGAAACAAATAAACGCAATAAAAAATGATAAAGGGGATATCACCACCGATCCCAAAGAAATACAAACTGCCATCAGAGAATACTATAAACACCTCTACACAAACAAACTAGAAAATCTACAAGAAATGGATAAATTCCTCGACACATACACCCGCCCAAGTCTAAACCATGAAGAAGTTGAATCTCTGAACAGACCAATAACAGGCTCTGAAATTCAGGCAATAATTAATAGCTTACCAACCAAAAAAAGTCCAGGACCTGATGGATTCACAGCCGAATTCTACCAGAGGTACAAGGAGGAGCTGGTACCATTCCTTCTGAAACTATTCCAATCAATAGAAAAAGAGGGAATCCTCCCTAACTCGTTTTATGAGGCCAGCATCATCCTGCTACCAAAGCCTGGCAGAGACACAACAAAAAAAAGAGAATTTTAGACCAATATCCCTGAGGAACATCGATGCAAACATCCTCAATAAAATACTGGCAAACCAAACCCAGCAGCACATCAAAAAGCTTATCCACCATGATTAAGTGGGCTTCATCCCTGGGATGCAAGCCTGGTTCTATATATGCAAATCAATAAATGTAATCCAGCATATAAACAGAACCAACAATAAAAACCATATGATTATCTCAATAAATGCAGAAAAGGCCTTTGACAAACTTCAACAACCTTTAATGCTAAAAACTCTCAATAAATCAGGTATTGATGGGATGTATATCAAAATAATAAGAGCTATCTATGACAAACCTACAGCCAATATCATACAGAATGGGCAAAAACTGGAAGCATTCCCTTTGAAAACTGGCACAAGACAGGGTTGCCCTCTCTCACCACTCCAATTCAACACAGTGTTGGAAGTTCTGGCCAGGGCAATCAGGCAGAAGAAGGAAATAAATGGTATTCAATTAGGAAAAGAGGAAGTCAAATTGTCCTTGTTTGCAGATGACATGATTGTATCTTTAGAAAAACCCATTGTCTCAGCTGAAAATCTCTTTAAGCTGATAGGCAACTTCAGCAAAGTCTCAGGATACAAAATCAATGTGCAAAAGTCACAAGCATTCTTATATACCAATAAGAGACAGAGAGCCAAATCATGAGTGAACTCCCATTCACAATTGCTTCAAAGAGAATAAAATACCTAGGAATCCAACTTACAAGGGATGTGAAGGACCTCTTCAAGGAGAACTACAGACCACTCCTCAATGAAATAAAAGAGGATACAAACAAATGGAAGAACATTCCATGCTCATGGGTAGGAAGAATCAATATTGTGAAAATGGCCATACTGCCCAAGGTAATTTATAGATTCAGTGCCATCCCCATCAAGCTACCAATGACTTTCTTCACAGAATTGGAAAAAAAACTACTTTAAAGTTCATATGGAACCAAAAAAGAGCCTGCATTGCCAAAACAATCCTAAGCCAAAAGAACAAAGCTGGAGGCATCACGCTACCTGACTTCAAACTATACTACAAGGCTACAGTAACCAAAACAGTACGGTACTGGTACCAAAACAGAGATATAGATTAATGGAACAGAACAGAGCCCTCAGAAATAATGCCGCATATCTACAACCATCTGATCTTTGTCAAACCTGAGAAAAACCAGCAATGGGGAAAGGATTCCCTATTTAATAAATGATGCTGGGAAAACTGGTTAGCCGTATGTGAAAGCTGAAACTGGATCCCTTCCTTACACCTTATACAAAAATTAATTCAAGATGGATTAAAGACTTAAATGTTAGACCTAAAACCATAAAAACCCTAGAAGAAAACCTAGGCAATATCATTCAGGACATAGGCATGGGCAAGGACTTCATGTCTAAAACACCAAGAGCAATGGCAACAAAAGCCAAAATTGACAAATGGGATCTAATTAAACTAAAGAGCTTCTGCACAGCAAAACAAACTACCATCAGAGTGAACAGGCAACCTACAGAATGGGAGAAAATTTTTGCAATCGACCCATCTGACAAAGGGCTGATATCCGAATCTACAAGTAACTTAAACAAGTTTACAAGAGAAAAACAAAAAAACCCATCAAAAAGTGGGCGAAGGATATGGACAGACACTTCTCAAAAGAAGACATTTATGCAGCCAACAGACACATGAAAAAATGCTCATCATCAATAGCCATCAGAGCAATGCAAATCAAAACCACAATGAGATACCATCTCACACCAGTTAGAATGGTGATCATTAAAAAGTCAGGAAACAACAGGTGCTGGAGAGGATGTGGAGAAATAGGAACACTTTTACAGTGTTGGTGGGATTGTAGACTAGTTCAACCATTGTGGAAGTCAGTGTGGCGATTTCTCAGGGATCTAGAACTAGAAATACCAATTGACCCAGCAATCCCATTACTGGGTATATACCCAAAGGATTATAAATCATGCTGCTATAAAGACACGTGCACACGTACGTTTATTGCGGCATTATTCACAATAGCAAAGACTTGGAACCAACCCAAATGTCCAACAATGATAGCCTGGATTAAGAAAATGTGGCACATATACACCATGGAATACTATGCAGCCATAAAAATGATGAGTTCATGTCCTTTGTAGGGACATGGATGAAGCTGGAAACCATCATTCTCAGCAAACTATCGCAAGGACAAAAAACCAAACACCACATGTTCTCACTCACAGGTGGGAACTGAACAATGAGAACACATGGACACAGGAAGGGGAACATCACACACTGGGGCCTGTTGTGGGGTGGGGGTAGGGGGTAGGAATAGCATTAGGAGATATACCTAACATTAAATGAAGAGTTAATGGGTGCAGCACACCAACATGGCACATGTATACATATGTAACTAACCTGCACGTTGTGCACATGTACCCTAAAACTTAAAGTATAATAATAAAAAAAGGAGATTTATGGCCAGGTGCAGTGCCTTATACCTATAATCCCAAAACACTGGGAGGCTGAAGCAGAAGGATTGCCAGAGGCCAGGAGTTTGAGAACAGTCTGGGCAATATTGAGTGACTTCATCTCCAAAATGTAAAAATGAATTCAAAGAGTAAAAAATAAATAAATAAATAAATAAATAAAAATTTATACTCCAACTTCTTAAGGGATAAATACCTATATAAATTATTTTAAATGCCTCTTCATGAGAAATTCTTCTCATCTCTCCAGTGGTAAGGAAAATAATGATACTTCCCCCAGGATATCGACATCCTAATTTCCTCAATCTGCCAATATGTTATGAGTTCGCAGATGGAATTAAAGTTGTGCATTGCCTGATTTTAAAATAAGATTATTGTGAATTATCCAGGTGGCCCCAATATAATCATAACAGTTCCTTCAAGAACAAGAAGGAAGCAGGAGTGCAGTCAGAGAAGCAACTGAAGACACTGCACTGCTGGCTTTGCACATCAAGCAAAAAGAATGAGCCAAGAAATGCAGGTGCCTTCTATGAATGGAAAACAAGGAAATGAATTTCCCCCAACAGGTCTCAAAAGCAATCAATTCTATGGACAGTTTGATTTCAGCCTAGGGAGACCCATGTGGGACTTCTAACCTTTAAAATGAAGATGTCTAACAAAACAAAATGGTGAGATACCTTTGTGCTGTTTTATGCCAAAAATAATGTAATTTTCTATAGTAGCATTAGGAAATTACTATATCATGCTAATTTATTCAGTCATCTACATCAAATATTGGATTGTGGATATGTATTCTACACTTTGAGTTATAACTCAAAACTACGTTATTTATTTTGTTACTCCAGTTGTCCCAAAGAGGGCCATGGAATGCTCTCTAAGTTGGCCCTTGTATGCAGTGTCATGACCATGTCATTGTGCGTGTGTGTGTGTGTGTGTGTGTGTGTGTGTGCGTGTGCATGCGGGCTTAGCATTGTCCTCCTTTCTGGCACTACAACACACACTACAAGCTTACCTTTTATATTTCCTGCCCCAGTTCTCAAATCAGCCATTTCTCCAAGAAGCCCTAGTTCCTTTTACTTGGTATCTGCATTTTATAGGTTAAGAGCCTGAAGAAGAGAAAATAAGAATGACTTCCCTAGAACATTCTAGCACTAGTTAGTGACCCACCTGGTTTTTATATAGTAAGGACTATGCTGTATCATTGTGTTTATAATACATGCTACTGGTGCTGGAGTGAAAATTTGCACCTTCCCTTTTTACTCCTATTCCAGTGGTCTTCCTATGGCAACAGATATTTAATAATGACAATATTAAGTATTGAACTGCAGTATTTGATTAATGCATTCAAGGCACTATTCCAAATACTTTGTAGCCTTCTTAAAAGTGGTAAGGTAGTATTTTTGTCCTAACTTTATAGATGAGGCAACTGCAGCACAGAATCCTTAAATAACTTAGTCAATGAGATCAAGCTATTGGGGTTTTGGGGTTCAAACCTAGAAGTCAAACACTTCATGGCATAACATCATCTTTTAAACAAATAGTCAGAACACGGTCTTAAGTTAATCTCTGGCAAGGAAGTTTTGTTTTACTCACACAAAATGAAATATAAAACAGAGAGAGGAATACATCATTGATTATGTCTTAAGATCTTTGATGCAGTAAAGAAAATAAGAATTATAACTAAACATGTTATTCGACGAAGAATAAATGGCATTCAGAGAACTGACACTTTTGTTTAGAAGGCACGGACTAAGTGTTAGAAATTGTAGTTCACAAAGAAGGATGGCATTTCAGAAGAGAAGAAGAAGAGCAATGCAAAGAGATTGCTGTATCCAGGTGTGGAATGAAAGAGACCTATTTCACTGCAGGTGGGTCCCATAAACATCACAATATTACTTTAAAAATACAGCCAATTCACCTGGCAAGATTCTGATGCCAAACTTGATGCAAATTCTTCTTAAGATATCTTGTGTTTTGAACACAGTCCTCCATTGTTAATAATACAGATAATTTTAAGTATTCCAAGTTGTTGCTCTCAAGGATTCAGAGCCTTTACCTAATTCTATAATCAAAAAATACTACCTAGCTTTTAAAAACACATCCTGATGATTTCTAATTTGTCTCCATTTTAATATCCATTTATGTTTGCATTAGCATTATGTTTCTTCAGAAAATAATACTGTGTGGTGATTATATGATGAGATTTTTGTTGAACGCAAGTATTTAATCCCATACAGTAATGACTCTAAGCCAATCCTTTCACTCTTTCACAAATTCATAAACCATCACTTTGGGCCAACATGTAAGCTTAATGTACCTCTAGGTGTTTACAGATTTACCTTAAATAATTAGCTTTTTTTTCATTAAAAAAAGCATGTTATTTTGAGATTCACTAAAAGAGTGATTCCTAGCTTAATGATTTCATTTCTTTCATAATTACATGCAATTTTAGGTATTTATAAAATCTCTCCAGGTTTAGAATTGTTATTGTTATTACTATTACTACTACATTCAATTGAAGGGATGGGAAATTACTGAATTCACCCCAAAATACTTAACAGCATGAAAAAGAGTAAATAAGAAAGTAATAAATAATGTTACAATATGCTCAAATGGTAACACCTTTAACAAGAAATCCCAATTCCCTGCCATGGCGGCATCTGCTGGCCAATATTCCAACCAGTTTTCATGATTTAGATAAAACCTCCTCCCTCTGCCGGGGTGTCCAATCTTTTGGCTTCTTTAGGTCATACTGGAAGAAGAAGAATTGTCTTGGGCCACACGTAAAATACACCAACAATTGCTGATGAGCTAATTTTTAAAAATCACACAAAAAAACTCACAATGTTTTAAGAAAGGTTGCAAATTTGTGTTGGGCCACACTAAAAGCATTCTTGGCCTCATGGAGTCTGCAGGCTGAGGGATGCTACCTAGATACTATACTGGGAAGTCACTTCTTAAGAGAGGACCCAGTCCTCTAACAGGTAACTTCCCAACATAGTATTTAGGTAGTATCCCCTGTTATGAATTTCTCATCTAAAACGTTAATCTCATAGGAGGAAAGAATAGAACGTAGGATATTAGGGGCTGGGAAGGAAAGAAGGAAAGGAAAGGGATAGAGAAAGATTTGTGAAAGAATACAAAATTCCAGCCAGATATCAAGAATAAGTTCTAGTATTCTATAACCCTGTAGTTAACAAGGATGTATCGTATCCAATGGCTAGAAAGAGGCTATTGGAAGTTTCTATACAAATAAATGATCAATGTTTGAGATGATGGATATGCCGAATACCTTGATCTGATCAGCATGCCTTATATGTATCAAAACATTGCTAACTACTGCATAAATATGCTTAAATTTAAAAATAATGAAAAAAAAAGAAAGGAAAAGATGTGAACATGATTGCCAACCCAGAACAGCCAAAAATCTAAGGAGAGATCTGGGTAGATTTATGCTAACTCTTTCAATAAGCTGAACAGTAATCCATCTCCTCAGGGATTATTTTATGGCCTTAGCACATAGGGAATGGTTCCATAGATCCAATGGGAAACAAATTAAGTTCAAAGGGGTACTGTCCTTCCTGCATTTAGCCACTTGTAGGCAACAAGTGTCAGTCTCTAAAGTCATAAGCCAAGGAATACAGGTGGCCTCTATGAATAGAAAAAAGCATGGAAATGGATTTACAGTAAAGCAAGGAGATGTTTTTCTACCTCAAGGGATTGCCTGAGAATTATTTCAGAAAGTCTCCTAAATACAACAACTCTATGTACACGTTCAATTGAAATAAACTTTAACCCAACCTAAACAAATATGTAAGAGACAGAGTTGGTTCATGAAAAATGGTTATTAGTCCACGGCTGCAAAGTTGGACAATTTGAGAAAAGCCCTTCCAGCCAATGACATTTTTCACACATTCACCTAGCACATAGTATTCACATGTCAACTAATAATTAGTCATCTTAGTAAGGTCCAGTGCTGTCTGGAGATGAGTATCTCATTGGAAACCAAAATTGCTCAGAAAATACTCATGTGCATGAATGTATTCAATGCAATAGGATGAATTCTTTAGGCACCATGTAAATTCTGATGTTGGAGCCAGTATCCATGATTTTGGAAATGGAGTAAAGAATCTCACTTTCTCCTATTTCAGCGCCACAAAATGCTTTTGGTAGGAAGTTACGTTTCCTCCACCATTTACTGTAAAATGATAGCACTGAGGATAGTGAACAAAAAGACTCAGTGTTTGCTGTCAGGGAGCCTCATACAACAATTAATTCAGTAATCACTAAATCACTGAATTCCCACTGTGAAATGCTACTAATAGAAATGTAACCATATACATGTATGATTATAATTAGCTATAGAGAGAAGGATTGGCGCACAGGAATTAAGATGTCTATCTATCCGTCTCTCCAATCTACAATCTATTTCTCTGTCTACCTATCTATCCCTCTGTCCTCTACCTACCTACCTGCCTATGTATCTGTCTCTCTGTCTGCCTGCCTGCCTATCTATCTATCTATCTATCTATCTATCTATCTATCTATCTCTCTCATCTATATACCCATCATCTATATACCTGTCTACCTGTTTCTATCTCTACCTTCTATCTATCTATCTATCTATCTATCTATCTATCTATCTATCTATCACCTATCTGCTTATCTATATCTATATGTCTTACTTTCTGTCTTTTATCTCTCCACCTCTATCTACCTATATCTATCCATTATGAGCTATCATTTATCTATGTATCTATATCTATCCATCTCTATCATCTATCTATCTATCTATCTATCTTTCTATCTATCTGTCTATATATACATATATCACCTAGCTATCATCTTACTATCCATCCATTTCCATCTATCGATTCACATCTATTATCTATCAATCTATCTATCTATCTATCTATCTATCTATCTATCTATCTATCTGCCTACCTACCTATCTATCTATCTGTTAGTGACCCCATCTTCTCTAATGGTCAGCAAGATAATCCCTAAATATTACTCTTAGTTTTAGATGATCTGAATTGGGAGTCAAGGAGTCAGAAAGAGAGTTGTAAGGAAATATTCCAGAAAAGGTAAAGGAGAGTCTGCTGCAAGATTATACCAGAGAATTGGGCAGTGTCAGGTCACAGGCAAAGCATGACAGGGTGTATTGTGTTGAATAATGTTGCAGAAACCCACATCTACCAGATTCTCAGAATGTGACCCTATTTGGAAATACATAACACCCCAGATTGTTATGCGTGAGGATAGGCTCCAAGATGTGAAGCTGCAGCTAGTACCAAATTCTATAGATACTATGTTTTCTCCTATGTATACATGCCCATAATAAAGTTTAATTTATAAATTATGCTCAGTAAGAGATTAACTCTTAATCTCTCAAGAGTTAACTGATTAAGCCAAGAGATTAAATGATCACCGGGAACTGAAACCACGGAGAACAAAACAATGGATAAGGAGGTACTACTGCAGGGTCTTTGCAGATGTGACTATGTAATCTCCTTAGAGATAAAATGATCATGTATTTGCAATGGTCCCTCGATCCAATGACTGTGTCTTTAGAAGAAGAGAGCATCCAGAAACATATGCAGAGAAGAAGGCCTTGGAAAGATGAAGACAGTATTGAAGTGACACTGCCAAGAAAAGCCAAAAATTACTGGCAGCCCCCATAAAGTAGGAGAGGCAGGAACAGATTCTCCCTCAGAAGGTGCAGAAGAAACCAACCCTGACAACACCTGGATTTTGGTTTTCTGGCCTCCAGAACTGGAGGGAATACATTTCTGTTGTTTTAAGCTACCCTGTTTGTGGTAATATGTTATAGAAGCCCTGGGAAATTTATATATTGGAGTATTTATAAGTTGGAAGGACCCGATAAGCCATGCCCTCCTTTAATCCCAGGAAGGTGAATATGAGCTGGACTTATGAAGTTGTTAGAAGTCATCCTGTGAGTATGTTATGTTACCTAGGAAATGGAATGCGATGCTATTGCCTTGGTTATGTTATCTAAGATTTTTCCTTTTCTTAGCAGACTGGAGCAAGAGATTCCCCTGCTGGACATGAAGATGCAGGCATGCATGCATGAACATATTGGAAGATGGTCCCTGAGAAGGCTGCATGGCAACAAGCTGCTTGGGGGACCTCTATGAGCTGAAATCAGCTCCTGCTGACAGAGAGAAAGGAAAGGGGACTTCGATCCTACAACAGAAATAAACTAATTCTGCCAATTCCTGAGTGAGCTTGGAAGAGGACTATGAACCTTCAGAGAATCATGCTACCCAGCCGACACCTTGATTTCATCCCCGTGTGGCACTGAGCACTAAATCCAGTTCAGACATGCCCAGAAACCTGACCCACAAGAATTGTGAGATGACAAAAGTGTGTCATTTTAAGCCACTAAATTTGCAGTAATCAAATATGCAGCAAAAGAAAATGAATACACTGACAGCCACCGCATCCTTCTTTGTCTATTCGCTCTCTGACTGCACATCTCCAGTTATTTAGGGAATCTGTTTAGCCAGCCTCACAAACTCCCGGAAATTTCAGGTAATGTAAATTCCATTAGGGACCCAAGAAAGTCAGGACTTGAAGGCGTGCCAGACAGTACCAGCAAGCTGTCTGGAGTCCAGCTGTCTACATGGGCATTTGGACTACCTGTCAGCTGTCCTGCAGTGTGGGGGCAGGACACAGAAAGCATTCCCATCTGTACAAAACACAACGTATCGGCCATCTCCATCTCTATATGCCAACCTGTGCATGTGTGCCTTTCACAATTGTTTTGGTTATATTTAGAACTGATGCCCCTATTAGGATTAAAGAACATTATGTATCCCATGATACAGCAACTGCTTATAAATGTATAATGCAGAATGGGAACAACAGCAAACTATTTCTGCAGGTATCCATAGATTCCATAGAATATTCTGATATCACAAATTATGACATAGTTCAGAAGTAAAAGCAGTACCTGGATTGGGTCTGAAGCTTCCTCGATGTTTTGTAAACCTTTCTGTGGTGTGTAAAAGAAACTTTCCTTAGTGCTTTTAATTTGCCTCCTTCCACTTTTAACACACTCTTCTTTAGCTATATCAGCTGCATGTGCCTCCTCCAACCCTACTGAGGCACCACACTTTCTTGGAACAATACCCTCCATATTACATGTGAAATTATAATGGCTGGAAAGCCCATGACTGAGGTTGATAAGACAAAGAAATCCCCCCATGAGACTGAAGCTGTGTTGTCTGCCAAGTCTGACTTTGACCTTTTGGTCTGTGAAAAGGGAAATCTGGACTAAGATGGGATGCTTCCATAAAGATTCAGTAATTATCTGCATCCTCAAATGGCATGTAGATTGAGCAATAACCTGGGAAGGAGCAAGCATTTCCAGTTGCAGCATGAATTCAAAAGAAACACAAATCACTCATTTAGCAGCTTGTGAAAAATTTAGGAAGATCATGTTTCTTCAATTGTTCATGCAGCAGACTGGAACTCCACAAGCATGCTGGCTCAGGACATCACAGAGCTGCAGCAAGCACCTCCAGCCATGCACAAGTGAAAACTGGCCAATGGGTTTCTCATCATTCAGATAGTGCACAATCATCACATAAATGAGGGGGAAGACAGGGCTTTATCATAGGAGGCCAAATCCCTGAATTTGTGCACATATGACTATCCATTTCCATCCAGAGAGATGGTAACCTTTCTGATTCATAGCATAAATAATTACTAGGAAGATCATTTGGAAAACACCACCCAATTTCTAGCAGCGTTTTTAAAACATCATCAAAATTAACTCTGGCTCCTCTATAAGGAACCACTTGGTGCCTGGCACCATGCTTTACTGAGAAAGCTTTCAAAAACATTGAGCTAACTAAGCCATTCAATCCTATTTCAGTTGGATGCTTTCATGGCTGTTAAATAACAACATTAGGAAATAGTTATAGCAGTCACCATGCATCATCATGTATGTTGCACATTTCACTTGAAATTCTGGTAAGTCATTTCTTTTACCATTACTCTGTAACAGAGCCAGCTTTGTCATCAAATAGAGTTTCCAAAGAGATAAATGATCTGCAAGCATGAAAGCATAGTAGCTGCTAAAAATCAATAGCTCTAAAGCACGGTTAGCATGAGTTAAGAAGCAATGGCTACCTCCAAATGAAATTACAGATGAAACATAGCCAACAAGGTGTTTAATACATGCAACATGTTTTTTTTTTTTTTAATTTTTGTCCCTAAATTAGAACTTCACATATTCGTTTCAGGAATAACATTAGCTACATTTTAAGTTTCATCGTATTTACCTGTAAAACAAAAATGTGTGTTCCAGTTGACCCTATTCAGCCAACAGTACCATCAGAATTCCTATTTAGCATGACAATAAAGGTACAAATTTAAAAACAGCAACCAAATGGATAGGCACGATCACACCCATAACCCCAGGACTTCAGGAGAACTAGATGGGAGGATTACGTGAGGCCAAGAGTTCAAGAACAGACTGGGCAGCAGAGAGAGATACTGTTTCTACAAAAATAAAAATAGAGAAATTAGCTAGGTATAGTGGTGCACGCCTGTCATCCCAACTACTTGAGAAGATGAGGTGGGAGGATCACTCAACCTGAGGATTTCAAGGTTGCAGTGAGCTATGATTATCCTACTCCAATCTGAGAGACAGAGCAAGACCCTGTCTCTAAAAATAATAACAATAAATTATAAAAACAGAAATTAAATTTTTTACATGGCTCTCTAGAGTAATTCTGTGCCAGATAAAACCCCTGGGCTTCTATTCCTCTGCAGGCTGCTGTACTTCTCCCAGCAGATCAACAGAACAATCTACTATTTTCCAATTGCCAGCAACCACAGTTCAGGTTGTCACATATTCAGCTGTCTCAAGCAAATACATCCCAAAATGATGGAAGGCTGTGGCAGGCAGACAAAATCTTTCCATGCCTGAAGCTCTTAAATATCAAGCACTGGGGCTGGGAGAGGTGTCTCACACTTCCAATCCTGGCACTTTGGGAGGACTAGCCAGGAGGATCACTTGAGGCCAGGAGTGGATGACTATCCTGGGCAACACAGCAATACTCCGTCTCTACAAAAACAAAAATTAAAAAATTAGCTGGCCATGGTGGCATCTGTAGCAGATATAGCATCAGAACCTTTCCTAAGTCACCAGGAAAGAAGGAAAAAAAGCATCAATTGACAAATATCAATGGCAAGAGATGGATGGCCTCTGCATCCAAGCAAATGCCAGCAGGAACTGGATCAGCATACAGATGGAGACATTCCTTAGCTCCTGGGAAGTGACTTCAGCAATGCTATAAATATTTTTAATGATGCAGATTTAATGAAGTAAAGCAGTGTAGGAAAATGAGAGGCAACAAATTATTGCACTTAGCGTCTAAGAAGTATGTTGTCAATGGTGCCAATTTGATACCACAAGGTGGCTTAAATAAATGTATCACATTGTCACAAGATCACATTTTGTCAACATCAGGCATTCCAAAAAGTGGTTTCATGATGTTGATTGAGTCACATGCATTTGTACTGGCTGATTTGCATAGACTAAGGGGCAGTGTTTTGGCAGCTTTGAGAAATGGTTCCTGTACCTCATCATGAGAAAAGGAATTCAGTGGCCTCTATAGAAGTACCTTGATTCTGCCACCTCAAGTTCAGACACTTCAAAGTACATTGGAGTCACAGAATCAGAAATAATACTCAAGCACACCAAGGCAGAGATAACCAGAAAGACAGCTGGATGAAAAACTGGGTAGAGATAAAAATCTATAAGAGGCTTGAATCATATAGATTACTAAGAATTAGATAAATTGCATGAATTAACAATTAGATAAGTAAAAATTAGTAAAAATAGCAAATGTTCATCAAGCAGATTATATTACAAAATGCTTTTCATATTAAAGATCATTAAATTGCAAATGTAAGGGTCACATGTTTGATTAATATGCTGTGGTCATTGTAATATGCAATTAGGCTAATTTAGCTTCATAAATCCCCATTTAGGTTCAAAGTTCTAGTTTTAATAAGATCTTAGTATCTTCTGCCTGTTCATTGTACAATATAATCTAAGGGAAGGTGATACAGAACTACACCATAAAAAAGAAGTCCTTATTCCCAAATTAATAAAATGATGAAAAGTCAGCAACAATAAAAATACAATCAGGTGATCCCAAGGCAACTTACCCACATACTCAACATAAGATTTTACTCAGAGACTATATAAATTTCTACCTAAAAATATTTTCAATATAATAGGTCTAATGACTCATCATCACAAGATAAGACCTAATTAGTACATGGGGTAATGAACATATCTAATACTGAAATATCATAAAAATATGTTATAGACATATTGACATTTTAAGAAGGGCGTATTTCAACAACTTTTGGCAGAATTTCAGATATCTTAGTCATACAAAGAGAAAAAAAATCCTCTCAGTAAACCATTACTTTAAAATATGTTTGCACATACATGCACACACACACGTTTTCTCTGGCATTAAAATCATTAAACATCATTTTAAACTGACAAAATAAAATATGATCATTGTACTTTTATTCAGATATTTTGTCTATGTAAACTGCCTGAAGCTCTAAACAATCATATAAGCTGTCTAAAAAATAATAAAGACATCTAAGTGAGGATATACAACAGAATATGATATGGAGTCAATATGATAGATGTGTTTACTTTCAGTAAAAGAATGAATCATTCATGATTTAGAATTTAATGTAATCTACCTCACCTTTGGTCTACTGAAAGATTAATCACAGAAAGTATTCTATATTGAAGAAAACACAGCAAATTCATAGGAAACAACTGTTGATCAAAGTGAATTAGATTTTGGAAATGGTTCAAATATGCATTTAGTATACTTATTGAACCCTAGGGGACTTAAGATGTGAGCTAGAATGACTACTGAGTACTTGGGGAAGTTCCAGAAAGGCGCTAAATGTGATTTGATTTTGTTTGCAGCTGTACATCTTCCAGAGTAAAATGGAAATTCAAGATCCAGGTGTGTCTGCAGATTTATGGGGTAGAGCAATTCTCTGTTAAGAGAAGTGAAGCCAAGCAGCCATTCCTGGGAATACTATCCAACTCAACACTGATGAGAGGATAACAGCACATGAGAAAACACACCACCCCTGACAGCGTCAGCCCATGCCAGTGATGTTTTCTTCCATTTTTCACCATTGTTCAAACTCATGATCAGCACCTTAAAACATGTGTGTTGCATTGTTCTCTAATTGTCTACCCCACACACAGTAGTAGTTAATCATCCATTATCTTATCCTCTAATTGCTGACTGCCTTAGGTTTCTCAGTAAGACTTTGGATCCTCCTGAAATGTTTCAAAATCTATGCCCCTGTGGTAGCGATTGCCTTACCTACCCAGTACAAAGAATTTCCTACAAATACTTTCTGCTTGATAATACTTAATCAATGTCACAATACCTAATAGGTTGTGAAGAGGGTATCTTCAGCTGAGACACCAAAATAAGATCTTGACCCAAAATGAGGACAACTTACTCCAGCCAGTTATTGAAAAAATAGACTTTTGCTATTTCCTGTCTGAACATTATATGATTTCACTGTCATGTCTTGTTCACTTTTTCATCAAACTAAGTAATTTTTCAGCATGGCATGAAACCTGTTTTCTGAGCCAAGGAATTTCAACAAAAAATCAAATATTTTAACAGTCACCTGCCTAATTATATAGGTGTCTTCATTTTACTGCTCTTGGGTAAAAATTAAATACATAATAAATTTTTCCATTTTCATAGTCTACATAGCTGTGGTAACATTTTTTCTACAGATAATACAAAACTGTATATTTTTTTTCCAATTTACTGCTTTAATTTGACAAATTTATGTTTACATTCTAGGGCAAAAATAAAAAATTGTACTAATGCACACACACAGAGTTATGTGAGAAAAAAATAACCAATTTACTCTTTCTGAGGCCTGAGATCATAGACACACAAGCCCTCCGAATCTTGTACAAAGTGATAAATGATTTTGTTTGATTCATTTGTCATTTCCATGATGGGGATGGTGGCACTGGATCTTCATTTCTTAGAGTTGTGGAGTCATATCAGATCCACCATCCTTCAGACACCTTCAGTTCTAATCCAGTCTTAATTTTTGACTCTTCCTTGGCACAACACCAAACCTGGTGAAATCTACCTCTCCACCCAGCATGCAGTGGCTACGCCTTTGCCAATTAGCCAGGTGAAAAAAGATATTCAATCATGCTGACTTGTCTCATGTTAAACTCAGGACCACAAACCTCCAGTAGGCTCATGGAGATGCCTGGAATAATAAACTTCTCTGATGAATTCTCTCAAAGGCTCTGCTAAATAGTTGGCACCTTCTTCTCCCTCGTCTAATCCCCAATCCTTCCTGCTCCGTCTTCCCTGTTAGCGTATGACCTGGCTTCTTACTACACCGAAAAAATTCTAACAATCTGAAGAAAACATACACAAACCACCACCAACCCATTTACCCATGTGACAATAACATTCCCATCTTCTGTGCCCCCTCTTTTCATAAGAGAGGAATGAAATAAATCATATCTAAAGCTGACTCTTACTCTTCAAATTCTATCGACTCCCCACAATCCAACAACAAAATACTCCTCTCTTGCTACATCATCAGAATTGCTTTCCTCTTGTATGTTGTATTATTGTATAAAGAAATTTCCTCCCCTCTCACAGGGACAAATACACTCTTTCAATATTGCCCTGCCCCTAACTGGAAAGAATTACACTAACTCAGTTTAGAACTTCAGTTATAGCTATTTGACTTGCTTTGGCTAGTGAAAGATGAACAGAAATTAAAAGGGCTACTTGCAAGTGAGGACCTTAAGAGATAAAAATGCGGTTATGCACATTTTTGCCCTTTGCCAAAATAATAATAAGAAATGAGTCTTCTATATCAGCCTGAGTCCCAGAATTAAGAAGACACAGAAACAGCCACAGTCAACCCTTAGTGAACCTTGAACATGAGTGAGAAATAAACTTTACAACCCTACAGCACACAGACATGTGGTTAGATTCCCCACCTTAAAAGCGATAAAACAATTTTCTCATCTGAAATACACAAACATTATATATAATTATATATAATATAATATTAATGTTAATATTAACTAATTGATATTAATATATAATATATAATACAATATCTTATGAGACTTACTATCACAAGAACAGCATGGGAAAACTCCATCCCCATGATTCAGTTACCTCCTATCATATATATTATATATGATATAATATTATATTTAATATATATGCCTCCTTTTCTGAAAATATCCTTGAAAATATTTATCCATATTGATCCCAATTTTATTGACCTTATTCTCTCTGAAAGCTGCTCCAATTGTGCTTTTACCCCCAAACTCCACTAAAATTATTACTTTTCCAGTAAAGGTCAACAATGACATTTGCATTGCTATGTCTTCTATTTTCCTCATTCTTTTTTCACCTCTTCCTACCTCTATTCAATCTCAGCTGCCACAATCAGACAGACAAAAGCATGATGACACTTTTTGGTTGCCTCTGTAGTGGAAATCTTAGCAATAGATGCTCATTTGAGACTTATTTGAATTACACCTAGTTGACTACCTCTGTCTCACTGAAATGCCTTTTTCAACCATTGACTTCAATGTTACCAGATATTCTTTTACACTGTATACAATTATTTTCATTTCCATTCCAGGTCCTCCTATGACTACCAGTCACTCCAGCCTTGGTCTTTTGCCCTTTGCCTTCTCTGTCCACAGAACTCTCTTGATAATTTCATTCAGCCTCATAACTTTAGATACCATCGACACTATCTAGGCTGATATTTTTTCTCTTCAGCACAGATTTCTCTCTTGAACTTCAGACTTTGTCATACATGTCCTTATGCGATATATTATGTTTGATGTCTCATAGACTTTTCAAACTCAAACATTCAAATCTAATAATGTCTGAAGAATATCTCTGCCAGCTCATCCTCCAATGTCACCTGTGATCACCTCTACCTTCTCCAGTGTTTAGGCCAAAAACTCTGGACTTCCTTCCATCTCCCACACTCCACATCCAAATCATGAGCAAATTTTATTTCAAATGTGTTAAAAAACCGAGCCACTTCTCCTCAGTTTCCAGTTGTAGGTTTTCATCTTGACTCTTGCATCAGTATTCTAACTGGTTTCCCTCATCCCATCCTTGCCCTGACAGGTAAGCCTCAGCTAAGCAAAGTCCTGCTTTAAAACACACTCTGACACATGATTTATCAGGTGAAATCTTTCCATTTGTTCTTCCTGGTTCTCAGAATTACAAATATCTCAATAGTGTTGCTCTACTCTGATACCTACTATTCACTCTTTTCTGGCAACAGGTATCTTACTGCTTGATATGGTTTGGCTGTGTCCCCACCCAAATCTCATATTGAATTGTAGCTCCCATAATTGTGGGAAGGAAGTAATGGGAGGTAACAGAATCATGGGGATGGATATTTCCTATACTGTTCTCATGACAGTGAGTAAGTCTCATAAGATCTGATGGTTTTATAGAGGAAAGTTCCCCTGCACATGCTCTCTCTTGCCTGCCGCCATCCATGTAAGACATGACTTTGCTTCTCCTTGCCTTCCACTATGATTGTGAGGCTTCCCTAGCCATGTAGAGCAGTGAGACTATTAAACCTCTCCTTTATAAGTGACACAGTCTTGGGTATACCTTTACTGGCAGCATGAGAGCAGACAATTACACTGCTCTGTGCTAAAGAGAACAGGGATGTTCCCACCCCAGGGCCTTGGCACTGGCTCTTCCCTCTGCCTGGAACATCCTTCTCATATATCATCGTGGCTTCTTCCCTTAACTCTTTAAATTCTCGACTGCCACATTCTGTTTTCATTGATGTTGTCACTGATCACCCTACTTAAAGTACTGCAACTTCCTCAGCAACTCTGATAACACGTATCCTTCTCTAGTTCACTTCAGAACACTCATCACCTTCTAAAATAATATGAAACTTTGGCCATGTATGGTGGCTCATATCTGTGATCCTAATACTTTGAGAGGTCAAGGAGGGAGGGTTGCTTGAACCTAGGAGTTCCAGACCAGCCTTGGGAACATAGCAAGACCCAATCTCTACCAAAAAAAAATTCAGAAAATAAATAGCTGGGCACTGTGGCTATGCTTTGGACAAATTTGGGACTCAAAACATATTCAAATATTTAAAATTCAGATTCAACTTAAGATTTATGTGAACTTTAGCATTGTTACCAATGGTGAAATTTTGCCTAGAGGGTCAAAGTGATCCTTGGCAAATAAGTGTCATGGTATACAGAAAAACATGACAGAAAGGAGACTGAAGAATATTTACTGTGCAGAGACAATATTTCATGTGATGAAGGAGGAAGATTAGTAGGGCACAATCTCTACCCTCAAGGTGTACATGATATAACAGAAGACCAGAGTATACAAGGCTGAGATACCCAGGGGACATTTATTACATCATATATAAGACACTGCATCATAAACCAGGAAAGAGTACAATAAGGACACAGGATGACCAAAAAAAGGTACATTTGCAAAACCATGTGAATGCACTTAATACCCCTCAACTGTACATATAAAAATGGTACATTTTATGTCATGTACATTTGGTCACAATTTAAAAACTATGTTTTTAAGAAATGTGGGGCAAACAAAGATAATGAAGGAATAATGCAAAGCTGAAGGTTGTGTCAGATGTAAGAAGTGACTATGAAGGATGAAAGAAAAGAGCTTTCAAGCAGGTAAGAAGCATCAGAGAGAATACCAATTGTTTAGCCAGTATTCTGTTAGAGGGACACTTGTCTTTGCTCTTTAATATTCAGTAAGGATCTTCTTAGGTTACACTAAACATGCAGAATAACAAGACTCCTCAAAGTCAACATGGTGCCAACCAACTCAAAACAATATAGACAAGACCCTCAGCTCATCAGGAAGGCTGCAGCTGGCATGTGGGAACCATCTACTCCACAAAGGTTAGCTGAGATGCAAAGATCTCTATAAGGTCCATATCCACAGGAGTTGGGTATTCCTTGGCATTGAAGTCCCAGCCTTCACAGCAGCCAATATTCCCTGTAAATACTCCATGAGCAGAGTTTCCATTGTCCCTAGAGTGAACATAGCAGCTGCAAAGTGACTCCAAAACTTGCCCTCCAGGAAGCCTGAGGTGGGGTGGTATTCCCACTAGGTTCTTTCAAGTCTTTATGGTTTTTCCTGGCCATGATGCTATTTACCAATAGGGGATCATCTATATTGTAAGCAATATTGTCCATAACATTGTTGGCATGTTCTTCATCCAACTACCAAGAAAACAGAGCTAGCCAGTCAAGCAAAGGTGAGATTATCATGCAGCAGGTTGAAGGTTTTGTTCACATTTAGCCCAAAGGTACTTTGCATATCTGAGTTGTGCCATTGTCACAGCAATGGCAGACAGTAGAAACAACTATCAAAAGTATACAGATGAGGAAATTGAGACTCATAGAGGGAAGGTAATGGCCTTTTAGTATGCAGAAGAAGGCAATGCAATCATGAGACAGGAGTGAAAGTCTGGTACTTCGCATATTCGTGTTCACGCCAACGTCAGAAATAGCAGACAGGGGAGATAACTATCAAAATTATACAGATTAGGAAATTGAGAGTCAGAGAGAGGAAGGTAATGGCCTTTTAGTATGCAGAAGAAAGCAATGAAGACATAAGACAAGCGTGAAGGTCTGTTTTGCACAAAGCTTATACTATTTATATTGATTCATGGAGAAACAAGGGCAAAGGTACAGGGAAAGACGACTAGGGAAAAGAGGATGACAAAAGAATGGATGTGAAAACAGCAAAGAGAACTCTAGCAGCCAAACAATCATTAATAGAGAGCTTGCTGCATGCCAGGCATTGTACTTGCCCACAGTAGCCCATACTCATATAGGCAAGATAGTCCCAGAAACGACTAATGACAAGGTGGAACAGGCACTAGTTACACTTTATTAAATACTGCCGTAGGAACTAAGAAGGTAAGAGCCTTAGGAAGATCAGAGAAAAGTGCACTGGGGTTAACAGAGATACACCAGACCAGGGCAAACAGCACTGTGCAGTAAAGTTAACATGCATTCTGAGAATCTTGAAGTAAAGTGTAGAAGATACTTCAGGATGCTGATCTTGTCTTCATCAACTGGTTCACCAACTGATGAAGATGCAACATGAAGCTATAAAGAACAGGAAATCAGTAAGACATTACAAGCAAAAAAGAAACATGACTACATTTGCATTTTCCAAAGAGAACTTAGTCACTGAAGGTAAGTCACTGAAGATTAAAGATGTACCTAAGGAGACAGAGTGCTAGAGTTTGGATGTTTGTCCTCTCCAAGTGTCAGGTTGACATTTGATTCCTAATGTTGTAGGTGAAGCCTGGTTGGTAGGTGTTTGGGTCACAGAGGTGGATGCCTCATGAGCACCTTGATGCTCTCCTTGAGGTAATTGCTGAATTACCTGAATTATTGCTCTTTTCATTCCCCCCAAAGCTGATTGTTTAAAAGAGCCTAGCACATACTTCCCCCCATTCTCTTGCTTCTTCTCTTGACATGTAATCTCTGCATACACCAGCTCCTCTTCACCTTCCACCGTGAGTGCAAGCTTTCTGATGCCCTCACTAGGATCTGTACCCTTGAAGCAGATCCTGATGCCATGATTGATGTACAGCCTGCAGAACCATAAGCCAAATAAACCTCTTTTCTCTGTATGTTGCCCAGTCTCAGAGATTCCTTAATTGCAAAACTAAATGGGCTAAGACACAGGGTGATCTCACAAAATGAAGACAATGTGAAATTGCACTGAGGCAGGGAAGAGGAAAGTACTGGTCACTCAAGCCAGAAACACAAAATTGTGCCCCACGTGATTTGTTCACTCCAATCACCACCTTCTTACTGAATCACAAAAGCTAGCCTCTAAGACTTGCCAGTCTTACATGCTAAATCTCTGTATAGCTCTAATTACAATATGATATTTAGTATCTGCAATAGAGACCAAAACAAAGTCTCCATATTTGAATATGTTTAGACATGTGGAACAGGCACAGTTACACTTTATTAAATACTGCAATAGGAATTAATGTATGTTATCAGAGAACACCCAAAATGTAAACACTGACTAACAAAAACATCTTAATAAATAGCTCCCTACACTGGTCCTATGTTAGTCCTATCAAAATCAGCCACACTGGCAACAACTGCAAATCCATCTATGGTCACTCAGTGGCTGACAAGAGCTTGAGGAATGATCACTAAAAAATAGAGACAGCTTTTGTATGACTCTAGCATTTTTTTCTGGTTGTTCTCATTGTTTGTTTCAGAGTTTCGTGAAAGGACACATTTTACATACTTTACATATCAAGGTCCAGTTAGCCTTGTTCCTTAACAACTAAGTGAGAGCAACAGCTTGGCTTATCAACAATGGAATAAATGCTCTGAGATCAGAGTTATGGACTTCCCTTCATAACTTACAGATGAATTCAGGGTAAAGCATTACCACCTAATGCAGCCTACCCTGTGACTGGAAGAATGTATCAGATGAATACATCTGGCATGCTCAGCCACTCATTATTTCAACACCAAAATAAAATACTGATTAATTAAACCAATTACGTAGGTATTTATTAATATATAAACACAGGCAAATGATGAGATATGAAGTTCACTTGGATAATGCTCTTTACTTTTCATGCAGTTTCTTCTCAAGGTGTTTAGTGTGTTCATTTTAAATGGATGCCAACTGAAGTTGACAACCCATGTTTAGCATCATCTGTGCTCAGACCATAAATGAACAAAGTCCTCCATAATGTAGTTCTAATATGTTCCTTCATTAGAATTTTAAATTTAACTTTTATTTTTATCCTTTTATTCCCACATACAGCTTAAATATATAAAGTGATATACCACCTGCCATCTATGACATTTGCACAGGTTTGTATTTGAAAGTGTTTATGCTCAAATTTTTGTAACTAATGAACAGAGAGAAATTTATACCATAGGATTAAAATATATTTTATGACATTTTCCACTTTAGCTTCAATATTATTACATATGAAAATTTTATAGTTTTTTTGTGTATGTGTGACAGGGTCTCACTCTATCAACCAGGACAGAGTACACTGTACCCTTGATCTCTCAGGGTCAAGCAATTCTACTTGCCACAGACTAACTAGTAGCTGGGACCATAGGCACATACCATGATGCTTGGCTAATTTCTATAATTTTTGTAGAGATGTAGTTTCCCTATATTGACCAGGCTGGCCTTGAACTCCTGGGCTAAAGCAATCCTCCCACCTCAGCTTCCCAAAGTGATTACAGGTGTCAGCCACCATGCCCAGCCTAAAATTTTACAGTTTTATAAAACAAAATTATTTCACCTTTCATTACAACTTTGTCTGATTAATCTCATTTTTTAATCATTAAATAGGAGTTATTTTCTATATTTTTAATCTGCCTTCCTTCTATTTCAGCAAAAATTAGCTAATCATCCAACTGCTTCCCAACTCAACCAAAAAGGAAAATTAATATAGAACTTTGGCTTATGGCCAACACCAGGATTCAGAGGAAGATACTTCTCTTTTGCCAGATACCAGGGACTGTTCTTTGCTTGGCAAAAGACAAGAGATTGTTGCTTCTACTTCAACCCCAGCCTGAGAACCTGCAAATGGGATTTCTAGCAACAAACCCCTTCTAACCCCACCATTCACAAACAAAGCTTGGTTTCTTGTAGTGTTATCGTGAATTCCTACCATTACATTTATTAAATTTCCTGAGGCCCTTTCTCACAATGAAAAGGCTAATGTTTGGGTCAGAACTTGTGTCTGGGATGCTTAAATTCCTCACCCTCAAAAAGACATGCCCTGGACACTCCATCTCAGAGATCCTCATAACCCACGTTAGATGTTATCACTGCTTCATTTCCCTCAAAACTATGATCACAATCAGAAATTCTGTCCTTCATGCATTTGATCACTGCTTTATCTTCTGTCCCCATAACTAAAGTAACAGCAGGACAGTTTGTGCATCCTCTTTGTTGTGGTATGCTCAGAGTCAACAACAATCAGTCATGAATAGTTAATTCATGGATGAAAGATGAATGAATGGATCAATGAGAGAAGAATTATTTAACCTACTCCCATGCATCTGTGTTGTCACTGCAATGGGCCAGGCGGGTGGGGGGAGGTTCTTCTAGACAGCAGGCCCTCTTCCACTTACTTCTGACTTCTCCTGATGTCTAGCAACTCACTACTGAGGTCAATCCCTGCCAGGTTGGTTGAAATGGGAGAAGAAAGGACAAAGTAGACAGCATGACTACTAACAGCAACTCCAATAAAGTGCTTGCAGCAATTATTGACCCCAAGATACAGCATGTAATCTGCTGATCCTAGCCAATGACATGAGATGCACCATTTTAAAAATTATGATTAAACTACAATATTGATAACTTTTAAAATACGTTAAAACCATTTATGAGTGTGTCCCTTTTGCTCCCTAAGGAATGTTTGCAGGATAGTTGAGTAAGCTAATTAAATGGTAGGTGATGTGGTCTGGCTCTATGTCCTGTCCCAAATGTCATCTAGAATTGTAATCCAAATTGTAATCCCCATGTGTTGGGGGAGGGTCCCTGTGGGGGGTGTTTAGATCATGGGGGCAGTTCCCCCCTAATGTTCTCATGATAGTGAGTGAGTTCTCATGAGAGCTGATGGTTGTATACGGGGTTCTTCCTCCTTTCCTCAGCACTTCTCTCCTTCCTGCTGCCTTGTGAAGAAGGTGCCTTTCTTCCCTTTCACCTTCTGCCATGATTGTAAGTTTCCTGAGGCCTCCCAAGCCATGCGGAACTGTAAATCAGTTAAACCTTCTTCCTTTGTAAATTACCCAGTCTTAGGTATTTCTTTATAAAAGTGTGAAAATAGGCTAATATAGCAAGAATGGAATGGCAAAGGGAATTGGGTTGGTTCTTCGCTTTTACCATGAAGGTAGCAAGTTGTTAAGAGTATGTGCAGCATAGCCCATGAGACTTGCATTAAAGACTACCAGCCCTATTCCTAATCTGGCTGAGTTATTCAATCATCCTAATCTCAGTTTCCACATCTCTGTAATAGAGTTAATAAACAGTAGTGTAATCTCATGGTCCTACTGTGAAAACTAAAGCAGATAAGTCTTGCCTATGTTTCCTGCTCAAATTCATCTAGCAGAGATGCATGTCCCAAACTCCCCATTTAATCTAGCTCTTCATTCACTATTGACTTAATCCTGCTTGAATTATCCTAAGACAACCTTCCCAATTTAATATGCCTGAGCCTATCTTTAGATTAACCCACATGGAGACATGGGCACCATGATACTGGGAAGGTGTCAATGCTAATGACAGCTGCATCTCCAGTGTGGGGCACGCTGTTTTATTTAAACATTTGTTTCATGTATGAGCAAATATCCCAAAGCACACAATTGTGTCTTACACATAGTGAGGCCTCAATAAATATGAACTGTTGTTCATATGCTTATAATACCAAGGATATAATTGGCATCATCCTGTGGGTCAGCTTCATTACACAAGAGAATAGGATACTTATATTTACTGAGGAGCTCCTAACTTCTGGGAATCCTTATGGCAATCCGCTGAGGTTTCAGTTCTAGATTTTAAAGACAGCTGTATTAATTCACCCCAGGCCACACAGGTAAAGTTTCAAACAAGATCCATATGACACAAATGGACTCCATCCTTTCTGTGAAAATGCTTTCTGTTTCCTGCTATTGTCCCTACTCAAAGTTGGGTGAGAACATAAAGCAGCTATATCCCCTCTCTTTGGAGAGCTTACAATTTAGGAGGGAATGTAATGTGACTGCATGAATGCTTATGATCTAGAAACCACAAAGGAAACCTGGAACAATATGCCCAAGAGGAGAAAAAGTTTGAGAGATGAAAAAAGGAAAAAAGGACTACACAATGATCTTATTGTCCAAATAAAAGCCATATGAAAATGACTATATGGGTCTAAGAAAATGGCAACCCCATATGGTTTAATCTCGTACATACTAAGAAGAAATTCTCCTTAAGTTCAAAGTGAGTAGTCCTGACATTCCGAATCCAAAGCAGAGATTTTTCATCTTTTCTTCTACATCACAGACTTCTTTGAGGAGATACTCCTCTCCAAGAAAAATACATTCTTACCTACTCATAAAGGTGACAGATAGTTTGGGGGTTTCTTGGAACCCCTGGGAATCCATGGCTGTCAGCTGAATAACATCTAGTGCCAAGGATGCAAAATCAGCCTCAGTTATGGAATCTAAGTAACAGCTCAAGAGAACTGGTTTTATCTCTTACTATCATTACCCAATAACATCACCCTGTCCCTTTCACACAATAATTAGTTTCTTCCTAAACAGGGTGGCTGTTCTGCTGAAGGACATCCCTTTAATTGTTTCCTCCTAAGCCACAAAATCTTCAAGGGCAAAGTGGAAACTTTATCAACACAGTAGAGAGTGAAGATGACTGTTGCCCAAAGAGAAGGTATCACTGTATTAAAGACCTAAATGTGAAAATGAAGTATCCACATCATCACATGTTTATGATTATGTGAAAATTTATAACTTGTTTATTTTTTTATAGAGACAGCATCTCATTATGTCACCCAGGGTGGGGTGATTACAGCTCACTGTATCCTCAAACTCCTAGGCTCAAGCAATCCTTCTGACTCACCATCCTAAGTAGCTGAGACTACAAGCACACTAATTGGAAAAAAAATTTCAGAGGCCAGACGCAGTGGTTTACACTGTAATATCAGCATTTTGAGAGGCCAAGACAGGTAGACAACCTGAGGTCTGGAGTTCAAGACCAGCCTGGCCAACATGGCAAAAATGCAACAATTACAAAAAGATAAAAAAATTATCTCTACCAAAATAAAAAAATATATATCTGGGCATGGTGGTGCACACCTGTGGTCTCAGATACTCCAGAGGCTGAGGCAAGAGGATCACTGGAACCTGGGAGGCTAAGGCTGAAGTGAGCTGAGATTGTGCCACTGGACTCCATACTGGGCAACAGAGTGAGATCTTGTCTCAGAAAAAAACTATATTGTAGAGACAGTAGTTTCATTATGTTGCCCAGGCTGGTCATGAACTCCTCCTGTTCTCAAGCGATTCTCCCACCCCAGCTTCCCAAAGTGCTGGGATTACAGGCATAAGCCACTATGCCAAGCAGAAACATGGAATTTAAATGAAAAAAGTCAATCTCTCTTTTTTGTTATAAACGCATGCTGAAGCTTGCAGCCTCACTTCTGGTAAAGGAAACCATCAGGATGAGAAAGCACGTCTGAGAAAGTCCTTTTTCCGGTAAGCTAGCCTGCTAGACAACAGCCCCCATTTATAAAGAGGACAGGAATATAAGTCTGGTGATATTAGTTTGGAAAGGGTCGTGGGCAAGAAAAAGAATGGCCTATGTCATGGGTGTTGCAGTCAGACTCTGAGATGACTGGCCTGCAGGACATGACACCTTCTCACTATAGTAACTTCTTTCCGTCTTGATTTCCACTTCTTTCTTATGCTGTAAAAGCTAGAAACCAAACTCATAACAATAAGCCCAAGAAAATAAAAATGCAAGGTGATGAAAGAAGAACAAAGGAGAATTTGATCTTATTTTCCAGTTTTGGGGCGGTGCTGCCAATGTACAGTTGCAATCAATAAAGAAGTTTTATTATCAATGCATGAGAAGAAACACCATGGGATTTCTTCTCATTTCTTCAACTTTATTATAATGCCTAAACACTTAGACCATTCATATCTTATTTTCTGTTACATTCTCAACAATTAACACACCTGAGATAAATAAACTTTTTAAAAATAATACAGTGAATAACCTTCTAATATAAAAAAATCCCCTTTTCTGATCTAAATAATCTCAAGGTGACACCAAGGCTCTAATATTCTGTATTTTGGCAAACTATCATTTCATTCATGGATGTATCAATCCAGAAATCATTCATTAAGTATTATTTGAAAAAGACAAGTGAGGTAGGCATTAAATTAACAAGGATAATGCCAGACACAGTGGCCACAGGCATGTAATCCCAGCACTTTAGGAGGATGATGCAGGAGGATTGCTTGAGCCCAGAAATTTGATACCATACTGTGTAATACAATGGGACTCTGTCTCCACAAAAAAATATAAAAATTAGCTGGGCATGGTGGTATGCACCTGTATTCCCAGATACTCGGAAGGCTAAGGTGGGAGGATTGCTTGAGCCCAGGAAGTCAAGGCTGCATGATTGCAGTGATCATGACACTGCACTCCAGCCTGGGTGTCAGACTGAAACTCTATTGCAAAAAAATAAAAAAAATAAAAAAATAAAGGCCAAAAAGAAGATATATCTAATAGACAGATAGCATACATATGCATATATATGTATACCTAAAAATATTTTGTGAAGGGAAATAAATTTTCACTGGGCCTTAACAAATGAATGACTGGGACCTTTCCAGAGGGAGAGTTGAGAGGAAGTCATCAAGATACAGCCTATATACAGCCTATTAGAAGGCAGCTCCCAGGCAGGTAGAAAGGCAGGTATGCTCGGGGAACTGTGAGCTGTTTGTTTCAATGGGCAAGGGCACAAGGTATACAAAAGAAAGCAAAAGGAGCTAACACTGGAAAAGGGAGACATGAGCAGATTAAGGAGTCTTCTATGCTGTCCCAAGGGTTTTAGGTTTTCTCAGGTGGTAAAAAGGGGGCCACTCAAGAAATTTTGCCATGATACATTTTTAAGACCTTGCAGGAGTGGGTTCACTCTCTTGAGTTGTTTGCCTTTGTGCAAGAAGGTCTTGCCAGATGATGGTGCAAGAAGGACTAGCCAGATGATGGTGCTTTGATGTTGGACTTGTCAGCCTCTGGAACTATTAGAAATACATTTCTATTTTTTATAACAGTTTCAGGTATTCTGTTGTAGCAGCAGAAAATCATATAAGAAAGATTGCAATGCATCACTTAACCATTGAAGTCATCGAATGTAAGAATCAGGAAGATGACTCCAATAGTAGCCTGATGGTAGGAGGCAGAAGAGTAATGGACTGCATAACAATCTAAACTGAGAGAAGGAAGCTGTCACAGTGGGCCACAGGCAGAAAGCACATAGCTAGGGATGTTTTGCAGGGCAGAAATGATGAGAGGCAGATATCTATTTACATAAGTGGTGAGAAAAGAGAAGTAAAATCAGTTTTTATCTTGGACACTCTGGGATGTGGGGCACCTTTAGCCAACAGGAGGGTGCAAAGTGAGGAATAGGTTTTAGAGGAAGAGTATTTCTCAGTATTTGAATGTGTTGTGTTTGAAGTGTATATGTGACACTCAACTAGAGATTTCTAACAGGAGCTAAAATTACAAACACTGTAACTGAATGAAGCTAGTGGCCTGGGCTGAAAATAAAGACTCAAGAATCATCCACATAGAGGCAGATAGTTGGAAGATAAGAAGATGCAATGAATTACCCAGACATACAATATACAGAATGAAGTCAAGAACAAACCTTGAGAAAAGTCAACATTTAAGAATAGTAAGAGAAGAAAATACAAAAGAACTTCTCAGAGTTGTAGAATAAAACCAGAGCATAGTGATACAATGAAAAGGAATAAGAATTCTGCAAGTGATAAGTGCCTATCATATTGATATAGGATCATCACTAAAAAGACGCCACTGGGTTTGGCAATGTAGAAATCACTGGTCATACCTTAATGAGATTTATTAGCATAAAATTGTAAGGATAGAGAACGGATTTTGGGGAAATGGAGGACAAAGAAGGAAGTATAAATTCCTATTTCAACAGACTCACTATTAATGGAAGGTGAAAAATATGTCATAACTCAAGAGAAGACAGGATTGAGGCTGACTGGCCATTGGACACAGGAGGAGTACTTGGGTTGACGGTGGGGTTAACTCCTAGATCCCACTTGGGTAGTGGAAACTGGCCCAGATTCTGAAAGACACATGAGTTATAGGAACAAAGTAATCTGTTAGTCTAAAAATGAGATCTAATGAAAACAAAAGAGGAAAGGTCAAAAAAACTTGAACTGACTCACTTTGGAAAACACATAAACCTTGATGAGGAGAGAGTGTAAATGGATTTTGCTATGGTGTGAATGTGTCCCTAGAATTCATGCATTGTCATGAATATTATTAACCCCTAATAAGACAGTGTTTTGTGGGTTAGTGGGTAATGGGAGATGTTTAGGTAATGAACATGAATAGTTTGAATTTAATTAAATTCATGAATAGATGAATATCATTATCAAAAAGGGCTTGCAGGAGTGGGTTCTCTCTCTTCAGCTCTTTACCCCTGTGCCATTTGATGATGTGCAAGAAGGTCTTGCCAGATGATGGTGCCTTGATCTTGGACTTGCCAGCCTCTGGAACTATGAGAAATAAATTTCTGTTTTATAAACCAGTTTCAGGTATTCTTTCATAGCAGCACAGAAGGGACTAAGACAGATTGCAAACCAACACTAAGATCTCAGATATTTCTAAAAACCACACACTAAAAATGAGGCCAAACCATGCAATAATTCCATTAATGCTAGCAGTGCTATGGGACACAATAAATCGATATCTTGGCTGAGAAATGAGAGGGTGAGCCCAGCACAAGCAGAGGAGAAAATCGATCATCTTAGTGAGAGACTTAAAGTTACACCCAGCCATCTATATCAGACATTTGGTGGATGGAAGGATACTCAGTGCTTGGAGACTTGCAAGGATTCATGGAAGAACAATCAAAGAGGGAAGGAAGAAGTGATAAACAGAAGAGGAAGTTTAAGTTAGGGACATTATTGCAGTTTTCAGTATTCAGGGTAGAGTATGGACTCTAGTAATCATTATCTGGATTATAAATTGTAGCTCCACACCATCTTCCCTTAGTAAGTCAGGAACAGGCAAAAGGTAACTGAGTATGGTTGTGTAAAGGAGCTGAAGTCTTAAATAAATGGCGTGAAGAAATGTATAGTTTTCAGTTACTTTGAGTCCTTCCAGTACATGCTAGCTTCATGTATGTAACATTAATTATTCAATATTCACACTAAAAGATGGGTTCATGCTATTATTTTAGTTACATACCAAAAGCATCTTTGCCTTCAATACTCATGCTATAGTAAGTTTTCTGGTATGTATTGGTATTTGGGATTATCCTAGCAAACTCCGACTGTATTCCATGTCTGGACAGAGCTTATGTTTATACAGTCTTAAGCAATGCTTGCCTATGTGTTTTCAATACTACTTCTGAGAATACCTCTGGTGTGGTAGACTCCATGACCACATGGCACCTGGCATGGAGCACAGCCTGAATATGCCATTGTTGGTGATAGAAATCAAGTCAATATATTCAGAAAGCCATCTACACTGGTGTCTTCTCCCACAGGGCGACTGACTGACAGCTCAGTGCCATTTTTTCTCCAAAGGGTTAAGAGTAGGCAAAACTCAGGGCTGAAGAGAAGCCCATTTATTTTGTCTATTTTGTTTCAATGTTGTGAAAATCCAGGGAGAAAACCTATGTGAATACTAAAAAAACAAACAAACAAAAAACACTATTATTATTTATTATAAGTGCTGCTATTATTTTTTGGATGTGGGTTGTGATTGCATGAATCCCAGATAGAATTTCTTAAACTTACTGGATGCCAACTGAATTATGCCAAGTGAGCAGATGCGTGTCAGCTGCATAGCTTTGGGGAAAAAAAAAAAAAAAAAAAAAAGGAAAAATTAAGAGTTGGTTTGAGTGAGGCTAGGTAAAGAAGGTTTGAGGAAGAAATAAACTTTTCTTTTTTTTTTTTTGAGGGAATTTATTATTTTATTTTATTTTATTTTATTTTGTGGCTTTAAAGGTTTATGCCATTTTTTTTTATTATAGTTTAAGTTTTAGGGTACATGTGCACATTGTGCAGGTTAGTTACATATGTATTCATGTGCCATGCTGGTGCGCTGCACCCACTAACTCCTCATCTAGCATTAGGTATATCTCCCAATGCTATCCCTCCCCTCTCCCCCCACCCCACCACAGTCCCCAGAGTGTGATATTCCCCTTCCTGTGTCCATGTGATCTCATTGTTCAATTCCCACCTATGAGTGAGAATATGCATATGCGGTGTTTGGTTTTTTGTTCTTGTGATAGTTTACTGAGAATGATGATTTCCAATTTCATCCATGTCCCTACAAAGGACATGAACTCATCATTTTTTATGGCTGCATAGTATTCCATGGTGTATATGTGACACATTTTCTTAATCCAGTCTACCATTGTTGGACATCTGGGTTGGTTCCAAGTCTTTGCTATTGTGAATAATGCCGCAATAAACATACGTGTGCATGTGTCTTTATAGCAGCATGATTTATAATCCTTTGAGTATATACCCAGTAATGGGATGGCTGGGTCAAATGGTATTTCTAGTTCTAGATCCCTGAGGAATAGCCACACTGACTTCCACAATGGTTGAACTAGTTTACAGTCCCACCAGCAGTGTAAAAGTGTTCCTATTTCTCCACATCCTCTCCAGCACCTGTTATTTCCTGACGTTTTAATGACTGCCATTCTAACTGGTGTGAGATGGTATCTCATTGTGGTTTTGATTTGCATTTCTCTGATGGCCAGTGATGATGAGCATTTTTTCATGTGTTTTTTGGCTGCATAAATATCTTCTTTGGAGAAGTGTCTGTTCATGTCCTTCACCCACTTTTTGATGGGTTTGTTTGTTTTTTTCTTGTAAATTTGTTTGAGTTCATTGTAGATTCTGGATATTAGCCCTTTGTCAGATGAGTAGGTTGCAAAAATTTTCTCCCATTTTGTAGGTTGCCTGTTCACTCTGATGGTAGTTTCTTTTGCTGTGCAGAAGCTCTTTAGTTTAATTAGATCCCATTTGTCAATTTTGGCTTTTGTTGCCATTGCTTTTGGTGTTTTGGACAGGAAGTCCTTGCCCACGCCTATGTCCTGAATGGTAATGCCTAGGTTTTCTTCTAGGGTTTTTATGGTTTTAGGTCTAACGTTTAAGTCTTTAATCCATCTTGAATTGATTTTTGTATAAGGTGTAAGGAAGGGATCCAGTTTCAGCTTTCTACATATGGCTAGCCAGTTTTCCCAGCACCATTTATTAAATAGGGAATCCTTTCCCCATTGCTTATTTTTCTCAGGTTTGTCAAAGATCAGATAGTTGTAGATATGCGGCATTATTTCTAAGGGCTCTGTTGTTCCATTGATCTATATCTCTGTTTTGGTACCAGTACCATTCTGTTTTGGTTACTGTAGCCTTGTAGTATAGTTTGAAGTCAGGTAGTGTGATGCCTCCAGCTTTGTTCTTTTGTCTTAGGATTGCCTTGGCGATGCGGGCTCTTTTTTGGTTCCATATGAACTTTAAAGTAGCTTTTTCCAATTCTGTGAAGAAAGTCATTGGTAGCTTTATGGGGATGGCATTGAATCTGTAAATTACCTTGGGCAGTATGGCCATTTTCATGTTATTGATTCTTCCTACCCATGAGCTTTTTTTTTTCTTTTCTTTTTTTTTTTTTTTTTTGAGACTGTGTCTCGCTCTGTCACCCAGGCTGGCGTGCAGTGGCACAATCTCTGCTCACTTCAAGCTCCCCCTCCTGGGTTCATGCCATTCTCCTGCATCAGCCTCCAGAGTAGCTGGGACTACAGGTGCCCGCCACCACGCCTGGCTAATTTTTTTGTATTTTTAGTAGAGACAGGGTTTCTCCATGTTAGCCAGAATGGTCTTTATCTCCTGATCTCGTAATCCTCCCACCTCGGCCTCCCAAAGTGCTGGGATTACAGGCATGAGCCACCGCGCCCAGCATAAAATGTTTTCATGTGTTGTGGCTGCCCTTAAGTGTATAAAACTTAATTTTCAAAAGCTGAGAAAATATGGAGGATGTGCAGTATTCCTTATTTCTCTGAGAGGCTTCTCACCAGTCCAAAGAAGCAATGAATAATAGGAAATGTAACAAAAAAGCAAAATGATTCCAAGTCATATATTCCCTTGAGTAATTTCCCTGTAACAATGAACCACAGCAGAGCTTCCTGGAAATTCTGATAGTCCTTACCTAAATCTCAAAATTGTATTATCCTTTCTACAATGCATCAGTCTTTCTCCTCAGAAATAAGGGGCTGGTTATATTTGTTTAACTATATGTCTTTTTTCCACACAACAAAGTGTTTAATTTTTATTTTATTTTTATTTTTATTTTTTTTTGAGATGGAGTTTCACTGTTGTTACCCAGGCTGGAGTGCAATGGCACAATCTTGGCTCACTGCAACCTCCACCTTCTGGGTTCAAGAGATTCTCCTGCCTCAGCCTCCTGTGTAGCCGGGATTACAGGCACCGGCCACCATACCTGGCTAATTTTGTATTTTTAGTAGAGATGGGGTTTCTCCATGTTGGTCAGATTGGTCTCAAACTCCCAACCTCAAGTGATCCACGCACCTTGGCCTCTCAATGTGCTGGGATTATAGGTGTGACCCACCATGCCCAGCGTTTTTCTTTCTTCTTTTTCTTTTTTTTTTTTTAAAGGATGGGGTCTTGTTCTGTTGCCCAGGCTGGAGTGCAGTGGTTTGATCATAGCTCACTGCACCCTCAAACTCCTGGACTCAAGCAATACTCCCACCTCAGCGTTCTGCATAGCTGAGACCCAAGGCATGAGCTACCATGGCCAGCTAATTTTTTAAACTTTTTGTAGAGAAAGGATCTCACTATGTTGACCAGCCTGGTCTTGAACTCTTGGTCTCACGTGATCCTCACTCCTTGGTCTCCCAAACAAAGCAGTCACAGGTGTGACTCACCACACCAGGCTCATGCAACAGAGCTTTGATTAGATTGCTTTGGGCAAATACTTTCTCATCAGCTGAGTCAAAATTCTAACTTATGCTAGTTTCCTCTATCACATGAAACCATCTTTTTCTAATGGCTTCTTATACACACATAGAAGATTTGCATAATTGTAATATAAATAAATTATTCAAACTCATTACAAAGGATTTTAAAAATTCTTAAGTATAGGAGCAGTTATAGTTTTCATTTTCTCTGCCAATCAAGGCCTCTCTGTAAGGGCACAGTAACATAGTCCCATTCTAAACATTGCTAATAATTTATTTCTTGACATTTTTCTGTGCAGTAAAATATACATATTTGTATACAAATCTACACAAAAGCATACACCTACACACACATGTATGTATACATATGTCTATGCATACAATTGTGCATTCATATCTATGTGTATATACCAGTATGTATACATGCTTACATAAATTTATGTATTATTCTCTGCCTTCCCATTTTGCTTTGCCTCTACAATTTCAAGGGAAAGATAGTTTTAGTATTCTAAGTGCTCAAAAAAATTCATTTACACGTTTTCCTGATGAGATAAATTTCAGTTGCAATGATCATCTATGTACATACATCTTTCTGCATATATCTGTGGGATAGGTTCCTGGAAGCAAAAGTGCTTCCAGAGGAGTAAAGTGGGTCTCTTTTTAAATTTTATTGTATAATACTCAAATTCTAAAACTCTACCTTAATTCTTCCTCCATCTATCAAACTGTGAGAGTACTCATTTTTCAATGCCCAAAGATAACTAAATTTAGTTTTGCCATTCAACTAGGTAAAAGGATAATAAGAATAAAATAAAGTGAACTAAAATAACATAAAGTTGATTTTACTTTCTTTACATATGAATGCAATTGGACATTGTTATTGATGAGTTCTAAGCCTTTCTTTCATTTTGAGATTCCTTAATAGTTTTGATAGACTCATTTACAAGTTTTTCCCTATTTTTTGGTGGCATTTAATTTCTTACTTTTATTCTGAATGTGCCATTTTCATCTATACACAGTTTGCTTTTTAACATGTAGCATTTCTCAACTTAGACTGTATTGTGGGCAGGCATTTTGCACAAGCCAAATTTTGCAAATCCACAAAGGGGAAAATGTGGAAAATGGTACCGTTTGGAAATTGGCCAAAAATGTCAATGAAAGCAGTTTTATCTTCTACATGGCATTTGTCATGCTCCATGCATGGAACATTTTTAAATTGCATATGTGACCTTTTTAACAATAGCAGGAAATGCCAAGAGAAAATGCAAAGCTCTTCATCGTCTTTCTTAAGCCCCTGGAGAAGCCATTTTTCATGGTACATGGCTAGAGCCTATGATCAGGCTGTCAATGCGCCTGAAACAAACCATTAGTATCTGAGCAGTTTTCCATACTGGAAAGCATCAGACACAGGCATGGCACTGCTCTGGAGAGCTTGCTCTTCACCACATTTATTGAGTAACAGCACTTTGTAACACTACCTGAGTTGCTCCATGATATAAAGAGAATCAAGTCTTAATGTGTTATTATGGTGTTACGTAGCATAAACCAAGCAAATCTCTATCACCATTTTAAGAACAGGATTATTTTACAAGATTAGGTTACTAAAGGGGGGTTTGTGTAAGTCTTTTATCAAAGACCCTTAGGGATTAAAATTAGAAAGAAAAAATAATAAACTTCAGCTTTCTTCATCCAAGTACCATAGCTACTACTATCTATGTAGCTTTTAACCAAAGTAGCAATAGATGTGTTATTGACTTTTAAACATTATTAATGACATCATAAAAAAGAATATATAATGCCGAGTTTAATTATTCCAAATAAATTAACACAACTCATCACATTTAAGAAAGTAAAATTTAAGAAAGTAATCAGATTTAAGAAAGTAAAATTTCAAGGTTTGCCTTCAGTTATGTTCGTTGTGTCCTTGAAAATATAGTAGAATCCACGTAAAATTTGAAATACCAAAACCATGCAAGTTTTAGTGTTATGTTTTAAACTATTACCTATAGTTATCTGCCTGTTATATTTTAAATTATTCTTTAAGTGAAATTATTACTGAATATAATTCATATTATAATGTATTACAAAATGTATACAGAGAATGTTTATTAGGCTTGCATTAATTATTATCAACATTATTATCACATTTTGAATGACATTTTGTCCTCAAAGGATATTTATCATGAAGGAAATAGCATTATGAGAGGTTATGTTGTCATTTGGCTGTATATCACCACACAAATCTCATATCGAATTGTAGCTCCCAATGTTGGGGGAATGACCTGGTGGCAGGTGTCCGGATAATAGGGGTGGATTTCCTCTTGGCTGTTCCGGTGGTCATGAGTTCTTACAAAATCTGGTTGTTTAAAAGTGTGTAGCACTTCCCCCTTGGCTCGGTCTCTCTCCTGCTCTGCCATGGTAAGATGTGCTTATTACCCCTTCACCTTTAATCATTACTGTAAGTTTCCTGAGGCCTCCCAGCCATGCTTCCTATACAGCATGAAGAACTGCATGTCAATTAAGCCTCTTTTCTTCATAAATTACCCAGGCTTAGGTAGTTCTTCATAACAGTGTGAGAATGATTGATATATATTGATAAGGTCCCTAAGTCATTAACACCTTTCAGATTTTCCTCCCCAGTATATTTCATTTATATTAATTAGCATTTATTATATGATATTTATATGTTATATACTTGTGTTATCTATTGTACATATGTTAACAGTTATCTATGTTACCACATTTAAATCAATACTATTTGCGTAACATTTGGCACCAAGCATTATTCTCACAACATGCTTGTATAAGGAAATAGCATTCCAAATCAGGTAGTAATGAGATTACATGCAGTGAAAGACAATAATCTCAATTTAGATGGAAATCTAAGAAAAGGGAAAACTCTTTACATGAACCTATACATAGATTATCTGTAATCTCACAGTGCTTATGTCTTAAGCCAAGGGATCATGCACAGAATCTACACAGAAACTAGATGGAAAGGTCATCCAACTTTCCATTCCTTTCCCACATTCCAGGTAACTCAGTATCACATCTTTGGTTTCCTTCTGAAATATCTCTCAAATAGGTTCATATAACTTTTCTCCATCTTCGTCATTATGGTCCAGGCTGTCAGTGTCTCTGCTAGATGAAAGTGACTGCCTAATATGTGTCCATCTCATTCTGCCATCACTCCCCACCCAGAGTCATCTATCAAAATGACCAAACTGACTTTGACAGAGCCCTGCTTAAAGTTCTCCAACAGGGACCTGAATGATCTGTTGAATTATACATCCTCAACCCTGTCCCTCTTCCACTTCCTGTTTCTGCACTAAAAAATCTGTGCCAACTGGAATCCTATGCACAAATTTACCTTACTCTTACAACACCATTCTTATCTCCCCAACTGGGTAACACCTATTCATTGCTTTTCGCCTGAACACCATTGTGTCTTTGTATCAAAGGTGAGGTCAGCTTGCCTGTTAATGACTGCACACCCTCTCTGATTTTCATCTATGGTGTTAATCACAGTCTGCGATTATACATTCATTTTTCTGTTTATTTGATGTGTGTGTGTTCCTGTACACACATGGCTGGCCAGAGGCCTTGAGACACCGGGAACCTAAGCATGAAATGCAGTAAAATTGTGGGTTGTTTGTCTCTTTGTTGAATTGTGAAGGGAGGTTGGACTCAAAGTACAAACTTGCCAAGGGCATTGAAAGTGTTGTTGAAAATTTTCATATCCTCCCTGCATGTATGTGTGTGTGTGTATCCTCCCTGTATTTATGTGTGTATGTATCTGTGTGTGTGGGGGTGTGTGTGTGTGTGTGTTTTCCAACTTCATCTTTCATCTATTTTGGTAACATCTTAACATCTCCAACTATCATTATTGATGGGTCTTTCTTTGCATTTATTGCTGTCTAATTGTGTAATTTACAGCTCTCTTATTAGGTGTACACAAATTAAAATTATTAGTTATGTCAGGTGGATTCTTCCTTGTATCATTATGACTATCTCTCTTTTATTATGGAAATACTCCTTTTCTTGAAGGTATCTTTGTCTAATATTAATAGAGCTATCTCAGCTTTCTTGTTTTTTTTTTCTTATTTATTTTCATGATATATACTTTGAAATATTCACACAGTGTACATATTTTAAAGATATGAATCTGACTACAGACTTACTAAAGACAGTCATTGACAACATTGTTTTCATTGGATAGACTATTGAAAACGTTCATAATAGTGGTCAAAGAATGTAAGTAGGAGAACAAATACAGTCTTATGAGAGACTTTGGGGTGTTGCTGTGGTTGCAGGAGGGCAGGACTGTGAATATCCCCTTACCCTAAACTCCACCTATTTAGTCCCTCTGTGTAACCCCAGAGAAAAATGTGCAGAACCTCAAACCTGAAACACCTGGTTTAATAAGATGGAGAGTAGAGAAATACAAAAATTCAAAAGAAATAGCACAAATGAATTCATAGCACTAGCCAAGAAAATACACCATGACCCTTATGTATCCTAAAACAATGACTTTATCACAAATGCACTCTCACCTATAAGAAATAATCCATGTCACTCTAGTTCAGCAATGTTCCCTTATTCAATGGCTTAGCAATTGCATTCAACTCAAACCAATCCAAACTCAAGCCCAAAAAAATAACATATCCTCAAGTCATGGCCCTTTACAACTATATTAAGAATTGACACCTAGCATTTCAAATTGGTAACAAAGGTGAGTTGTCTGAAATCTAACTCTGGGAAAGAAAAAAAAAAGTAAAACCTCAGTAACGATAAATGAATAATGCTTCACTGAAATGTGCGAAGAAAATAAGCCAATTAAAAACCAGAAGGTAGGGTTTCATGGCTCACATCTAGAATCCCAGCACTTTGGTAGACTCAGGCAGAAGGAATGCTTGAGCCCAGGCATTTGACACCAGTCTGGGCAACATAAGTTGTAGAGGTGGCCTTCTCTACAAAAAATAAAACAATAAGCTGGATGTGGTGGTGGATGCTTGTAGTCCCAGCTATTTGGGAGGCTGAGGCAAGAGGATTGCTTGACACAAGGAGTTGGAGGCTGCAATGAGCTATGATCACAACACTGGTCTCCAGTCTGTGTGACAGAGCAAAATTCTCTCAAATAAACTATATAAATAACAATAATAATATTAAAATAAAAACTAAAAAAGCACAAGGTCTTAGGAAGAAATTGACATGTATGTGAGAATCACTAATCACACCCTGCAAATGTCTTCTGAGTGAGAATGTGATCTCCCTATTGCAGAAACCATTGTCATAGTTGCCTTTGTGTCTCCAAGGTCAACCTTTGGGCTACAGAAGACAACAAAGGGTGCTGATCCAATGCTTGAATGTTATTATAGAAAAGTATCAAGAATGAAAGAAGAAAGAAGTCTACAGAATTGTGTAATATAAATGGCTGGCATATTTTTATTTTCTACCCCTGCCTGCATTTCCAGCTTCCCCTTCTGCCTAACTCCCTGTTGCCTCTGTTCTCAAGCCACACCTGTCACTTCAGATCCTGATTGCACTGGGCTCCTTCAAGCCCTAGAGTCTTTGCATGACAGTCCCTCTGCTCACCATGAACTTCTTACCCTAATAAATCACTCCTGCCCCTTCAACCACATGTCCTTAGTATCAATATGTATCCTCATGACTAGATCAGTAACCTTGGAAATCAGCTCTACTAGCATCTAACACATAGCTCAGTTTGTAATTATAATTGTAGGTGATCCATTGATCATTTTTCTCCAACCGTTAGAAGAGTTTCTCAACCTTGGCACTGCTGATATTCTTTGGTCAGATAGTTCTTTATTGTGAAGGAGTTCTGGCCTCTACCCATTAGACACCAGAAGCAAGACCCAGTCATGACAACCTTCACTGTCTCCACACATTGCCAAATGTCCCCAGGAGCAAAATTACCACTGGTGAAGAAATGCTGCATCTGAGTATAAGCCACAATAAATAAGAAAATATGTCTATTTTGCTCCATATACAATGCCTAAAGTCGAGTACCATGAAGAGCACATTGAAGTTGCTCATAGTGTTTAGGTGGATAGATGAATAAACCACAAGTAACTACAGGTTAATGTTAAATCTGGTTGTAGCTCATAGAATATTCCGGGATAGCCAATTCAGAGGCGCAAGTCCTGTGTATCAATTTCTATCAAACTTTGAGCACTAAAATGGCTCTGAAGTATATGTAACAACAAAGAATGCTTATTTTCTTCTATAAGTTTTGTTGATCAAAATTACTTTGTTCTTTCTTGGCCACTTGTTGGTGTCTGATCTCTCTTTGACAGCAGAAAACATGTCTTCATTCATTCAAGTGTTTCCTGGTATCTATGAATAGGCATTAGCCTTTCAAAGTTGAATGGATAAAAAGTATCTATTAAACATTCTTACATCATAAAGAACTATTTATATAATAATACCTGTTATAGAGCGAGTGTTCATTAAATATTTGTGAAGCTGAACTGAATTGTACACATCAGCATTAGTTTATAATTTAACAGATGAGGCAAAGGATGCTGGAAAAATTATCAGATGATAATGTGTTGATGTCCACTTGAAGTCAATAGTGTTCTCTTTGCTTGTTACAAATTAAATCCTGCATAATCAGTCTCCCTAAGCTTTGTTTTCTTCTCTGTTAAGCCAGTAAAAAGTGTATTTCCAGCCTAGTTCATCAGTTGCTGTATGAAATGTGAAAATGTCTGTGAATGTCTGTGTGGAAAGCACCTTGGTTTTATGCAAAGCTAACTCAGGGTCTTCAATCAATCAAGTCTTATTATGTGGTGGGGCTGGGTGTTAGAAAATGCAAGATAATATATAGCTGCAGGTAGAGTCCAGTGAAAGCACCATGGAGGGAAATTTATCTCTACCCAGGGACAGTTGGCAAAGCAATCTTCGGCAATCTGTGTGGGAATTAAACAATTAAGGAAAAGTAGAGAGGACAATACAGATAGAGAAACAAAAGCCATACCAATGGTGGTGATAATATTATAATCCACTTATTCATTCATGCACTTCACAAATATTAAGCTTTGAATAGGACCTAGACTCTGCAAGGTAGTACCGAAGAAAACAAAGACCCACAGTCTTGGAGTTTACATTCTGAAGAGGAAAAGCAGACATGGCAAACAAGTATACCATGAATATAGATCTCTGATCAACTCCTTTCTCCTCATCCTTCTCAATGTCATCAACATGAATATCATCTTTATACTTGAGGCAGACTAGAGATCGATCACATCCCAGGAGGCAGGAGAATTGTGGCAGTCCCAGGAGGTACAAAAATCATGTCTCCCAAAGAAGTCATTTGAAAGAAATGTAATTAAATATGAAAAAAATAAAGAAAAAACCCCAAAACATTTAAAATATAAAGATAATGTACTTTTTTTTTGAGACATAGTCTCACTCTGCACCCTAGGCTGGAGTACAATGACACAATCACAGCTCATTGCAACCTCTGCCTCCCGGGTTCAAGTGATTCTCCTGCTTCAGCTTCTTGAGTAGCTGGGATTACAGGCAACCCCCACTACACCTGGCTAATTTTTGTATTTTTAGTGGAGACGAGGTTTCACCATGTTAGTCAAGCTCGTCTCAAACTCCTGACCTGCCTCAGATGTACTTTTCAGGATGCCCCCATATGTGGCCTATCAGAAACGTAAACTTATATTAAAACTCAATAAGACATTGGAAAGAATTAAGAAAATATGCCATGCAATATTTAGAAATGGAATAGATAAACAGGTGGATGAATGGATAGATAGTACAGTAAGCTACAGTCTGAATGTTGTCCTCTCAAAACTCATATGTTTACATCCAAACCCCCAAAGAAAGGAAATCAGTATATCAAAGAGATATCTGCACCCCCATGTTTGTTGCAATTCTGTTCACAATAGCCAAGATTTGGATGTAACCTAACCATCCATCAACGGGTGAATGGATAAAGAAAATGGGCTACACATACACAATAGAGTACTATTAAGCCATAGCAAAGAATTAGATCCTGTCATTTACAACAACATGGATAAAACTGGTGGTTATTATGTTAAGAGAAATAAGCGAGGCACAGAAAGACCGTTATACCATGTTCTCACTTATTTGTGGGAGCTAAAAATTGAAACAATTGAATTCATAAATATAGAGAATCAAAAGATGGTTATCAGACATTGGAAACGATAGTGGGAGTAGGATGGGGAAAGTAGGGATGGTTAATGGGTACAAAAATTATAGTCAGAAAGAATAAATAAGACCTAGTATTTGCTGGCATGACAGGGTGACTTTAGTCAATAGTAAACTGATTGTACATTTTAACTGAAATAATACAATTGGATTTTTTGTAACAAAAAAGACAAGTCCTTGAGGAGATAGACAACCCCATTTGCTGTGATACGATCATTACGCATTGCATGTCTGCACCAGAATATCTCAGGTACCCCATAAATATATACACCTACTATGTACTCATATAGAAATTAAAAATTTAAAACAAAAGATATAAATCTTAATCCCCGAGGGGACACTATTAGGAGGCGAGCACTTTTGGAGGTGATAAGATCATAACTATGGAGCTTCATGAATGAGATGAGTGCTTTTATAAAAGGGACCCCAGAGAGCCCCCTCCTTTGCCCCTTCTACCATGTGAGGACACAGTGAGAAGGCCCTGTCTATGGACAACGAAGTGGGTCCCCACCAGACACTGAATCTGCAGCCACTTTAATGTTGTAGTTCAAGCCTTCTTATATGTGTGTGTATATAGTCTTGCTCACTTACATGACAAAAACTTGTAAGTAATTTGCTCAACTCAGAGAGAGGAGAGAGAAAGAGAGAAGATAGACATAGATAGATAGATAGATAGATAACAGATAGATGATACATAGAGATTATATAGATAAGATAGATTGATAGACTAGATGGAGAAATAGAGATATATAGGCAGGTAGATAGATTAAATAGATAGGTTCTTCACATGTAGACACTACTTATCAAGAAAGCATAGTAAGACATTTAGTCAATTGTGTGAGTACATGACAATCAGAAAATCACTCAATTAGCAGGATTCAGTGTTCTGAGGAAGATGATTTGAAAAGCTGTGAACATCTAGGAAAAAACTTAAGCACTCTTGAAATCCATTCATTCAGATAACCTAAAAATTGAAATATGAATTTATGTTTTATCCTTTCTTTACAATATAAACATGGTCTCACAGATTTGAGCGCAAGTGAATGATGAGCTTGAATTCAATGCAAAGAATCTTTGAACACTTTCACATAGTTTGACCCTAGTTCTACCACGGCTGGAAGAGCTCTGTTTCACTTGATGGCTGCACTGGATGCCTCTTGGCCACATGGCTTATTCCAGTCACTCTTGTGGTGATCTGCTCTGTCCAGACTTCAACCAGCTTCATGAAGGTGCAGCCTCTCTTCATACCTGGAAACTTGACTTTTTCTTGATTTCCTGAATTTTCTTCAATGCCTTACAGGGGATGCACACTAAAACCTACTTAGCACTCCCCAAGTAGCCTGGAGATGTCAACACCAGTACATTATTAAGGGTGAAAGATGAGGAGAATGTGGGTCCTCCATTTTCACCTGGGAAAGTGGTATGGGGACATATATCATAAGGGTTTTCACACAACCTCACTGGGTCAAGCAGGCATCTCTCCTCTGTGGCCAATACAATTTTTTTGTGTGGTTTTTGTTTGTTTTTTAATTTTAGTTTAGGTTCAGGGGTGCATGTACAGGTTTCTTACACGGGTATATTGTACACTGGTTACATATGGGCTTCTAGGGTACCAATCACACAAGAGTAAACACTGTACCCATAGGTGATTTTTCAAACCTCACCCCCTCCCATCCTTTCCCCTGTTTGAGTCTCCATTGTTGGTTGTTTCCATCTTTACAACCACGCGTACCCATTGTTTAGCTCCTAGTTATAAGTGAGAACATGTGATATTTGATTTTATGTTTCTCAGTTATTTCACTTAGGATAATGGCCTCCAGCCACATGCACGTTGCTGCAAAGGACATGATTCCATTCTTTTTTATGGCTGCCTAGTATTCTTTGGTGTATATGTACCACATTTTCTTTATCCAATGCATGGTTGATGGATACATAGGTTGACTCCACAACTTGGCTATTGTAAATAGTGATTACATTTCTCCCTTCATCACTGTGCTGGTTCCTCATCCTTATTCTTGGCATGATATTTGCAATAAACAAGGGATTTCTCTAAACCTCTGCTTTGAGTAGAATCTGGGTTAGGAAAATACATAGTGGATTAAAATCTTCAGCACTTACTGCCACCGAAATAAAGATTGAAAATAGATTGGATTTTGAATGTGACAGGTGTGTAGCCAAATGCCCAACACTAATGTTGTTATCAGCTTCAAGTCAAACCACCAAAGCCTTCTCACAGAAATTCATTTTTCAAGAGAACTTAAGCTTACCTTTTTGGAATTTACAGGATATTTTCAATTATTATTAAATATTATTAGTTGTAGAATGACTGACCGCACACATGCAAAATAAAAATGGTGTCTCCTGCCTGTAACCCCAAGGTGGGCTGATCACTTGAGCCAAGGATTTCAAGACCAGCCTGGCCAACATGGCAAAATCCCATCTCTACAAAAAGAAAAAAAAAAAAAAAAATGGACCGACATGGTGTTGTGCGTAGGCAGTCTCAGCTATTCTAACTAGGGAGGCTTAGGTGGAAGGATTACTTGAGCCAAGGAGATCGAGGCTGCAGTGAGCCAAGATCACTCTACTGCACTACAGCCTGAGTGACAGAGACCCAGTAGAAATAAAGATAAAAAATAAAGCAGGGCGGGGGATTGGTGGGAGAAAAGTAATGCATAGTTGTAGAAATCAATTTTCCATGTCATGCAAGGAACTGACTGCAGAATTTGGTGTGTGGGTCTGCTCATTAGTTGGTCAATCCCTGCTCATCTCTCAGGTTTTGGCTTAAATTGTGCTTTCCCTGGGAAGCCCTTCAGGCTGCCTCCAAGATTGGATCAGATGTTCCTGCAGCTGCTCCTAAGCATATCACTGTTTTAAGCAGCATGAGACTAACCTCATTTTAATCTCATCCTTATTTAATAATCTCTAACAAAAACTATAGGTTATGGCCAAGCACAGTGGTTCACACTTGTAATCCCAGTGCTTTGGAAGGCCAAGGCAGGAAGATCGCTTGACGTTAGGATTTTTGAGACCAATCTGGGCAAAATACTGACACCCTATGTCTACAAAAATCAAAATAAAAATTAGCCATACATGGTAGCATGCACCTATAGTACAAGCTATTCCAGAGTCTGAGCTGTCTAGATGCTCAATGTCCAGTGGAAAGGACATTCCAGGGCTCTGCTGGTCCCTCTCCGCCCTCACTCCCTATGCACAAGAGGCTGTCACTCATAGCCAGTAACCCTAGCTGCAAGGAAGGAATTTGGAGACCCTTCCAATTGCAAGGGGGCTGGGCTGTCAGAATGGTGGAATTCTGTGCATCCTCACTTGACTGGGCTCAAACCCTATAAACAGATATGCAGCAGACTGGATTTTTCTAATAGGCTGCCTTCATACTAGAAATGCATTTAATAATTTAATAACAAAGGAGCTGTAGAGTGTCTCCTCTCTGAAGCCCTTGTTCTGTGGAGGCAGGAAAAATCAGAAGTGACCCTCTCACTAGGAGGAGCATATCTGGACAATAAGTAAAAATCCATGAAAGACAGAAAGAAATTCAATTGCCCTTGGAGGCATTTGTAATATTCACCCAGGAGAAACAGCTTCTATGTACCTTGGAATCCTGGCTAACAAGTTTATGAGTGTCTCCTCTCAGGTGTCATTTTGAAGGATTTTGGAAGAACTAGAAATGGAAATGAAAGGCAATAATAAAAAAACCTTAGGCCTGAACCTTAAAATCACCTGTTGCTTAATCTGCACACAGACGGAGGTTCAAGGATGTGCGTTAAAAGTGACAGGTGTGTCACTGAAATCTGAAGCCCTCTGAGGTGGTTTGAGGCAGAAATAGCTACCCCAAGCAGTAAAGCAAAGCACATGTGAAGGACTTACACAGATTCACTCAAGTCCAGAACACCCCACACCTAATGTATCTTGCTATTGTCTGAACGGTGGTAACCTCCCAAAATTCATATGCTGAAATCCAATATACATTGTGATAAGTCCACTCTCATGAATAGGATTAGTGTCCATATAAAAGAGATTGCAGGAAGCTGCTTTTTCCCTTCCATCATTTGAGGACAAACCAAGAAGGTGCCATGTGGGGTAATGGGCCCTCGCCAGACAAAGAATCAGCTAACACCTTGATCTTTGGACTTCCTAGGACTGTGTGAAATAAATGTCGGTTTTTAACTGGGTTAAGTGGCTCATACCTGTAATCCCAACATTTTGGGAGGTCATGGCAGGAGAACTGTTTAAGGCCAGGAGTTCAAGAACACCCTGGGCAAAGTAGTGAGACCTCATATTTACTAAAAGTTAAATAAAAATAAAATTTAGCCATGTGTGCTGGCACACACTTATGGTCCCAGCTACTTGGGAAGCTAAGGTGGGAGGATCACTTGAGCCCACAAAGTCAAGACTGCAGTGAGCCATGATCAAGCCACTGCACTCTAGTCTGGGCAACAGAGAGAGACCCTGTCTCAATGAAAATAATAATAATAAATGTCTATTGTTTATAAATTACCCAGTCTAAGGTATTCTGCTACAGCAGGCTGGACAGACTACAAAAATCTCCATATCTTACCTTGGGATATTAAAACATGTTTATAGCTCTTAAAGATAAAATATTCTAAAAATTGTTAAATATTCAGGGTAGCAAAAAGGCGTTTTCTTTGCAGGAAAATAATTTTAATGAAACAAGCTAGAGTTATGAACAAATACATTGATAATCTGGCTTTGTGTACATCAAGATTAATGAGAAAACACTTATGTCCTAAAATGTCAAATATAATTTTGTTTTTCTAGTCTACCTTCCAGATAAAATAACTGCATGTTCAGCGCTTAAAAATTAAAAATGATCAGTCTCAAATTATTTCCTACAAGCTGTTACTGAGGGGGGACAAGGACTAAAAAACTTCCTGTGCTTATTATTTGGACACAGAATAACCTAACAGAAGCCCAAACCTCAGCATTACACAATATACCCTTGTAACATATCTGCATATTTAACACTTGGATCTAAAGTAAAAATGAGGATTTTTAAAAAGCTATCCCTCTTTTTTAAAGTTTTAAAGTTTAAGGCCAGGAGTTCAAGAACACCCTGGGCAAAGCAGTGAGACCTCATATCTACTAAAAACAAACACAAAATCTATGCAGATAAACAACATCATATTAGATTTCAACCTGAAGTATAAAATAAATATCCATAAGACCATACTGATATATGTAAATGAGGGAGTAAATGAGTGGCTCAGAATAGAGACATCTCTTATGTAAAATAATTTCAAGTAATTTCTGTAGATACTCTGCCCTCCGGGGGGAATAGCAGGTCCCCATTTCTTAAGCGTGGGCTGCACAAAGTGACATCTTTTCACAGAGTACAATATGGAAAGTGTGTGTGCAAGAGGAGTAACTTGATAGTAGGGAAATCTGGCCAACATCACCTCATCCATGGGATCAAGGTCAGTATCAACTGCAATGTCATGGTGCTAGTATGTGCCCTTGATACAAAGTAAGGAAAGTGGCACTTCACCTCTGGTCTTCCTCTGCACAATCCATAGCCCCAGAATAACCATGAGAAGAACATCAGACAAACCCAAACAAAAGGACAGTCTACCAATCCCCTGATTAGTCCTCCTTAAGCTCTTAAGGCCATGAAAGACAAAATGAGAAGGAGAAATCATCACAATCAAGAGGAGCCCAAGGAGACATGACCGCTAAATGTAATGTGGGATCTGGGGTGGGGTTTGAGGAAAGGAAAAAGACAGAATGAAAATACCAAAGAAATCTGAAGAATGAGTGGGCTTTAGTCAAAAAAAAATTGTACATATTGGCTCATTAATAGTGTCAAATGTATAATAATGATGTTTAAGATATTTATAGAAGGGAAATTCAAGGGTGGGGTATAAGGAAAATCCTTTCCACAATCTTCACAAATTTAGCAGAAATCTAAAATTAAATAAACATGTATTTTAAAAACTATTATAAGTAATATTTTTTCAAAAGAATAATTTACATATGTATATTTAATTTTTAACTCAGTTCATGTATTAAAAGAAAAATATAAACATAGAAAGCAGTGACGCTGGTATTTATCAAGAAAACCTATAGTTCGAGTTTTTGAACTTACTAGGTGTTACAGAAAGACAAGAAACTATAAAAAATTACAACATTGCAATACATCTGAAATTCTGAGACTATAAAAATGCCTAGAATTATAACATCCTAAGGGTTCTTTGCAATGTCCTAGTTTGGAGTGAATATTAACAGTCAATCCAAGTGTGAATACACTTGTTTCAAAAAAAAAAAAAAAAAGCTTAATACACAAATAGTGGATGGACTTATCCATCCATATCTGAGTGACTCTAGTCTGAAAAATTAGATCTATTTCTGTTTTACTGTTTTTTTTTTTTTTGTTGTTGTTGTCATTTTGTTTTTTGTTTTTTTTGTGATGGAGTCTCACTCTGTTGCACCAGGCTGGAAGTGCATTGCTGTGATCTCGGGGCACTGCAAACTCAGACCCCTAGATTCAAGCAATTCTCCTGCCTCAACCTCCAAAGTAGCTAGGACTACAGGCCTGCACCCCCACACCGAGCTAATTTTTGTATTTTTAGTAGAGACAGGTTTCATCATGTTGGCCAGGCTGGTATCAAACTCTTGCCCTCAAGTAATCTGCCCAGCTACGCATCTCAAAGTGCTGGGTTTAGAAGCGTGAGCCAGTAAGCCCAGCCAACTTCTGTTAAACCAGTGACTCTTAAAGTTTTTCAACGTTTGTATATTCTCTGGGTTTCTACCACTCCATGACAGAATTATAGATTTAAATCCTCAGAGACTTTAAATGGCTTTAGGCAAAAAAAGCATGTGTGAGGGAAAAGACTTAGTAGGATATTAGTTACTTTATTTATATAGTTTATTTTATATTTATGAAATTTACTGGAACAAACTCCAAGGTTGGGTTGTTGTTTATAAGACAAAAGTCATACTTCTTGTGAGATTGCCTTGTAAGCCACATCCTACAATTTTCCCTGGCATATGAAATCAGTGATATAACTTAAAGCTCTAATTTAATGATATGTTGATCAGGCTGGCCTCAAACTCTTGACCTCGGGTGATCTGCCCGCCTCAGCCTCCCAAAGTACCAGGATTACAGGCATGAGCCACCATGCCCAGCTGAGGGTGGGCTTTTGACTGGCCATTGGATACTCATTATCTTCCAAGATATCTACTGTCCTCAACGACAACAAAAAACTCCCAAGAAATACTTCAGAGCCAGTCAAAAAGCAAAACACTTAAACAAATGTAACATCATATATGAAATAACAACAACTATCAAATGACCCAAGCAAACAACATGGGACTCAAAATAAGTAGATTAAATATCCGTCCAATGGACAGAGAGACAATTATAGAGATATAAAGTTGGAACAAAGGGTGTCAAAGGAAGTCACATGAGAAACTGGGGAGGAGAAATGAAATTGTTGAAGTGGAGAGCACAAAGAACAGGCTGAAATGGAAAGATACCTACAAACAATGCATATTGGTGGCAAAAGACAGAGAGACACTTTCCCAAAATGGATCCGGGATGAAAAATGGAGGAAAAACATCCTCCAAATGCTGAAGTATGGAAGATGGAAGTAGAAGTGTTGCCAGTCCTATAAAAAAAAGACCCAGAAAGAGAACAAAGAGAAAAAGGTTAGCAAGAACTACATTAGGCAGAAAGGCTGAGAAGTTCCCAGGATGAGAGGGAAAAAAAAAAAAAAAAAGGCTTAAAATGGAAAGTTCTCATAAAGTAAGGAACAGGTTGATTTAAAACAGAAAAAAGCAAAACTAAATTCTGATTTTTGAGTATCTCAAATATAAACAAAGTAAGTCTAATTCTTCCAATGAGAAAAAGCAGGTGATGTGCAATGGATTGAAAATCGGGGTAACAACAAAGCAGTGTAGGATACAAAAAGCAGTGGCTTCTCATCCCCAGCAAGTGCAGGGGAAAAAAGATCTGCCTAGGTTTTATGTCCAGCCAAACTATTATTTAAATGATAGCTTAAATCCAAATCTATTTAATTCTTAGAAATCTTGAAACAACGTATTTCTGCAAGGAAGGAGAGAAATAAACCCAGAATACAGCAGTATAATACAAGTAATGACAAGACATTACTCCAAAGACACAATATTCTAAAATCAAATTTTAACATGATCTACAGCCCAAATTCCCTTAGAATCTAACACAGTGTGGGGTGATTGAGAGAGAGAGATGCCAAAGAGTTGAGAAAATCTTAAATCTATAGCTTATTCTGAGGAAAATTGTGGATACTGAAAAGTTTGATAGCCAATAAGAAGAATCGATGTATCTTCATTAGAATATAAGTGCAACATAAAACAGGAAATTTGATGAATCCAAACTATAAGGAGGAAAAAAAATCATAAAAAAAGAGTATAATAATGAGGTCAGCAAAAAAGGAGTATAATAATGAGGTCAGTAAGAGAAACTTTTAAAATTATACACTGGAAGTCAGGAAAAAAAAAAAGTTAAAGTTTAAAAAGCATGATTGATACATATAAAATATAAAACAAAGTGGCAGAAATGAAATCTATAATAATGATAACTGCAGAAATATAATTAGGATAAACAGATAAAATGTGATTAAAATACATTTAGCAACATATTGTTGAAAACAGATATATTTAAAACAAACAGATACACGAACAGGAAGAGACTAAAAATTTTAAATGTAAGAAATATGTAAAGAAAAAATCATAGTAAGCAAATTTAGTATCAAACCAAAATCATAAATATCAATAATAGATAATAAATAGTAGAAAAGGAATGGAAGATTAAAAAGGTACAACTGACACTTTCATATAACTTCCTAATAAGCTTGAAAACATGTAAAAGGTAAGTACATGTTTATACATACATACTATATATATAACATAGTATATCCATATGCATTAAATATACCAGACAAAGGAACGATAAGATGAAATGTTACAAGAGAATAAAACTCAACATTCTTGGTGTGATGAACTTATAAGACAAAATCTAATTGAAGATACAGGCCACAAATCGTGACTCATACCTATAATTCCAGCACTTTGGGAGGACAAGGCAGGTGGATCCCTTGAGGTCAGGAGTTCAGGCCAGCCTGGCCAACACAGTGAAACCGTCTCTACTAAAAATACAAAAGTTGGCTGGGCACAGTGGCTCATGCCTGTAATCCCAGCACTTTGGGAGGATGAGATGGGAAGATCACCTGAGGTAAGGAGTTCAAGACCAGGCTGGCCAACGTGGTGAAACCCCACCTCTACTAAAAATACAAAAATTAGCCAGGCACGGTGGCGGGCGCCTGTTGTCCTAGCTATCTGGGAGGCTGAGGAAGGATAATGACTTGAATCCGGAAGGTAGAGGTTGTAGTGATCTGAGATCGCGCCATTGCACTCCAGCCTGGGCAACAGAGCAAGACTCTGTCTCAAAAATAATAATAAAAAAAGTTTAGCCAGGTATGGTGGTGTGCACCTGTAATCCTAGCTACTTGGAAGGCTGAGGCATGAGAATAACTTGAACCCAGGAGGCAGAGATTGCAGTTAGCCGAGACTGAGTGACTGCATTCCAGCGAGAGAGTGAGACAGAGTCCCCCACCTGCCACCCCAAAAATAAATAAGATATAGAAGACTGAAATAACTGACATGTGTGATCCGGTGGCTATCTATGGAAATATATGCACCTCAAATCACACACTCTCACACACACACAGAACACAGATATATATATATACACACACACACACGTAAACATGTATGTACATGTAAATGTACATATATGTTTAGTGTTCTATCATTATTTTGAACGCTTTTTACTATTGATTTCTAATTCTATTGAATTATGGTCATAGAATACAATGCTGTATGCTGCTGTATCTTTTTGAAAGGTAGATTTTGTAAACATTTGGTGTGTGCTTGAAAGCTATGGACACAGAACACTAAACATATATATATATACACATATCTATGTTTACACACATATAAACATATATATGTTTAGTATTCTGTCATTAGTTTGCATATATGTATTTGTTTGTGTGTGGGTGTGTGCACATGCTTTTATGATACAATATAAACAAAAATAGTTGGAAACCAAGGATCATTCAAATGTCACATGTGAAAATTTGTCAGATGAGATTGAAGATGTGCTTAAAGGGACAATTAAAACTTCAAATACCTTTACAAGGCAACAAGAATAATTGGAAATAAAGAAGCCATGGAGACAAGTCAAGAAGAGGGCAGGAAGAAGAGAAAACAGAATAAATACAAATAAATCTGAAAATAGGATATAATCAAGATAGGAGCAGAAATTAGTGAAATAGAGAAAAAAGAGTTGATATAATTACCAAAATGAAAACTAGTTTATTGAAAAGCTTTATAATATAAACAAACTTCTGCCAAGACTGACCAAGGAAGGGAGACAAATTAAGAAAACAAATAGTCTTTAAAGGAAAAGAGGAAAATCACTTTTAAAACACCAAGTAAATCAAAATATAAAAAATACAAAATAATATTTTAACAGTATAAAACCTGATATTAAAAAGCTAAATTGAAATCGTCAAGAAAAAAGCAACATTACACGAAGAAATAAACTTAAACTAAAAACTATTAGTAGTATTGAAAGGGTAACTAAAAATCTCCCACACAAAAACTTGTCACCCAAGATAATTTTCAGAAAATTTTTAATAATCCTATGTATTGAAGTTTTCTGCAGAAAATATAAAATTAAATAAAGCTATCAAAATCCTTTTGTATGGATAGTTTAACATTCATATCAAAAGTATAGAGTGTTTAACATCATAAAATTATAAATCAAATTCACTTATGAATGTAGATGTAGACATCCTAAGTGAATATTTACAAACTAAACTTAGTAGAATAGTGGCTATTTTTAGAATATACAATATATTCCACTATAACACGAGAGGCCATTTTGTTCCTATTATGATGAAAAATTTGTTTTTTCTAAATTGAATAGATACCTTATAAATCTATTAATTATAAAAGCACACTAATTATGAAGAATAATTATAATTCTTTTATGATATAAGCAGCTGTATAAGCGGCTGTAGAAATGCCAACTGCTTATTTGGCAATAATCAATATGTATGATCAAAAGAAAGCATTTTAAAAACTTAGAAAATAAATGGTAATTACAAGAAATTCATATTATTTGAAAATGACTGTATGTCAAAAATCTCTCCTTGACATTGTATTTACAAAAAAGATGTTAGACCCATTTCCTGTAAAATCATGAATGGGAATAAAATTTTGTACCAATAGCATTCATCCTCACACCAGATGTCAATGGGTCATACAATGGTAGAAGTTAGAAAGGATTTAAAATTTACAAGTATTAAAAGGAAAGAGAGAAAATGGTCATTATTTGCAGATAATGTCACCATTTTTGTGGAAATTATGTAATTTAACAGAAAAGCTGCTACAAATAATAGAAAATCCAAAAGGATGGTTGAACATTTCATCAATGTAAAAAAACAACATTATTTTATACCAGGAGTACAAAATGTAATTGAAGGTATCAATTGCAAAATACTACTAATAATAATTAATTAATACATAATGCTTAAAGTATTTAATAAAGCTATGATCAGATCTCAACAAGTAATAAACTATGCCAGTTTACAAGTGAGATAACATAAGCTTAGAAGATGTTTATTTTTCCTCAAACCAACTTTTAAATAAATACAATTCCCAGCAAAGACAGAAGAATGTTGCACACTTTGACACATCGATTCCATAATGTACATGAAAGAATAAATTCTACCAAAAGCAAGGGGAATGTTGAAGATGGAAAACATATGTCATTTGTAATATTTGAGTCATTCTTCATCTTGCAGAAACAGATCAGCAAATGAACAGGGCCAAATATAAAGCCCTAGGATTGGCTGATGTATATATGATTAATTTTAAAACTTGTATTTTTGTGGGGGGTGGGGCGGGATCTGGCCCCTTCCAGATTTACTCTTTCTCATCTCCACTATTCTGTACTGTGGAAGGTAAATAAGTGAGTTCACTCTTGCCTTCTGGCTGTCCCTTGGTTTCAGCCAAGGAAGATACTAGTAGGTAATCTGGAGGACAGAAGGCGAGTAAGGCCTATGTATATGAAATCCAGTTCCCTCCCTCGTAGGTAGGTCCAGTTCAACCTCAGTGGGTATCAGCAACTTCACATAAGGGCTCCACTACCCTGTGTCGGTGCCCTATATACTGTCCCCATCTTTATTATATTTCTCAAGTTGCATTCCATCTTTTCCTATCAGGACCCTGGCTGACACAACAAATACTGGGAAAAAATACCTTGTTTCTTTCATGTGTCAAAAGCAATGCTTCCTTACTGCAGGAAAAAAAAATGAGATCCCTACCTAACTCCATATATAAAAATATGCTCTGCATAGATTAAAAATGTCTGCATGAACAATGAAATTCTGATGCTTATAGAAAAATGTGCAGGAAAATGTTTTTTAGATGTTGGGGTAGAACAGGATTTCTCTAACAGGTGCTACTTAGGAGAAGCTCTTATAAAGAAAAATATGTCGATGGAATTTTGCTACATTAAAACTAATGATTTTGTTTCAAACTAAACCAGGCATAATAGACGGGAGCCAGTGGGAGATTTTTACAACATGTAAAACTCAGAGTGGTGAGTTTATTTTTATTTTTTAGAGATAGGCTTTTGCTATACTGCCCAGGCTGGTGTTGAACTCCTGAGCTCATCTGATCTTGGCCTCAGCCTCTTGAGTAGCTGGGACCACATGGTGCACCACTGTGTATGGCTTATGGTGGACTGTTTAAATCAGAGTATTCTCCCCTGTGTGCCTAGGTGTCTTAGATGGGTTATTAGAAAATTGAAACATGGGGCCCTATGAAGGATGGGATAGTCTGAGGCACACACCCCTAGCAATATCTATTTACACGAATGTAAATAGTATCAGCAGAGAATGTGCTAACCTATCATTATCTTCTATTTTGCATAATAGGAAATAAAACTGAGATGCACTGGAGTGAATTATACAAATGAGCCTGCAAGAAAATGACAGTCCAGTAAAAACACATTCCTGGCTCACATTTCAGACATTTATTTAATACTACCTACTGCTGTGTGGTCTTCTGAAATAATGTGTGACTCCAACACTGCATGCGTGGGCATTTCACTGAATCCGTGGCTAATGGGGTGGTAAATAAGAGTGACTTTTAAAAGACGGAAGAGGAAATAATTTATAAAGTACCACGGCTGCAGAGAAAATTGAAGTCTTCCTTTCAAGACATAAGAGAAACCACTGATCTACCATCCACATTGTGATTGACGTAAATTTGACAGATAATTATTGTAAGCTATATTTTGTGTGTTGCTTTCTTTAGCAGATTAGAAGACCCAAGTGGAAGACACAACTCTTGCCTGTCAACAGAGTACTATTACCCATGCATAGAAGGTCAGCAAGTCACCCCATGAAACAGAAAAGGCTGGAAATCAGTGTGTGGGGCAGAGAGTCTACTTTGTAGACAGGAGGTACTCTTGAGGTCTGAACTGGCAGAGAAACCATATGAGAAACAAGCTTAGTTGGAACCTTCTATTGATGTTTGATTTTGCGTTGCTCATATTTCACTAGTTAAATAGACTAATAGATATCAAACACAATAGTATTTGCTCCAAAACTTTAAATTCATCAGTGTATGATTGCTTTTCATTAAAGCTTAATTTGTCTTTATTTTTGAAATGTTTCTCTTTCCATTATATATTAATAAATAATACGTTTAGGAGTATAATTTCTGTGCCCAGAAGAATGCTTACTTCATGGGTCTCATACCAGGGCAGGTGAAAACTGAAGAAATCAAAGCAATATCATGTATCTATGTGCAAGCCTGACTCTTTTTTAATAGTTAAATGTTTACAAAACCTATTTTGGCTTAAATATACAGTTTTCATTGTATATGACAACTGTGGGGGAAAGAAAATATCAATTTTTTTTTTTTTTTTGAGACAGGTTCTTGCTCTGTTGCTCAGTCCAGAGTGCAGTGATGTGATTACAGTTTACTGAAGCCTGGCATTCCTGGGCTCAAGTGATTCTCTCACCTCAGCCTCCCCTAGTAGGTGAGATTGCCAGCACATGCTTGCCATCACACTCAGCTCACTTTTTGTTTTTTGTAGAGATGAGGCTTTGCTATGTTGCCTATGATGTCTCAAACATGCAGAGCTCAAATCATTCTCCCTCCTTAGCCTCTCAAAACACTGGAATTACAGGCATGAACCCCCCCAGACCTAGCCCCAAATCATTAAAATATTCCCTAAGCTTCTTTTCTTTCTAAAAAATGCCAACGTTGATGGGATTTTCCATCACTCCCTCATATAACAATATTATATATTTTACCATATTGGAAATCCACATGAAAATCTCTGAAACACGGAAAAGCCCCCAATGTCAATACAATTATTGTTATGAAAAAGCCATCCATGGAGGTATAAACCTTGCCTAAATCAGACACAATTTTGATACCAACTTTTCCCTTTTATTTTATTTTTTTATTTCTTGAGATGAAGTCTTGCTCTGTTTGTTTATTTGTTTATTTATTTATTGAGATGAAGTCTTGCTCTGTTGCCCAGGCTAAAATGCAGTGGTGTCATCTCGGCTTACTGCAACTTCTACCTCCCAAGTTCAAGCAATTTTCCTGCCTCAAGCCTCCTGAGTAGCTGGGATTACGGGCATGTACCACCATGCCCAGCTAATTTTTGTATTTTTAGTGGAGATGGGTTTAACCATTTTAGTCACGCTGGTCTTGATCTGCCCGCCTGGGCCTCCCAAACTGCTAGGATTACAGGCATGAGCCACTGCACCCAGCCCCTTTTATTTTTAATACTGTGTGCTTTAACTTTTTCCTATTAAAACTCTGTTGCTAGTAGCATTAATTGTTTCATGCATTCATAATAAATCATTGCAAGCCCACTTTCCTGCTTCTTCTATAAAACTGGCAACAATGATGTTAATCTTGCAGGAAAAATATGTTATAATTGTAAGTCATCTCTCTTTTCCAGCAGGATGCAAGAAATCAGTGTAAAGTAATAAATCAAATGTTGTTTATTTTGCCCATATTTGGCCAGAGGCCATTGTTTTAAAAGCACAAAATTACAGCCCACTTTCATCAATTGGGCATTATTCTTTGACTCATGAATCTAACCAAGAACATGTAAGATGTATCCTAAATCCCATGGTAATGACAACTGATTAATTTTGTTAATAGTAATGGAAGGTTTTCTTTTTATGGTGCATTATTTATATTATTTACATATGTGAATATTTTTGTGCCAACTGTATATAAAAGAACTTTCTTTTTGATGCTTTCCTCTCACTATAATTATGGCATAGTGGAAGAAACACTGTTTGTCACTTTCTAATGGCCACAGCTAAATTCCTCTTTGTATTCCAAGCAGTAGTAAACAGACGTTGTTCTACATAAGATGAAAAGATGATATTTTATTTTTAAATATAACTATGGATACTCTTTTAGAGTCTTGACATGACAGTCAGTTTCAGAGAGTACTGATAAAAAATATTTTGCAGCCTAACTTAGAAAGCAGAATTAAAACTAAACTTTATCTACCAATAGGTTTACTGATTCATTATGAAAAAAGAAATTGAGACAAAGGTCTCCTATCTTCCCTCTATATGTTACATACATATGTTACTCTCCCCTTCTTTAAATATCCCATGTCTTGATAAATTAGCATGGCATGCTAATCATCTGATAAACTAATCTAATCTTCAACTTGTTCCACATCTAATCCATTCTCACATCTTTGATGGGTCTTAGAAATGAGATGGCCATATGCCAAATACATAATTCTGTGGTGTTCAGAAATTCAGGCAGTGTACCAAGATAATGTAGAGGCCAATCATCCCTCTGCAAAATAAATCAAATTACACCCTCTAGATGTCTTCCTAGGCTGAATCCAGCAAGTTAACAAATAACTGGTTGTCTGAGTCATTAATCTCAAAATGCAAATCAGAGCTTGTCACTTTGCTGCTTAAAAATGTTCCTTCATGGGACTCCAGCAGTCAACATGGTAATTACCAAACAGGATCAATGAGACAATTCACGCACACCAACTTCTGTAGCTTTGGTGCACTTCAGGGATGGTCAAGAACTGTATATTGTAGGACTTGTCCCTTTTTCCTGTCCCATTGGTGCTCCATTGCAATTTTGTACCAATATGTCTGCACAGGCATTTGTTCAATTGCTCCACATTCTTCAGTGTTCCCCTAGCACAATTTGCTCAGATTCTCTTTTTCTATAGACTTCTATAGTCTACCTCATGTTATCTCTACCTCAGTAATGTTCACATTAGGGGCCAGATCATTGTGTGGGTTGGAGGCTGTCCTGTACAGCAGGTCCAAAATTGCTCTTAGTTAGAAGCTCTGTTCTGCCTGATAACATACCTCCAAGTCTTCAAAATGTCTTTGGAAATATCTTCACCAACACTAAGCCCATCTGAGAGCTCCAGATAGAGTTGGCTGCCCTGTTTTCCCCCAACAACTTGAACTCATCCCTTCTTTATTCATCCTTGCCCTAGTCCAGCATTGCTGCTCACTGTAGGACCCCAATTCCTCAAGGCAGCCATTCAGACACATGGATCAGCAGCTAGCACATTTGGCTCATTAAATGATGAGGAGATGGTGTGAATTCTCCTAAGATAGTAAAAATGCGACAGAAGGGCATTCATTGTATCAAAAGCAGCAGCTGCATTTTGAATATGGTAAGTTTGAAATGTCTCTAAGGTGGTTCTGTTTGTATGGAGACTGGGGGAGAAATAGAGATTGCAATGTAGAAACAGGCCATCACTACAGTTATTACTATTATCACCAAAACAATCATCACAGTATTTGTTATCTTCATTGCTGTCATCATCATGACCATCACCATCATCACTGTCATCAGCAGCACCATCGTCATCTGGTCATCATCACCGTAACCTTCAGCATCCTCATCACCAACACCATCATCACCATCAGCATCAACATATTAGCATGGCTTCACCATCCTCTACACCAACATCATCAAAATCACCAACACTTTTACCATCCTCATCAACCATATTATCACCATCACCATCATCATAACCATCATCATCATCACCATCATCACCATCCTCCTCATCACCATCCTCATCATCACCATCATAATCATCATTATGTAGTAGTAGTGCTGTATAACTGTGTATATTTATTCATCTTTTGATTGATTATGTTCTTTGGCTGCTGTGTTGACAGTGTTTTGTTTAAACTGATTTGATTTTAAATATCTACAACTAATAATTTCTTTTTGCCCACGCTTTAATTTAATTGAACACAGAAATACTTTGCAACTATTTCGTCTTAGAGGTCACTTCAGGAAGTTATCTTGTGTAAGCCATATGGACAATGGTCTTAAAAACAGGCTTTTATCTTTTTTTTTCCCTAATTGTTTATTAATGGCAGAAAGGAGTATCTGTTTATATTTGGATTAAAAAATATTTCAGGCCAGGTGCGGTGGCTCACACCTGTAATACCAACACTTTGGGAGGCCGAGGTGGGTGGATCATGAGGTCAGGAGATCGAGACCATCCTGGCTAACATGGAGAAACCCCGTCTCTACTAAAAAAATATAAAAAATTAGCCGGGGGTGGTGGGTGCCTGTAGTTCCCAGCTACTCAGGATGCTGAAGCAGGAGAATGGTGTGAACATGGGAGGCAGAGCTTGCACTGAGCCAAATTTGCGCCACTGTCCTCCAGCCTGGACAACAGAGTGAGACTCCGTCACAAAAAAAAAAAAAAAAAAAAAAAAAAATTCAGGTCCAATTTTCAAATTTTTGCCATCAATATCACCTACAAGGCCACTACAATGCAAATTGTTGGGCCCTATCCTCAGATTTTGTGATTCACTGGAAGCCTGGATAGAGCCCAGGAATCTGCATTTGGAAAACATTCATAGCCAATTTGTAAACCACTGCTGTACATCATGGAACTTCTGTACTCTTCCTTTCATGTCTATATGGTAACTTAGAAGATCTCCACTTGACTTCATGAAGCCAGTCCTTTACATCAGGTGTCAGAACACTTTTTAAAATAAAGGGTAAGATTGTATGTATTGTAGACTTTGCAGGCCACATGGTCTCTTGCAACAACTCAACTTTGCCTTTGTAGTGTGAAAACAGTCACAGACACTACGTAAATAAATGGGTGTATTTGTGTTCCATTAAACCCTTTGGTAAAAACCGACAGAAAGTGTGAATGATTTGGTCTATGGGTTATGCTGTCCACACTTGCTTCCCATTTCTAAAAGGAGGTCAGACCCCCTTTTAGATAAACACTTGTCCCGGTTGAGCTTCTCAGCTTTCATTAGAGCACATATGTCAATATATTATCTCTAGTTCCACTGATGACTGAAGGATGTGCTCTGAGATTAACTGACCATACATTGACTACACTTCAGACATTTCAGGCTTCAAATTCACAAACTTCAGTTTCATAAACAACTTAGCTAAGAGAATCGATATTAATGTCAGGCTCTAGACTTCAGCTTTGAACACACTCTTCTCTTTGCCTGAAATGACCTTCCTCCCAGCAATTTGGTCAGTGACTCATTCGTCAAATTTCTCCTTACTGCATTTTCACTCTCTCAGTCTCGGATACATACTCCTCCCAGATGTTCTCATACCTCCCCAGCTTGCTGCATAATTGCAATGATTATACTAAATGGTTCCAGTTAGTTGTGCAATTTCCCCTCTATGGCTTTCAATAAAAGTGATAGGATGTCATTTAGCAAAATGGCCTGAAAATTAGATTAGGTTCAATAAATATTCACTGAGTGAATAAATAAATGAATAAACTACATGTTTGCTAATGCCTGGGGCCCATATGGAAACAAACATTAACAAACAACCCAATGACACTTCATGTAGTAAGGATATAGTGGTGCCTCTTTGGACTTATACAAAGCTGCACAAGAATTGAAGATGAGGTTTTATCACCAGCCTGAGAACCCATTCACAGCACAATCTCACAAACAAGTCCACTAAGCTGAAAAAGGAGGATGGCTGAGTAGGACCTCCTTTGCTTTTTGCAGAATTCCTTGAGAAAAAACTGGATGCTCTTTTGTCAGCCAATTGCCTAACGCTCTACAATGAAACTCTTTCCAAACTTTAACTGTGCTAAAGGCTTAGGTTGAAATTTGTCCAAATTCATTTTCATGTTCACAAGATGAGCTCCCCAAATTGGCTTATTCTACAGTAAACCTAAACTTTCAGTTAGAACTCTTAAAAGAGATGTCAGGCACAGCATATTACACCCAGGACTAAAGACCCTAATTCATTTGAGGTCATGTTTCCCATCTGGCATTAAATCTCAAGCTATCTCTAATTTGCCACCAGCTGACAGCTTCCAGATCCAGGATTGCCCCAGGAGGATGACTCCCAACATAGAACTGCCTGTATAACATCATAATAGAAATATCCTCATCTGTTCCTGTCATGTTATTTCTATATGTCACTAAAAGCTACAGCTGTTTACAAACCAACAACAGCAGCTAATAAACAAGTTTTCTCATTTCTGAATGTCCAAGTGCTTCTTTTCAGCTAAAAAAAAAGAAACATCCTAGGTAAGATTTTTCCCCCAAGTTAGTCTCGTCCATGAAGCACCCATGCCATTCTTTCTTCCTTGGGACTATTTGCAGTTTGAGCAATGACAATGGACATCAATGAGTTTTGCTTACCTAGCATTCAATTTTCCTCTGGGGAGCAATCTTACTTGCATCCAGCTTAAGCCTACTGGACCCACCCGGTCTCTTCCCAACCCTGGAGAGGCCATTTCAATCTAAGTGTCTCTTTCCATTGGATATAGACATTGGTTGGCATGCAACTAAAATTAGGCCAATATGCACAGTTACTGGGCCAATTTGCTTTCTGAGGAAACAATGGCATACAAGGAAATGCTGTTGACTGCCTACCACCACACAAAGACAGCGTCTCTGAGAAAGCCAAAAGAAGAAACATGGCACCAAAGTGCCAGGTTCCTAACGGCAATGATTAAACCTGAGGACACTATTTTCTAAATTAAATGTACTGCTAGTAAAGGGAGGCTGAAAATCTCTTCTTTTCCCTTAAGTCAATTTAACCAGAATTTCTTTCACTTGCCAACTATTCCTAAGATTGCAAAACCTAAAAATATATATCCCTCCATTGGAGACATGGTATCTATGTAGAATTTGGGTTACAATCTGTCCAACTTTTGAAATCCATGTATTTTTTTAAATAGAAGGTCTTGCTTTGTCTCCCAGGCTCATAGCTTCAGTGAACTATGATTGCATTGGCGCTACCATAGCTCACTGCAGCCTCAACCTCCTGGCCTCAAGCAATTCTCCCACCTGAGCCTCCCAAGTAGCTGAGATTACAGGTGCAAGCTACTGTACTCAGCTGAAATCCACTTTTTGCTTATTATGCCACAGTTATTGACTACTTTCTAACAAATAACCACAAATTTAATTAATATGCAACTATGCATATTGGCCTGATTTTAGCTGCATGCCAACCAATGTCTATATCCAGTGGAAAGAGACACCTAGATTGAAATGTACTCTCCAGGGTTGGGAAGAGACTGGGTGGGGCCAGTAGGCTTAAACAGCTTCAAATTAATGTATTTACTTTATCACAGTTTTTGCTTATTGGGAATCTAGGCACTAGCTCAGCTGGACCCACTGCTTTGAAGTCTCTTACTGATGAAGGTGTTGGCCTGAGCTGGGGTCTCATTTTAAAGCTGACATAGGAAGATTCACTTCCAAACATACACGCTTGTTTGCAGAGTTCAATGTCCTGTGGACTGCTGGACTGAATGCCTCTGTTCCTTGCAGGCTGTTGTTCAGAGGCAGCTGTCAGCTTCTTGACATTTGCACCTGTTCAACATGGTTGCTCATTTCATCAAAGCATGGAAACCAAGAATGCAACAGAAAGGGTATGCTAGGAAGACACATTTATATGCTTATATAACGTAATCATGGAAGTGGTGTTCCATTACCTCTATCATATTCCATGAGACAGAAGGAAATCCTATTTCCTCCCTACACTCAAAGGGGAGGGAGTTGCACAAAGGCAGTGTCTTTCACTTGGTAAAATGCCAGCCTTGGGAGGCGGGAATTCAAGAACTACTTCCCTAGTGGACAGGGGAAATAGGACATAGCCTAAAGGCTAAAAATGTGTCAGGAGAGCTTTGCCACGGACAGAACAGTGGGTACTGAGAGAGGATTTTAGGAACCAGAAATGCAGACACCACCTCTTCTGGCTTCTGGCATTCTTAGGCAGCTTATATATACAGAATATACCTAATCCAGACTGCATTCATTTCTGGGACTTTGTAACTAATTACCACAAACTTGCTGACTTGAAACAACAAAAACTTATAGTCTCTCACTGTTCTGGAGCAGAGTCCAAAATTAAGATGCTTCCTTTCAGAGGCTCTGAAGGAAAATCCATTTCATGCTTCTGTCTTGGATTGTGCTTCATGCTTCATGCTTCTGTTCTTAGTTCCTCATAGTTTTCAACAGTGCTCCCTAGTTTAGGGATGAATCACTTCAATCTTTACTTCCATCCTCACATGGTGTTCTCCTTGTTTTTGTCTTTGTCGTTGCATATCTTCTTCTTTTTTTTTGATATAACAGTTTTTATTTTAAAATACCAATATTTACGTGAAAGCAGCAAATACAAATTATGTCAACTATTTAATGTCCCATGAACAATCTTAGATATCAACTTAGATGGGTAAGGGAATACATGATTTTTCAAAATACTTCTGGGGGCACACAAGCAGAATACTTTGTGGACCACTGCTTTAAAACACTATTTCTCCAAGTGCATTGAGGGACAACTTACAGAATCACCTGGAAAGGGTGGCCAACTTTTAAAAAATGCAGATTCCTGGGCCTTATCCCCAAAATGAGTTATTAGATTTGGTGTGGACTCCAAATAAATCAATTTTCAACATGTACCCCAGGTAGCTCTCATGCAAACCATTTAGAAAGCACTACCTAAAAAAATAAAAACTAGCATTTTACAATATTGTTGCCATGGCTGAAGGGGGACACAACCTCATATACATTTCTGGACTGAGGATAGAACTGATATAAAAGCTAAACAGGAGCCAGAGCTCACAAAATAGCAGCACTTGTGGAGAAGCCTAGAAACAGGAAAAGGTCACCAGGGAAGGAAGGCATTTTCCCCAGAATTCTGAGCATGGTCAAAAGACAGAACCAGAATGGAAAGGCCCAGGCAGCCTAAGCCCACTGTGGGCTCTGCACTGTGGTTGCACTTTGGGAGAAAACAGAAGAAAGTCCTTTTCCATCTTGAACCAGTCTGAGGAAAGTCCGTGTTTAGGAGGGTCAACCATCACACCAAAATAAAATATGCCCTAACAAAACCTGATTGCAAAACAGGTGACAGAGTATACTTTGGGAAGCACTGCTGGAGAAGGCCAGAGGCTACTTGCCATGAAAAAGCCCTTGGGACACTCTGACAACACTGTTGGGATGGTTGAGGCATCTGTTCCCTTTTGGTCCTGCTGGTGGCCTAAAGTATGGTCTCAGAGCACTTGTCTTCTGCCTGCTTTCTGGGTGGGGCTTGCCAGCATCTATTCTCTCTTCCTGGGATCATAGAAAAGCTGCAGCTTCCTGGGGAGCAGTTTCACCTCCACAGGCTTCACATCACACTCTTCACTGTCTATGCCAAAAGAGCCCCCAGCTCCATTGGCAACAAGCAAAGTGCACTGGCTGGCTTGGAGACACTGTGCCTTCGATGTGCAGCTTGCGGTTTCAAACCTTTCGAGTTCCTGTAGTTATAAAGTCTCCTTTGCTGATGGTGTTCGTTCAATTCAGATGTTCATAAAATCTTCTTCGCTTGGCAGGTCAAGCTGATTTTTCTGTGTTGTGATGGATAGTTCAATGGTGGACAGCTGCACATCTTTCCAGATCTCTGGGCTCACATCTTGGGAAAGGGCATGCTCCGGTTGTGCCCAGTAGGATGTAAGACTTTGTAATATTCTTCTGTAAAAAGAAGGCCTTTGCACAGGGGTCTATTCTGGTTCACTGGGAGATCTCTCTGTAGGTGCCGTGTGTAAAATATAGGCTTGGTGAGTCTGAGGCCACTCTTTGAGAGTGCTGAAAAAGTGAGCTGCTTTGATTTTTAGAGGCGCAAGATACCAGTACTTGCTAACTTTGATGCCAACATCTCTGAAGGGTCCCCATCGAAGGCCAGTCACTGCAAACACAGGCTATTCCTTTTCACCTTGCATCTGCAAGACATCAAGTGGAACTGTCTTTCCTTTCACAATGGCAAATGTGGCATCAGTTATATGTTGGACTTTGTTTCCACGTTCAGCAAAGAGGGTATGACTCAAACTACTGGTCCGTCCCAGTGGGATAAATCCAATGGGAATCTTACTGAAGGTAGCCTCATCTGTTCTTTGAAGAACTCCAGTAACATCCTCCTTCAGTGTCCCATCTCCTCTTACAACAATGATCACAACTGTGTTTAACATCAGTTCCAGGAGTTCCTTGACTTATCCCTCATAACCTGCCCTAATAATAGACATATCCATCCTGGATATATGTAAAATCAGGGCAGCATTTTTTTCAAATCAAGTTCTGGCTTTGCCTTTGCAAGCTGCAGGATTGAGAAAAACAGTTGCCTTCTTCACTTGTGCATTTGGAGAAATGAGTTGATTGCCAAACACCTGAGCTTCTTGATAGGCTACTCTCCTTAGTAGGTTATCACAGTGTTTTCTATACAGCTAATTACATCCCCAGGCCAGGAGGCAGAGCCCAGTTGTAATTTTCTTCCAATGATTTCGAAGTGTTTTAAAGAATATCGTCACCTTCTAGAGATTTGCAGGGCTGGGCCCGCGCGTGGCTCTGCCTTTCCTGTGTCTGTCTCTTCTTACAAGGACGCTAATCATATTGGGTTTAGAATCTTCCCTAACACAGTATGAACTCATCTGAACTTGACTGCATTTGCAGAAACCATATTTCCAAATAAGGTGAATTTCCTAGGAACCAGATGTTAAGATATCAACATAACTTTTTTTTGAGACGCACAATTCAACTGTAACACAAGTCAACTCAAAACCCATGCTAAGAGAAAACTATTACCAATAATGTGGTCTGTCAAAGTTTTTAAAACACAGATCTAACCCATGCTCCACAGTCTTAAAATAACAGTATAAAATCTCAAAGAAATTAATCCTTCTCAAGTCAGGAACTCACAATATCTTCTGATGGCTACTCAAATTTAGATAATGATGATGGTGATGATTCTGATGATGTTTTTGATGATGATAATGATGATTATAAGTAACTACAAGATCTTAAGTTGAATAAAATGTAAGAGGAAGCTCATTTTATCCGAAGTTTTAGAATAAGCTTTCCCTAACGATGAACTCGGTTATTTTCCAACCTTCGAACTTTAATTTCTTGGAAATGATTCCTTCTGCATTCAATCAAATTATAGCTCACTGCATTTAAAAATAGGCAATCCAAATGTCCATCAATGATAGATTAGATAAAGAAAATGTGACACATATACACCATGGAATACTGTGCAGCCATAAAAAAGGATAATTTCATGTCCTTTGCAGGGACATGGATGAAGCTGGAAACCATCATTCTCAGCAAACTAACACAAGAACAGAAAACCAAACACTGCATGTTCTCACTCATAAGTAGGAACTGAACAATGAGAACACATGGACACAGGGAGAGGAACATCCCACACTGAGGCCTGTTGGTGTATGGGGGGCTACGGGAGGGATAGCATCAGAAGAAATACCTAATGTAGATGACGTGTTGATGGGTGCAGCAAACCACCATGGCAGGCTTATGGCCTTGTAACAAACCTGTATGTTCTGTACATGGATCCCATAACTTAAAGTATATTTTAAAAAGTGTTAGAAAGAAAAAGAAAAAGTATATAGTAATAAGGAGGTTGCTAAGGCTAAACACTCTAATGCTATAGCCAGTAGATACATATGGCAGCTTAAATTTAAATAGAAATTAGTTGCACTTAAATGAAATACAAATATTTCTTCACCACACACACACACACACACACACAAAAAAAAAAAAAAAACATAGGCAACCAACTGCTTTCTCAAAACTATAAACCAATTAGCTTATTAGTCATTCTATCATGTTTGTATGCTGTCTTCCCTCCTTGTAACACCTCATGGGCTTGGCATTTCAGGGAAACATAAGGTAAACAGGGTCCTGGCTTGGCTGTTAATTCTTGTACATTCAGCATCTGCAGGGAAAAATTGAGCTTCAGCAGCAAATAGCTTTGCCTTGCTGTATGCTGAGAGTTTGTCATAGGAAATGGAGGTATCCTATTTTCTTTTAATTTCTAAAGCATATTATAAAATATTTTGCTTTTAAAGTATTACAAAAATGTGGCTTCCAGTTCAAAATATACAAACCAAGAGTTTAATACATTTGCCAAAAAATAAAAAATAAAAAAATTTCACATAAACTCTGGGTGTATTCATAACACATAATGGGATGCATGAGAATAAATGCTTGACACTGAGGAGGATGCTTGCAAAAGACTACCTGGAAGGAATAAAATAACATGTTTTCTAAGACTTTCAGAACTATATGTTAGAAGAGGAAGGTAACATTCAAAACTGCTTCATCTCTGTTTGTGAGAGTGCTCAGGTAAACATCACCAACCTTTCCCTTTCTTTAATGCCTTTTTTCAATTATACTTTTAATTCTGGGTTACATGTGCAGAACGTGCAGTTTTGCTGCATAGGTATATATGTGCCCTGGTGGTTTGCTGCACCCATGAATCCTTCACCTACATTAGGTATTTCTCCTAATTATATCCCTCCCCTACCCTCTCAACCCATAATGAAGAGAAAAAGCCGCAAACATCTTCATTGTTCAGGTTCAAAAAAAATAGGTGGTGGCCAGGCATTACAGGTTCATTCATTTGTTTCATGCAATAAAATATATAACTCATTATTTTATCTCAAAAATGCTCTGGGTCTTCAAAGCATTTACCATCTACTGGAGATGGCAGATTTGTAAAATCATAATTAAATTCAACTTCTAGAACTTAAGAAATGATAGTTCATCTCTTCTTAGAGTACCAAAAGGTTAACATGAACATGGAAATAGTGTAAGGTGAAAGAGTTTTGGTTAAATGACCCCAAAAGCTCCTTCTACTTGGAAGATGTTATCATTCTGTGATTAGAGTCTAAGTTGATTCTACCATTTATGTCCAGGTAAATGTCTAGTATTATATTTAATATACCAAAATCTCCTCCTATAAAACAAAACAAAACAAGTATAAAATGCAAACATCCCTGTAGAATGTGCAGTGGTGAAATCTGTTCCCATTATTATCTGATTTTAGCTCAAAATTAAATAATTTGTTAACATTTTAATATTCTTGAGAAACCTGCAGTTTTTTAGGGCTTACTTTTCCATTTTTAAATTTAAACATTTTAGAAACATGCAAATTATAACTTGATTTCATTGATTTCATACTAGTCATCTGAATTAATATATTTTGAATATAAAATTATGAAAGGATTTTACTACATTAGAAATTTGTGGGAGACTGAAATCTTTTGTGTTAATGATTTAAACAACAGGTGATAAAAAGTATTTTTGAATTTGGTAAGAACAAAACCTCATGTTCTTTGATTTAACCATATTGTATAGTCTGCTAAGTAGAAAAAAATATGCATTAGAATAAATTTGGATGAAATTCCACTTATGAATCCTGCAATGTCACAGTGTAACAATGTAAAAAATACTAAAGTGAGTACTTTGCATGTTAAATTACAACATCATTGCACATTGCCTCCAGCTTTGTCATAGTTTTATCTCTCCTTTCTCCCCAATTTTGCATGTGTTATGTCTTTGTGCAGCTAAAGAAGCAATAAACAAGAACCTCAGTTTTAGGAAACATAGACAGCATTTCCTCACTGCACAACCATGTGTTTACACTCTGTATATTCATCTCAAGACTGGATGAAAACCTTTCTATCAAGGAACCGCCACAGAAAACATCCACTTTCGGCCAGGTGTGGTAGTTCACGCCTGTAATCCCAGCACTTTGGGAGGCTGAGGTGGGTGGATTGCCTGAGGTCAGGAGTTCGAGACCAGCTGGGCCAACATGGTGAAACCCCATCTCTACTAAAAATACAAAAATTAGCAGGGCATGGTGGCAGAGGCTTGTAGTCCCGGTTACTCAGGAGGCTGAGGCAGCAGAATCGCTTGAACCCAGGAGGTGGAGGTTTCAGTGAGCTGAGATCATCCCATTGCACTCCAGCCTGGTTATCAAGAGTGAGACTCTGTCTCAAAAAATAAATAAATAAATAAATAAATAAATAAATAAATAAATAAAACAAAAAAAAAGAAAAGAAAAGAAAAGAAAAAGAAATGAAGACATCAACTCAACTTTCACATTTGCCTCCATTTTCCTTCCCCTGAAATCCTAAAGCAGTCGCTGAAGGCTTTGTGCTTTTTATAGAATGTTGGTTTAGTTGGGTCACATATCAATGGGACTTTCCCACTCACTTTTTCCAGCAGTGGGGTTAGATCTCTCTGCATACCCACTTAACACTCACCTAAGTCCTTGTCTATGCTAATTGCAAATAATGATTTATTTATTAATAATTTTTAAATGAGCTACCTAAAATGTCTCTAAAGATAATAAGCAATGGAAAAGAGATGAAAATATCCAAAGAGTATACATTGGGATTAGGAGATCAATAGCATCATTGGTCTAACTGGAGGCTAAAGTCCATATGTGATAGGCAGATAGGATGTTAGGCAAATAGTGGGTGTTCCCTGGTTGAGTGAATGATTATGTCATAAAAGACAGAGTGGAGTAGAATGTAGCTAAAAATATTATTTTTAAGGAAGAAAAAGGGAGTGTTCATGAACCTAGAATTTTCATATCTTGTTGAAACCCACCAGAAGAGCTCCTTTGTCTGAGACAAATCAATACCTGCTGTGTTCTTTCTTTGTGATGGCAACAGGGACTTACCCAAAGACAAACCTGAGGACTGTGCAGACAACTTGCACAGAGGACCAAGAGGATATCTGGCTTGAAGGAGACTTCAAGATGTTTGGGGTTTTAGGGAAGAAGAGGTTGTAGAGTGGTTTATGTGTTTTATAACTTGGCATTTGCCAAGAAAACTGTAACATACTTGATCTTGAATAAATTATGGGTACTTTTCCTATGGGCTTCCTTCAACACCATTCACACACACACAAACACAAACAAACACACACACCAATGCTTACCTTCACCATTAAAGTCATCATCAGGTATGTAAAATCTAACAGGGAAATATTTTTCCTTTATTTCTTTTTTAGATACAGGGTCTTACTGTGTCACCCAGGCTGGAGTGCCCTGCTGTGGTCTTGGCTCACTGCAGCCTTGATCTCCTAGCCTCAAGTGATCCTCCCACCTCAGCCCTGTAAGTAGCTAGGACTACAGGCCAGTGCCACCATGCCCAACTCTTTTCATTTTTCTGGTAGGGACAGGGTTTAGTCATGTTGCCCAGGCTGGCCTAAACTCCTGGGCTCAAGCGAAGCCCCAACCTAGGCTCCCAAAGTACTGGGATTACAGGAGCAATCCTCCACTTTTTAATTTGTGGAAACCTGGACCTGCTTCTCTGAACCTCAATACAGAACATTAGATTGAAATAATAAGGTGGAGACTACACTGTCTCATTGTTGCTTCATTTTACCAGTAGCTATTCCATAGATAGGTCACTCTTTTGGAGTCTTTCCCTCTGGTTCCATTGCCTTAAACTGACTGTGTGATTTAGGTAGGTCTAATTTATTTATTGACCTCACAATAAATTTATTTTTTGATCTCACAAACTCTCTGTGGCTCTGAAATCTGGAGCTCACAACCTCTCAATTTCTGTTTGTTTTCACTGCAGTTTGGCTGTGATTGCACCAAGGAAAGAGATGCTTAAACATAAAGAGAAAATGTTAAACTTAGTCATTATGTAAACAACCTGGTTTAGGAAAACCAAAAAGCGGAATAGGAAGATAGGACCTATTGTCAACAAGGGCTTCCACTACTTCATTCAGGCAAGGAATCTTGAAATGAAAGATAAAGTCATTGGATTAACATTCAATTAACATGACATTAAAGTTCTAAGAATGCACTAATCTTTTCTATTTTATAATTATTTCGTATATATTTATTTACTCCCATATCACTATAATTCTAAAAAAAAATCAGAGGACCTATAATCATATTAGTCTTATTTTTAATAAGTGATGACACTAAATATTTAAAAGTTTAAATGGCTTGGCTAGGCAAGGCATGGTGGCTCATACCTGTAATCCCAGCACTCTGGGAGGCCAAGGTGGGCTGATTACCTGAGGTCAGAAGTTCAAAACAAGCCTGGCCAACACGGTGAAACCCATCTCTACTAAAAATACAAAAATTTGCTGGACGTGGTGGCAGATACCTGTAGTCCCAGCTACGTGGGAGGCTGAGGCAGGAGAATCTCTTGAACCTGGGAGACAGAGGTTGTGGATACTGCACCACACTGCACTCCAACTTGGGCAACAGAGCAAGACTATGTCTCCAAAATAAAAAATGAATAAATAGTAAATAGCTTGGCTAAAGTAGTATCCAAAATAAATAACAGTATTCAAATCAGCAATATTAATTGACAAAAATTAGACTACAACATCTTAGGAAGCAAGACTCCACAAATAAATAAAAAGCTAATTGTTTTAAATGGCCAAATATTCCAATGGACTAGATGTACCTAAAGTTTCTATCTCTGACAATTTCTAAGATAAAAATTATGATATGTACTATATGAAAATTTGATTTTTATTATATTCTAGGTAATCTATTGTTCAAATTATGACAAGAATCTAAATTGTAAATTGAATTAAAATTCATGTACTGGAAGATTATGTATGTAATGGAAAATGTTCTTCATTAGGAAAAGCTACTTCTTAATTATTCAAACAGGCATAATTCATACTACCAAATACTACCAATAATATTATTCAAAACACACATAATTTCCAAACCCTCAATAAGATTATTACTCAATATTCAAATTGCTGAAAGCTTTTTGTGCTGGGAGAGAAACATGCTATCAGAAATCCACCCCAGTTTAACTGTGCTTAAAAAAAATACTAAATACTTTTCAATTAATCCATGTCAGGGAGATCTTTATTTAATAATCTTTCATAATTATCTTTACTGGCAAGCTATGTCTACACAATGTCAAACATCAAACTGACAGATGAAAACTGGAGTAATTTAATAATTGTCACCTAGTTGCATGTCGATGTTGATTGGTTAAAACATCGGTCTCACTCTGTTAACATAGTTTTCAATTTTCACCTAGATTTTGTGATTACATGCATACAATTGGACTTTGTGTGTCTAGACAACAAGAAAATGAGAATTAATTTCTCTTTAATATCACACACAAAGAGTAGTGTTATTGCCACTTGATAGTTTAAGGGCATTTTCCAAAATGTTATTCTAATCCTTTCATGGTGAATAATTTATCTAATTCACATATGCTCAAAATCCATTTGACAACAGGAGCTCAAAAAGACTAAAATCAGGAATAAAGCAGAATGATAACAGTCAGCTCTTTTAAAAAGTGTTACTTTTCCTGAAATTCCCATTTGTTAAAACCATACTAGAAACCACCAGAAATAATGGGCTGTTGGTCTTACCTCTTCAGCTTACCCCTCCACTACAACAGTAAACAGCTATGTCACAGATGATCAGCATTTATTATGCCTGGATTAATACACATACCAGACCCACTATGCACATGCAATTTTGCTGAAATTGTCAAGTTCTGTTTTCTATTATTACTGATATTGCACTAACATCAGATTACAGGGTGCTTGTATGTGCTGGATACTAAGCATTTTATATGGATTATAACCTTAAACCTCTCAGCTACCTCTATTTTAGACATAAGGGCACTGTGTCCCATGAAAGCTGAGTCACTTGCCCATAATGATCTGCTAAGGGGATAAACTGGCATTCCAACTCCAGCAAACAAGTTTTGGCTGGAGGAGTAAACAAGGCGTACATTCAAAAGGTGAGTCACTTTGCCCAGCAGAGACCACAGGTTAAGTTGTAGCTGGAAGGAATGGAGAGCTCAGAAGATTTTGTCAGCAGTGTTTGTAAGTAGGAAAATAAGAAATGTAAAGGTGCAGCCACCATCACAAGTGAAACTCTATGGAGGCAGATGATGAAAGAACCATTTGGGTATTTTGTTATAAGTCATTCAAAGCCATCATCTCTGGAAATCTGTCATAGCTGTCTGAAAAAAAATTTAAATGACCCTTTATTACTTTCCTGTGTCAAAATAGTGTATCTGTGGAATATGCTGTTTAGGACAATTTGCCTTGGGGCTATATTAACCTAATGCAAAATGTCAAATTTGCAGAATGTCCCTGAGCATGGTGGCTTATGTCTGTAATCCCAGAATTCTGGAGCCTGAGATGGGAGGATCACTTGAGGCTAGGAGTTCCAGACCAGCCTGGAAGGCTACAACTCTTTAAAAAAATTTAAAAACTAGCCAGTCATGGTGGCTGAAAATTGTAATGTAAATCTAATAGGGGATTTTTTTTTCATTGTTTCTTTGTGGATCACTTGAGGTCAGCAGTTTGAGACCAGCCTGACTAACATGGTGAAACCTCATCTCTACAAAAATTAGCTGGGCATGGTGGCACATGCCTGTAATCCCAGCAACTCAGGAGGCTGAGGCAGGAGAATCACTTCAACCTGGGAGGCAGAGGTTGCTGTGAGTGGAGATCACACCACTGTACCCCAACCTGGGCAATAAGAGCAAAACTCCTTCTTGAAAAAAAAATATATATATCTGCTACCATTTTCTAATTTGCAGGAACCTGGACATGCTTCTTCTCTGAAGCTTAATACAGTATCAGCCTGTAGTCCCAGACACTCATGAGGCTGAGGTGGTAGAATCACTTGTGCCCAGGAATTTGAGGATGCAGTGAGCTTCTGTGCCACTGCACTAGAGCCTGGGTAACAGTGCAAGATCCCGCTCAGGGACAGGGTAACTCTCACTCAAAGTTTAGAAGAGAAATTTTTTAAAAATCTGAAAAATATCTGCCCTAAAAGAGTCATCTGTATTGTCTCCTCGACATTCTTGAGGAAGACAGAAAGCTCCAAGTGCCCAAGAGTGTTTTCAACTAGAAATTATTGGAAGTAGAATCCCAGAACGGACTTGGGGTCAGAAGGCTCAAAACCTAATGACTTCAGTGACTCTGAACTTCGTTTTCAGAGTAATACTTCATTATGAATTTCAAATCATATTAAAGGGTGATAAAACTCTTCCTTAGTTTTCTATTACCACTATCACAAATCTCCACAAATTTAGTAAGCTTGGAACAACAAACATTTATTCTTTTACAGTTTCTTCAGAGTTTCTTCTATGGGGCTAGGGTTTCTTCCAGAGGTAAAGTTTCTTCCAAGAGACAGTTTCTTCCATGGGGATAGAATTGAGGTGTCAGCAGGGCTGTTGGGCTCCTTTCTGGAAGCGCTAAGGAAGAATCAGTTTCCCTGCCTCTCTAGCTTCCAAACGCTGCTGCCTACATTCCTTTCTCCTGGCTCTCTCATACTCAAAGCCAGCAATGTCCAGGTATCTCTTTTACATGCTGCTTTACTCCAACTCTGATCTCCTCTTGAGCCTTCTGCATCCACATTGGAGGGCTTCTGTTAATATACCGTGCTCAGTTATGTAACTGAGGATAATTCTCTCTATTGGAAGGTCTGCTGGTTAGCAAACATAATTCCGTCTACAACCTTAATTCCCCTTTGCCATTTGAAGTCAATACTTAAGGCAGAGTATTGAAGAAGTCAGGTGCCATGCCTAGCAACCTATTCCGAGGTTCCAGCAATGACAGGTGAAGGGAGGAGGAAGGCCATGCACATCTCTCAAGGACCATGATTCTTCTGCCTACAAGTACCTATCACTCAAAATTAGAAATGCTTGTAAACTTGAAATCTCAGCCTCTAAAGCTTGCCTGGCATATAACTGCTCCTCAAAAATATTTTGGACAGTGAAGTGAAGCAGTGCCTGCTCATTCCAGACACCTTGTGGTAAGAACTGTCCTTCTCCCCCTGCCAACTGTTATACCCAGGAGCAGCCCAGTTTTATCACTTCTTACTATTGCGTCAACTGAGCCAATTAAAACTCTGCCCAGGGATTTTTAGTATGGAATTATGGAACTTTGTCCTTCACTGGTGGTACTGAGAAAAACAAAATGCATGTAGTGAAAACTGCAGAGAACCCTCTCACTCACCACGTAAAGCAAGTCTATTTCCAGAAAGAAGCAAAGAACCAGACATAAGATTGGTGATGTCCTTTAACTCATTTCTTCCAGGTGCCTCTAAAGTCTAGCTGCATATCTGCCCTTCTCCCAATCTGATTTCTCGACTTTTGCAGTAAATTTGGATATCTCACCACCCTTCTAATAAATTTCAATTTTTCCCTCAATGCCAGATTGAGGCTAGGTTATTTTCTACCAGCTGGACATAGTCCAACACCCTTTCACTAACGCAGAATGCCAGAAAAGTTTGTACGACTTCCTGAAAAGATGGGAGATATTCAAGGATGAAAACCGTGCTATAAATTATATCTTGAATTACATCCAGTGCTGTCTACAAGGGAAGCGAATGCATTTTTTTGTAAAAACACTAGCAAAGCCAGTTGACTTTCTAGCTTCTTTCCCTGTCGTTCATCTGCCACCCTTTCATCTTAGGTAGCTTGTCTACCCCACAAAGTGCCATGGTGAGCAGCTATGGATAACATAAAAACATTTATGGTCCCAGTCCAATGGCTTATGCCAGTAGTTCCAGCATTTTGGCAGGCCGAGGTGGGAGAGCACTTGAGCCCAAGACCAGCCAGAGCAACAATTTGTATAAATTTTTTATTTATACAAAATAAAAAATCAAAATATTAGCCAGGTGTGGTGGAGTGCACCTGTAGTCCCAGCTACTCAGAAATCTGAGATGAAAGAATTCTTTGAACCCAGAAAGTCGAGGCTGCAGTGAGCTACGATTGCACCACTGCACTTCAGCCTGGGTGACAGAGCAAGACCCTGTCTCTAAATAAAAAAAAATAAGAATAAAAATAAAATAACTTTTATTATATGGCACTGACAGAAAGAGCACGTGGTAAAGCAGAGCTTCTGTTACCATGCCACACTTAACACCCAAGTAGTAACAACAGCAACGATTGGCGCCAAGCTGCTTAACATAGATTTGTGTGTTCAAAAGTTCCAGTCAACAGATGCTTAATAGATGAATCCCTTCTATAGCCCAAATATTCTTCAGGACACAGCTCAACCATTTATAGATTCCATCAAGATTTCCTCAAAACATAACTTGTCCCTGAGCTGTCACAGAACTTTCTTTGTTCCTTCACTAGGATGCTGTGGCTTATCATCTACCTCTACGTTTACTAACTGTCCAAATTTCTACAGGTCAATGTCCATGTCACGTCTGTTTATATTTCATCATAAAGCTCCAAGCTTCACCGAATAGGTCTTCAATCACTAATCGTGGCATGTTTACTTAAGTAATAGAATTCAAAGTCGCAGGTTTCATCTTGGGGAAAAAAGATGATAGGGACACCTTGCATTCAATTATCTGCTCTTTTTTAAATAGCTTCCTTTTTCGATTGTATTGCTAGCAAAACAAACAAACAAACAAAAACAGAATTTCACTTCTCTAGAAATCACAATGGCATTTGCTGTTATCCTACAATGAAAAGACAATGATAGTGACTTTCCTTCTTTTCTGTTTTCTTTTTTTGAGACAGTGTCTCACTATGTCACGAAGGCTGGAGTGCAGTGGTGTAATCTTGGGTCACTGCAACCTCCCTCTGCCTCTCAGGTTCAAGCAATTCCGCTGTCTCAGCCTCCTGAGGCCAGGCTGATCAGAAACTCCTGACCTTAAGTGATCCACTCACCTCCGCCTACTAAAGATTAGAGGTATGAGCCACCGCACCTGGGCAATAATGACTTCCATTTATATTTTTTCTTTATATTTCCCAGGGTTTTCAGTCCCATTGAGAGGTGACAACGTGCTAGCAGCCCTCCCTCGCACCTCCTAGGCCTCGGCGTCCATTCCAGCTGCGCTTGAGGAGCCCTTCAGCCCACACCACACTATGAAAGCCCCTCTCTGGACTGGCCCAGGCGGGAGCCCGCTCACTCTGCTTGCGGTGAGGCGTGGAAGGAGAGGTCAAGAGGTGTGGGCAGGAACTGGGCTGTGCGCGGCGCTTGCGGGCCAGCGCGAGTTCTGGGTGGGCCCGGGCTCGGCGGGCCCCCACTCCGCGGGCAGCACTCGGAGTGGCAGGCCAGGGCAGAAAGGGGCTTAGCACTCGGGCCAGGAGCAGCGGAGGTTGCGCTGGGTCCCCCAGCACTGCCGGCCCGCCCGCTTGGAGCTCCAATTATCCCTAGGCCTCAGCCACCTCCCTGTGGGACAGGGCTCAGGATCTGCAGCCCGCCATGCCCTAGCCCCCCCAACGGTGGGCTCCTGCGCAGCCCCAGCCTCCCCAACGGGCACCGCCCCCTGCTCTGCAGGGCCCACTCCCATTGACAGCCCAAGGGCTGAGGAGTGCAGGCGCGGGGCACGGGACTGGCAGGCCCCAGCGCGGGATCCACTAGGTAAAGCCAGCTGGGCTCCTGAGTCGGCTGGGGAATTGCAGAACTTTTTTTTTTTTTTTTTCTTAAGATTGAGCCTTGCTCTCTATCACCCAAGCTGGAGTGCTGTGGCGAGATCTCGGCTTACTGCAAACTCAGCCTCCTAGGTTAACACCATTCTCCTGCCTCAGCCTCCCGAGTAGCTGGGACTACAGGCGCGTGCCACCATACCCGGCTAATTTTTTTGTATTTTTAGTAGAAACGGGGTTTCAATGTGTTGGCCAGGATGGTCTCCTCTCCTGACCTCGTGATCCGCCCACCTCGCTTCCCAAAGTGCTGGGATCACAGGCTGAGACACCAGGCTGACTGGGAATTGGAGAACTTTTACGTCTAGCTGGAGGATTGTATGTGCAGCAATCGGCACTCTATATCTAGCTAATCTGGTGGGGACTTGGAGAACTTTTATGCCTAGCTAGAGGATTGTAAATGCACCAATCAGCACTCTGTGTCTAGCTCAGGGATTGTACATGCACCACTCTGTCAAAATGGACCAATCAGCTCTCTGTAAAATGGACCAATCAGCAGAATGTGGGTGGGGCCAGATAAGGGAATGGAAGCAGGCTGCCCAAAGCACACAGCGCCAATCTGCTGGTGTCCTTTTCCACACGGTGGAAGGTCGTTTTGCTGTTTGCAATAAATCTTGCTGCTGCTCACTTTTTGTGGGTCCCGCAGCTTTATGAGATGTAACACTCACCTTCACAAAGGTCTGCAGCTTCACTCCCGAGGTCAGCGAGACCACGAACTCACAGGAAGGAATGAAGAACTGCAGACGCGCTGCCTTTAAGAGTTGTGACACTCACTGGGAAGGTCTGCAGCTTCACTGCTGAAGCCAGTGAGACCAGGAACCCACCGGGAGGGATGAACTACTCCGGAAGGAACCAACAACTCCAGACGCGCTGCCTCTAAGAGCTGTAACACTCACCACGAAGGTCTGCAGCTTCATTCCTGAAGTCAGCAAGACCACGAACCCACCAGAAGGAAGAAATTCCAGACACATCTGAGTATCTGAAGGAACAAACTCTGGACACACCATCTTTAAGAGTTGTAACACTCACCGCGAGGGTCGGCAGCTTCATTCGTGAAGTCAGTGAGACCAAGAACCCACCAATTCCGGACACACCTTTATGAAGAATGGAAGGGCTTTTTGCCCTGAAATCATTCAAGAATAAGACCTTAAGATGTATGTCCAAGGATACAGAGAGAAAGCACAGGTGTAAATCACTCCGGAAGTGGTTCCTTGGCTCTGTCCATTCCCCAAGACACCCTGGACTCAACTTACGGCTTTTTCTCTTCCAAGCTTTATATTTAATACAATATCTTGTGTGAGCAACTACTTCAAAATGTGTCTTTTATTTTTCCGTTACTTTTTAACCTCACTTCAATACCAAGGGTTCTCATTAAAAACCTGAAGCGTTTCCATAGCTTGTCTTTCTGTGTTCAGTCTCCTTGGTGACCAAGAGAAGTCTCAAATTGTAGTGCCATGCTCTCATGTATGAACTGACATGAACTTAGTATGTGAGATTGGAACTTCTCAGCTTGACTTTCATCAGTTTTGTTTAATCAAGCTACCAAGCCATATTCTGCACTGCTTCTTCAAAATAGTCACTCAGTTACCCCCTCTTTTCCTCTGGCTCTTTCTCTCTGACACATGTAGACACAAACTCTCAAACACACACACACATACACACACACCATGCGGATGCGGTCTCCAACTCTTCCTTGTGAGCAATATCCCATGTGTCCTACTAGAGCTTCTGACTGGCTTTGATTTTGACCTTACTTGAGCACCTATCAAAATGTTAAATATGCAATTTAAGTTAATTAACCTGTCATCTAGACAATAAAGAAATTTATAATATATAAAATCTAAATAAATTTGTATGGCATAGCTAATTACAAATATAGAAATTTGTAATTAGGTATAAAGACTCAAGACTAAGCTTAGTAGATCATGATGACAATTTGAACGAAAAGACTCAACTTCAGCAAGATGTGATTTATTTGAAGGGAATTATAAAAAATACTGCTTTCTACCGAAAAACAATTTATGTTTCATGAAACTATTGTACTACAAAGAAATGTCCAACACTTCTCATCCAAGTTATTTCTTAAATTTAAGAATAAGTACTTAACTGAAATAAAGTCTGTTTTTGCATTTTTAATAAATGTACACATTTTATGAAATTAAGAATGTGAAAGTTTTAGCAAATATGATCAAGGCAGAAAGACAAAGCTAAACAAAAAAAGTAGAGATTCTAAGTGGTCAGAGTAGAATTCTGAATTCCAGATAATAATATTTCTATCCTGCTAAACAAAAGCACTGATATGAATTCAGATACTGCCTAAGAGAAGGCCTTTGGAGAGAATCAGCGTGATGCCAACATTTCAGTAGGTTGTTATGAATGCAGAGTTCATTCACTTAGTGAATGAACAATAATTAAATATCTAAGTCTTTGTATTGCCTATCGAGTTGATAGAGATACAAAAACAACCGAGGAAACAAACAAAAAACCCTCCTAACTCGATAGTCTGTGACTTGTGGTTTGTGTAAACATGCAGGGCTGTAGCTTTGAACTCTCACAAGCAAAATTTTAAAGTTTACACATTGTGGGGAGATTTATTCTACCTTTTCAGTCACTATTAAATTTCTGATTCCCTTTTCAAGATCGTATGCGCATATTGCTTCAAAAAGACTAAAGAATAGAAGTGGAACTGGGTTTATTATGAAATTTGGATTACTTTTTCACTGAATAGCATTTTTCACAGAGTTATACTCCCCAAATTACAATTCAATACTGAATCACAATGAAACGTCCACCCTGTTTGTGGTCTCCATCCACACAATTGTACCTACAGGGCTCTGCTGTCATGGAAGCTATTGATTTTTTTCATGGGTGGTCTCATTCCATCCAACATCCTATATGAGGAGGCATCCTATTTGAAGTGCATTCATTGTTGCCAAGGCTAGCTCTATAAAATCACCAGGTCCTAGACTCTAGCATATCCAATGTATTATAAAAGCAATTGTAATACTTTGTCCTGTTTGGGGTTTTTCTCTGAATTTTTGTATTCCATTCTTTTTACTTTTGGTTTGAATAGTTCCTTTATGAGAAAGATCTCAACCCAGGTGGCTGCTCAAATGAGAACCCTAATAGATTTTGACAGCTCTTTCTCATCACACACATGCACAAAGGGGACTATTAGGCACAGAGACAGCACAGAACACCCCATGGAAGTACAGCATCCAAACGTCAGTTTGACTCCTTCAGTCACATTCAGACCTGGATTTTATGAGATGATTGGGAGATCTGTCACCCTAATGACAAGGGCAATATTCTAGAAACCACTAATATGATGAAGCAGGGTCCTTTACTTTTTTACTCTGAACTGTTCCTTGTAATCTCAATGGCAATTTGTAATCTCAATGGCACACAACCCTGGTCTAGTTTTTAATGACGCTCTACTTAGACTAACTAGCAATTACCTGGAGAGAGAGTAATCTGACAGATGCAATATAATTTTGGAGATCAATGAATTAATGTAATTGTTTATTTAATACTTTCAGCCAAATTTTACTGAAAAATATTTTCCAGGTATTAAAGTGTAAAGAACAATGAGAAGAAAAAAATTCTCCATAAAAGAAATTTATCACATTCTCCACGAAGAGCTTTATGCAAAAGACAAGCTCTAGTTTCTACATTAGATATGTCTATTATTCTCACAAATTATTTCCTTTCTTTCCAGGTATATTTTGTTCTCTGTTGTCCTTTCTCCTCATCTAAAAATGGCATATGGAAATGCTAACCGGGAAATATGATACCACTGTGGCATAACTTTGGTTATTCTTCGAGGAAATCTGAATTTGAAATCTATACAGACATAAAACTATTCATGTTTTACTAACATTAGGTTAATATATTAAATGTTTTTGTGTTTACAGACTTTCATTGGTGTTTTATAGAAAAAAGAGGAAATTTTTAAAAATATAAACACATCACGTCTAATGTAGCTAGAATCATCTGACTATATTTTGTCATTTGATCGTAGTGGATCTTGGAAGAAAACAAAGTCCAAATTTACATTAAGAAAATGGATTCTAAACAATGAAATCCTATCATTGTATGAACTACCTCATGCTTGTATATTAAAAAAAATAAAGTTTTTCTTTCAAAACTCAAAAAAGGTGCTAATATCTCAAGTCATTATGGCAGAAAGAACCATTTTCTCTATCTTTCAGTTTGTAAACTGGAGCATGGTAGTGTACTTAATTCTATTATTTTTTCTATGGATTCATTCCTTTACAGATGATTCAGGTATAACATGCAACACTATATGCTCATGTTAATTTTCATCTGCAAATAAAATTATAAAACATTAATTAGGTAATATATGAAAATAAAGTCATTATTTATAGTTTTGTCCATCCAGTAGATGTCCCAATATATACAAGTGGAACATGTGGTAAGCTGCTGCAAGAATTGCATTTGGAATATGAAAAATAAATTAAAATAAAATAAACAGGTTATAGAAAAGATCATGCAAGAGACATTATAAAACCCTCCTGGTAAATCTCTCCACACACTGCACAAGAAGTATTGTTTTCTGTTCCAGTGAGGTACTCACCATCTTCCATGGGCACATAGATGTTTAAGTAAAGGCAGTCTTCATTTTGATCTTGAACATAGGTCATCAAAGTATCCAAACTGGTGGTAAACCAGATGGGCAGCATGTCATGCAATAAGAATCTTTCATCCAGGTGCTGGGGGCACACAGCAGAAAACTGAGTAGCATTTCGGATGCCAGTCCAGGAGGATGGGGATTCTGGTGGCTGAAACCGCCTCTCTCCAGTTGGGGGTGAGGCATAGGGGACCCCTAAGTACTGCTCCACTGGACCCAAGATCTCACTGGGTAATGGTGTTCTTAGGCCCTGGATTTTACCATAATTTGTGTTGACAACTGGATACTGTGCTTGGCTGTCAATGAGGGTGAACTTGATGGCAAGAGCAGTTATCCACAGAAGAACATTGGAGTTTAACATGACACAGACAGAGGTGAACAACAAAGGGAGCCATAGCAGTCCCTGGGGACGCAACATGGTTCAAATCTGCATCCACATCCGAAGCTGTCTAAGTGAGGTGGCTCCAAGGAGACAAAGCTCAGAGGCGAGCCTGCAGAAAGATAAGTCTTTCGAAAACTCCAATGCAACCTAAAGGAGGGAGAAAGCAGACAAGAATAATGAAGCCACACAATGATCACCTAGAACACTGGCTGGCTCTTCCATGAAATCCACAACATCTCTCTATGAAATTCCTATTCATTTGTATATGAATGTGTATAGTGCCATCTCCACATAGTCGACAATAGCAAAAACATAACTTGTCTTTATTATTATTATTTTTTTTTACAGATGGTGTCTTGCCATATTGCCAAAGCTGCAGGGCAGTGGTGCTATCACAGCTCACTGCAGCCTCCAACTCCTGGGCTAAAGCCAACCTCCCACCTCAGCCTCCCGAGTAGCTGGGACTACAAGCATGCACCAGTATGTCCGGGCAATTCATTGGAATTTTTGTAGACATAGGTGTCTCTATGTTATCCAGGCTGGCCTAAAGAGATCCTCCTCAATCAAACTTTCAAAGTGTTGGGATAACACGCGTCAGTCACCATGCCTAGTGTCCATCACTTTTCTTAATCCTGGCTGTATATCCTATCACCAGAAACAATGCCTGACATTTAGAAAACACTCATCACATCTATGTTGAATGAACAAACCGACGTTCAAGAATTGTACAGGTTATGCAAGTGATAATAATGACACCTACCAATTTCACTATTGTTTACCAGACGGGTTATCAAAAGAACTTTTTCTCAAATGTTTAAGGCAATTTTCACTCTTTCCTAAGGGGATATGCATGCAGATCTAAAAGTTTTCCAGTAGGAGCAAAATAGAAGCATGCATCCAGGCCATCCTGTCATTGTGATGTGGATATTTATCAGGCCACAAGGGGAAAATCATCAAATGAAAAGAGTGTAGACTTTGGACACGAATTTTCCTTGTTCTACTCAAGTGCACATATATATTTAGGCTACATACTTCACTGTTCTGAATCTCAGTTTCTTGTAAAAAAAAAAAAAACTGTACAAGATGGTGCATTTCAAGTACATGCTTCAGTGCTGGTCTCTTGAAGACTTCTTTCATAACTAAAAGTGTTGATGCAATTATCCTGACTTTGCAGTAAGCTGCTGCATGCCTGAGAGGGTATCCTCTTCACCCTGTATCCCATTTAAAAATCTAAGGCTACATTTGAGTTACTTTCCCATTAAGACTGGAGTCAACTTTTAAAGGGTCACCACCTCAATTGGTCCCTACAAGGATAATATGACTATCCCTAGGGAAATCGCTGCTCCTGTGACAATAAAAGAATGTTGTGCAGCAATGGACAGTATGTCAAATGATCCTCTAGGGACAGAAAACGTTTCACTAGGTGTCACAAGGAGGGTGCATTTAGAGTGTTCTTCATCTCAAAGTATGCAAATGTGTTTCTGAGGAATTTGTGGGTTACTCAGAGCATTTGCATCAGAAAATAGTTATCCATTTCATTTAAGTAATCAATTGAACAAAATACATCACATGGCTTTTTCTTTTTAATAAAACATATTGGAACTGGATCTATCACAGAACAATAATACCTACTGGGGGGAAATTCCATAGTACATGACATCCTGGGAAAAGTTCAACAGAGTTGGATGAAAATGCACTGAAAATCTGGATTGTAACTTTGAAAGTGACAAATAGCATCTCATCAAATGGCTGATTTAGGTGTTTGCTACTAACTCTGAATTGTACTGTAGACAACATTCGGATGTCTGCCATGCAGCAATCCCATTTCTGAATAATTAAGAGACAGACAAGAAAAACAAAGAGTGATGTCGTGTTTGGTTGCTTCTTTTTTTAACCAGAAGATTTTTAACTAGAGGTAGCTGTTACTTTTGGAGCCTTCCCCAAGAGAATAGGTGAGACCATCACCTTTTTTATAACTTTTATTTTGGCTTCAGGGGTAGGTGTGCAAGTTTGCCATACAGGTAAACTTATGTCACAGGCATTAGTTGTACTGATTATTTCATCACCCAGATACAAGGCCTCATTCCCAATAAATATTTTTCCTAATCTTCTACCTCCTACCACTGCCCACCCTCCAATATGCTCCTTTTTCTATTGTTTCCTTCTTTGTGTTCGTAAGTTCTCATTTCTAGCTCCAACTTATAAGAGAGAATATGAAGTATGTGGTTTACTGTTTCTGCATTAATTTGCTAAGGATAATAGCCTCGAGTTCCATCCATATTCCTTCAAAGGACATAATCTCATTCTTTTATTATGACTACATACTATTCCATGGTACATATGAACCACATTTTCTTTATCCAGTCTGCCGCTGATGGGCATTTAGGTTGATTCCATGTCTTTGCTATTGTGAACAATGAAGCCATCAACTTGTAATTCAGATAAATCTGTATCCTGGGAAGCTATCTCTGTGAACTGAGGGAAGCAAGTCAATCTATGCAGACTACTAAAAGGGTAAACTAGTGTGTCCCACCTGCTTCATTAAATTGTGCAGAGCAGGACAGGAGCATACACAGGCAAAGGCTGAAGAGAACAGAAGATGTCCAGTCAACGTAGACAACATGCTGACATGTTCGCTACAGTCCTGCAAGAAAGACTTCTGGGTACAGGGACACAAGGTGCTATTAGCTCACTGTTAGTACTAAGTAGGCTGGCAGCAGCTCATTCAAATTCATTAGGCATCACTTTACCAATTTACTATTTGGAATTTCACATACTACCTAATTTAATCCCATGTAGCTGTAAAGAATTTGGTATTACACACTATCCCAGGTTGGGATTAAATGAGATAGTATGTAACCTCAAAGTATTGAACAGTTGCTGAAACAGACAGCTCAAGTGGAATTCAGTGGGTAGATTTCTTCCCAGGTTTATAATGTCAGTTCCATGAGGAATTCCAGCCCATGCCTTAAATTCTCAAACTCAATGTGAGTGAGACTGTGACTCACATATTGGTTATGACTGACCCACCTGTATGATCAAATCCTTCCTCTATCTAAATCTATAACCCACAAGGTCCTGATGGGCAGTGAACAATTATAAACTAGCAGCAGACAAAGAAGACAAGCCCAAGGGCACCTGTACGCTTCCTAAGTCTAAGTTAGGCATTCACAATACCCACAGGTTGAGAGCTATCTTTTTTTATTCCTTCATTTTTTGAAATTTAGCAAATTTGCAAAAAATTGCTATAGTCTGAAGCTCAGCATTGCCGCATCTCAGCACAATGATAATGATTTGTGAACCATATGATTCTTTGTTGTAGAGATGCCGCCTCTAAACTGTATGGTATTTTGCAGCATTCCCAGTTTCAACTCACTAGATGATGGTGGCACCTCCTACCCAGTTTTAACTGTGGAAAATGTCTCCAGACAGTGCTGAATGACCCCTGGTGGCCAAAACCACCCACAAGTGAGAGTTACTTGTCTAAGCCATCAAGCATAAAATGATAGTGGCTGTGCAAATGATTAAGTATCTGTAGGTACATTTAGAGAATATAATTTAGTGCTGCCATGTATGTGTGTATGTGTGTGAGTGTGTGTGAAAATATACTAACATATAAATTAGGGAGGATCTGGCAGGATGGCCACATATGAACAGCTCTATTCTGCAGCTTCTAGTGAGACAAATCAGAAGGCAGGTGATTTCTGCATTTCCAACTGAGGTACTCAGTTCATCTCATTGGAACTGGTTAGAGAGTGGATGTGTCCCATGGAGGGTGAGCAGAAGTAGGATGGGGCACTGACTCACCTGGGAAGTGCACGGCGACAGGTACCTTCCTCCCCTAGCAAATGGAAACCATGAGGGACTGTGACATAGCCCAGATACTATGTTTTTCCCACAGTTTTTACAACCTGTAGACCGGGAGATTCCCTAAGGTGCCTATACCACCAAGGCCCTTGTTTTCAAGCACGAAACTGGGCGATCATTTGGGCCAACACTGAGCTAGCTGCAGGAGTTTTTTTTTTTTTTTTTCATAATCCAGTGAGACAGAACCTTTCATTCCCCTGGAATGGGGGCTGAAGCCAGGAAGCCAAGTGGTCTTGTTCAGCAGATTCCACCCTCATGGAGCCCAGCAAGCTAAGATCCAATGTCTTGAAATTCTCCCTGGCAGCACACTACTCTGAAGTCCACCTGAGACACTCAAGCTTGGTAGGGGGAGGGTTGTCTGCCATTACTGAGGCTCCAGTAGGAGGTTTTCCCCTCACAGATTAAAAAAAAGCAGCCCGAAATTTCATCAGAACCCACCAGAGTGCAGCAAAGCATCTGTGGCCAGACTGCCTCTCTAGATTGTTCCTCACTGGCAGGGCAACTCTGAAAGAAAGGCAGCAGCACCAGTCAGGGACTTATAGAAAAAAACATCCATCTCTCTGAAACAGAGCACCTAGGGAAAGGGACAGCTTTGGGCATAGCTTCAGCAGAATTAAACTGCTCTGAGGAGAGCAGTGGATCTCCAGGCACAGCATTTGAGCTATGCTAAGGAAGAGACTGCCTTCTCAAGTGGGTCCCTGACCCCCTTGCCTCCTGACTGGGAGACACCTCCCAGGATGGGTCGACAGACACTTTATACAGAAGAGCTCCAACTGGCATCTGGCTTGTGCCCCTCTGAAACAAAGCTTCCAGAGGAAGAATCAGGCAGAATTATTTGCTGTTCTGCAGCCTCTCCTAGTGATACTCAGGCACACAGCGTCTGGAGTGGATCCAGGAGACCCATCTCACGTGCAAAGACTCAAATAGACTCAAAATAAAAAGATGGAGGAAGATCTACCAAGCAAATAGAAAGCAAAAAAAAAAAAAAAAAAAAAACGTAAAGAAGAAGAAGAAAAAAGCAGGGGTTGCAATCCTAGTCTATGATAAAACAGACTTGAAACCAACAAAGATCAAAAGAGACAAAGAAGGCCATTATATAATGGTAAAGGGATCAATTCAACAAGAAGAGCTAACTATCGTAAATATATATACACCCAATACAAGAGCACCCAGATTCGTAAAGCAAGTCCTTAGAGACCTACAAAGAGACTTAGACTCCCACACAATGTTAATGGGAGACTTTAACACCCCACTGTCAATATTAGACAGATCAATGAAACAGGAGGTTAACAAGGATATCCAGGAACCGAACTCAGCTCTGCAAAAACCAGACCTAATAGACATCTACAGAACTCTACACTCCAAATCAACAAAATGTCTATTCTTCTCAGCACCACATCATACTTATTCTAAAATTCACCACATAATTGGAAGTACAGCACTCCTCAGCAAATGCAGAACAACAGAAATCACAATAAACTGTTTCTCATACCACATTGCAATCAAATTAGAACTCAGGATTAAGAAACTCACTTGAAACTGCACAACTATTTGGGAATTGAACAACTTGCTCCTGAATGACTACTGGGTAAATAATGAAATGAAGGCAGAAATAAGGATGTTATTTGAAACTAGTGAGAACAAAGACACAATGTACCAGAATCTGTGGGAAACATTTAAAATGGTGTGTAGAGGGAAATTTATAGCACTAAATGCCCACAAGGGAAAGCAGGAAAGATCTAAAATCGACACCCTAACATCAGAATTAAAAGAACTAGAGAAGCAAGAACAAATTCAAAAGCTAGCAGAAGGCAAGAAATAACTAAGATCCAAGCAGAATTGAAAGAGATAAAGACACAAAAAATCCTTCAAAAAATGAATGAATCCAGGAACTGGTTTTTTGAAAAGATCAACAAAATTGATAGACTGATAGCAAGACTAATAAAGAAAAAAAGAGAGAAGAATCAAATAGATGCAATAAAAAAAGATAAAAAGGACGTCACCACTGATCCCACAGAAATACAAACTACCATCAGAGAATACTGTAAACACCTCCACACAAATAAGTTAGAAAATCTAGAAGAAATAGATAAATTCCTGGACACATACACCCTCCCAAGACTAAACCAGGAAGAAATGGAATCTGAATAGACCAATAACAGGCTCTGAAATTGAGGCAACAATTAATAGCCTACCAACCAAAAAAAGTCCAGGACCAGACAGATTCACAGCTGAATTCTACCAGAGGTACAAAGAGAAGCTGGTACAATTCCTTCTGAAACTATTCCAATCAATAGAAAAAGAGGGAATTCTCCCTATCTTATTTTATGAGGCCAAGAACTTCCTGATAGCAAAGCCTGGCAGAGGCACAACAACAAAAAAGAGAATTTTAGACCAATATCCCTGATGAACTTTAATGTGAATATCCTCAGTAAAATACTGGCAAACTGAATCCAGCAGCACATCAAAAAGCTTATCCACCACAATCTAGTTGGCTTCATCCCTGGGATGTAAGGCTGGTTCAACATATACATTGAACGTCATCCATCACATAAACAGAACCGATGTCAAAAGCACATGATTATCTCAATAGATGCATAAAAGGCCTTTGACAAAATTCAACAGCCTTCAAGCTAAAAATTCTCAATAAGCTAGATATTGATGAAACATATCTCAAAATAATAACGAGGTATTGATGAAACATATCTCAAGATAATAAGAGCTATTTTTTTACAAACCCACAATCAATATCATACTGAATGGGCAAAAACTGGAAGCATTCCTTTGAAAACCAGCACAAACAAGGATGCCCTCTCTCACCACTCCTATTCAATATAGTGTTGGAAGTTCTGGCCAGGGCAATCAGGCAAGAGAGAGAAATAAAGGATATTCAATTAGGAAATGAGGAAGTCAAATTGTACCTGTTTGGAGATGACATGATCATATATTTAGAAAACCCCATTATCTCAAAGCCAAGTCTCCTTAAGCTGATAAGCAATTTCAGCAAAGTCTCAGGATACAAAATCAATTACATACACCATTCACAGACAAACAGAGAGCCAAATCATGCGTGAACTCCCATTCACAATTGCCACAAAAAGAATAAAATACCTAGGAATACAACTTAAAAGGGATGTGAAGGACCTGTTCAAGGAGAACTACAAACCACTGCTCAATGAAATAAAAGAGGACAAAGACAAATGGAAGAATATTCCATGCTCATGGATAGGAAGAATAAATATCATGAAAATGGCCATATTGCCGAAAGTAATTTATAGATTCAATGCCATCCCCATCAAGCTGCCAATGACTTTCTTCACAGAATTGGAAACAAAAAAACTGCTTTAAAGTACATATGAAACCAAAAAAGAGCCTGCATTGCCAAGACAATCCTAAGCAAAAAGAATGAAGGTGGAGGCATCACACTACCTGACTTCAAACTATACTACAATCCTACAGTAACCAAAATGGCATGGTACTGGTACAAAACAGATATATAGACCAATGGAACAGAACAGAGGCCTCAGAAATAACACACACATCTACAACCATCTAATGTTTGACAAACCTGACAAAAACAAGAAATGGGAAAAAGATTCCCTATTTAACAAACAGTGGTAGGAAAACTGGCTAGCCATATGTAGAAAGCTGAAACTGGATCCCTTCCTTACACCTTACACAAAAATTAATTCAAAATGGATTAAAGACTTAAATGTTAACCTAAAACCATAAAAATCCTAGAAGAATCCTAGACAATGCCATTGAGGACAAAGGCATGGGCAAGGACTTCACGACTAAAATACCAAAAGCAATGGCAACAAAACCCAAAATAGACAAATGGGATCTAATTAAACTAAAGAGCTTCTGCATGGCAAAAGAAACTACCACCACAGAGAACAGGCAACCTACAGAATGGGAGAAAATTGTTGCAATCTACCCATCTGACAAAGGGTTAATATCCAGAATCTACAAACAACTCAAAGTCAAATTTACAAGAAAAAGCAAACAACCCCAACAAAAAGTGGGCAAAGGATATGAACAGACACTTCTCAAAAGAATACATCTATATAGCAACAGGCACATGAAAAAATGCTCATCTTCACTGGTCATTAGAGAAACACAAATCAAAACCACAATGAGATACCATTCACACCAGTTAGAATGGCAGTCATTAAAACGTCAGTGAACAACAGATGCTGGAGAGGATGTGGAGTAATAGTAACATTTTACACTGTTGGTGGGAGCGTAAATTATTTCAACCATTGTGGAAGACAGTGTGATGATTCCTCAAAGATCAAGAACTAGATTTACCATTTGACCCAGCAATCCCATTACTAGGTATATACCCAAAGGATTATAAATCATGCTCCTATAAAGACACATGAACACATATGTTTATTGCAGCAGAATTCACAATAGCAAAGACTTGGAACCAACCCAAATGTCCATCAATGATAGACGGATTAAGAAAATGTGGGACTTATACACCATGGAATACTATGCAGCCATAAAAAAGGATGAGATCATGTCCTTTGCAGGGACGTAGATGAAGCTGGAAACCATCATCCTCAGTAAACTGTCACAAGAACAGAACACCAAACACCACATGTTCTCATTCATAGGTGGAAACTGAACAATGAGATCATTTGGGCACAGGGTGGGGAACGTCACACATGGAGGCCTGTCAGGCACTGAGGGGCTTGGGGAGGGATAGCATTAGGAGAAATACCTAATGTAAAGGATGAATTGATGGGTGCAGCAAGCCAATGTGGCACATATATACCCATGTATCAAACCTGCATGTTGTGCACATGTACCCTAGAACTTAAAGTAAAATAAATAAATAAATAAACAAACAAACAAACAAACAAACTGGGCAGCCATTTGGGCAGACACTGAGCTAGCAGCAGGAGTTTTTTTTGTTTTTGTTTTTGTTTTTGTTTCTTCCATGCCCCAGTTCTGCCTGGAACCGCAGTGAGACAGAACTGTTCTCTCCCCTAAAAAGGGGGCTGAGGTCAGGGAGCCAAGTTGTCTTGCTCAGCTGATCTCACCCTCTCGGAGCCCAGTAAGCTAAGATCCAATGGCTTGAAATTCTCACTGCTAGCACAGCAGTCTGAAGTTGACCTGGGACACTTGAATGTGGTGCAGGGAGGGGTGTCTGGCATCACTGAGGCTTCAGTAGGCAGTATTCCCCTCATAGTGTAAATAAGCCTCCGAGAAGTTCAAACCGGGTGGAACCCACCACAGCTCAGCAAAGCTGCTGTAGCCAGACTGGCTCTCTATACTCCTCTTCTCTGGGCAGGGCATCTCTGAAAGAAAGGCAGCAGCACCAGTTAGGGGCTTATAGATAAAATTCCCATCTCCCTGGGACACAGCACCTGGAGTAAGGGATGGCTATGGGTGCAGCTTCAGCAAACTTAAATGTGCCTACCTATGGCTTGAAAGAGAGCAGAAGATCTCCCAGCACAGAACTTGTGCTCTACTAAGGGACAGACTGCCTGCTCAAGTGGGTCCCTAACCCAGGTGCTTCCTGACTGAGAGACACCTCCCAGCTGGGTTCAATGGACACCTCATATAGGAGAGCTCTGGTTGACATCAGGTGGCTACCCCTCTGGGAAGAAGCTTCCAGAGGAAGGAGAAGACAGCAATCTTTGCTGTTCTGCAGCTTCTGCTGGTGATAGCCAGGAAAACAGGGTCTGGAGTGGACCTTCAATAAACTCCAGCTGACCTGCAGCAGAGCGGCCTGACTGTTAGAAAGAAAACAAACGAACAGAAAGCAATAACATCAACATCAACAAAAAAGACACCCATGCAAAAATCCCATCTGAGGGTCACCAACATCAAAGATCAAAGTTAGATAAATTCATGAAGATGAAAAATAAAACAGTTCAAAAATTCTGAAAATTCCAAAAACCAGAATCCCTCTTCTCTTCCAAAGGATCATCACTCCTCACCAGCAAGAGAACAAAACCGAACAGAGAATGAGTTTGACAAACTGACTGAAGTAGGCTTCAGATGGTGTGAAATAACAAACTCCTCTGAGCTAAGGGAGCATGTTCTAACCCCATGTAAGGAAGCTAAGAATCTTCATAAAAGGTTACAAGAACTTCTAGCTAGAATAACCAGTTTAGAGAAGAATATAAATGACATGATATAGCTGAAAAACAAAGCACGAGAACTTCCTGAGGCATACACAAGTACCAATAGCTGAATCGATCAAGGGAAAGAAAGTATATCAGAGATTGATGATCAACTTAATAAAATAAAATGTGAAGACAAGATTACAGAAAAAATGAATGAAAAGGAATTAACAAAGCCTCCAAGAAATACGGGACTATGTGAAAACATCAAACCTATGTTTGACTGGTGTACTTGAAAGTGAGTAGGAGAATGGAACCAGTTAGAAAACACACTTCAGGATATTATCCAGGAGAACTTGTCCAGCCTAGCAAGAAGTCCAACATTGAAATTCAGGAAATAAAGAAAACACCACAAAGATACTCCTTGAGAAGAGCAACTCCAAGACAAATAATAGTCAGATTCACCAAGGTTGAAACAAAGGAAAAAATGTTAACAGCATCCCGAGAGAAAGAGCAGGCTACCTACAAAAGAGAGCCTATCAAACTAACAGCAGATATCACTGCAGAAACCCTACAAGCCAGAAGAGAGTGCAGGCCAATATTCACCATTCTTAAAATAAATAAATAAATAAATAAATAAATAAATAAATAAACAAACAAACAAACAGAATTTCACATCCAGACAAACTAAGTTTCATAATTGAGGGAGAAATAAAATCCTTTACAGAAAAGCAAATGTTGAGGGATTTTCTGACCACCAGGACTGCCTTTAAGAGCTCCTGAAGGATGTACTAAATATGGGGCAAAAAAAAAAAAAGAAAAAAAAAAAGATATCAGCTACTGCAAAAACTACCAAAATACCACTGCAAAAACTCCCAAAATGTAAAGACTAATGACACTATAAAGAAACAGCATCAACTAATATGCAAGATAATCAGCTATCATCATAATGACAGGATCAAATTCACACATAACAAGATTAAAATTACATGTAAATGGGCTAAATGCCCCAATTAAAAGACACAGACTGGCAAATTGAATAATGGGTCAAGACCCTTTGGTGTATTGTATTTAGGAGACCAATCTGACAGGCAAAGTAAAACATAGGCTCAGAATAACAGAATGAAGGAATATTTACCAAGCAAACGGAAAGCAAAGAAAAGCAGGGGTAGTAATCCTAGCCTCTGATAAAACAGACTTTAAGACAACAGAGATCAAAAGAGACAAAGAAGGGCATCAAATAATGGTAAATGGATCAATGCAACAAGAAGAGCTAACTATCATAAATATATATGCACCCAATACAGGAGCACCCAGATTCATAAAACAAGTTCTTAGAGACCTACAAACACAATAATATTGTGTTTAAGTATACTCCAACACAATAATAGTGGGAGATTTTACCACAACACTGTCAATATTAGACAGATCAATGAGACAAAAAATTAACAAATATATTCAGGACTTGAACTCAGCTCCGGACCAAGCAGACCTAAGAGACACCTATGTAACTCTTCACCCCAATCAACAGAATATACATTCTTCTCAGCACCACATCACACTTATTCTAAAGTGGACTACAAAATTGGAAGTAAAACACTCCTCGCAAATGCAAGAGAATGAAAACCATAACGAACCATCTCTCAGACAACAGTGTAATCAAATTCGAACCCAGGATTAAGATACTTACTCAAACCCACACAACTACATGGAAACTGAACAACTTGCTCCTGAATGACTACCGGGTAAATAAGGAAATTAAAGCAGAAATAAATAAGTTCTTTGAAACTGATAAGAACAAAGATACAATGTACCAGAATCTCTAAGACACATTTAAAGCAGTGTTCAAATGGAAATTTAGAGCACTAAATGACCACAAGAGAAAGCAAGAAAGATGTAAAATCAACCCCCTAACATTGCAATTAAAAGAACTATTCAAGCAAGAGTAAACAAATTTAAAACCTAGTGGAAGACAAGAAAGAACTAAGACTGGAGCAGAACTGAAGAAGATAAAGACATAAAAAAAATCCTTCAAGAAAATCAGTGAATCAAAAAGCTGATTTTTGGAAAAAATTAACAAAATAGATGTATTGCTAGCCAGACTAATAAAAAATAAAAGAGAAAAGTATCAAATAGACACAATAAAAACATTAAAGGGGATATCACTACTGATCGCACAGAAATGCAAACTACCAACACAGAATACTATAAACACCTCTACGGAAATACCAAAAGAAATGGATAAATTCCTGGACACATACACTCTCCCAAGAATAAACCAGGAAGAAGCTGAATCCCTGAATAGACCAATAACAAGTTCTGAAATTAAGGCGGTAATTAATAGACTACCAAGTGGAAAAAGCCCAGGACCAGACAGATTCACAGCTGAATTCTACCAACAATACAAACAGGAGCTGGTACCATTTCTTCTGAAATGATTCCAAACAATAGAAAAACAGGGACTCCTCCCTAACTCATTTTATGAGGCCAGCATCATCCTAATACCATGAACTGACAAAGATACAACAGAAAAATGAAATTTCATGCAAATATTCCTGATGAACATCAGTGCAAAAATCCTCAATAAAATGCTGGCAAACCAAATCCAGCAGCACATCAAAAGGTTTATCCACCATGATCAAGTCGGGTTCATCCCTTGGGATACAAGGCTGGTTCAACATAAGCAAATCAATCAACATAATCCATCACATAAACAGAAACAATGACAAAAAAACATGTGATTATCCCAATAGATGCAGAAAAGGCCTTCAATAAATTTCAACACAACGTCATGCTAAAAACACTCAATAAACTAGGTATTGATGGAACATATATCAAAATAATGAGTGCTATTTATGACAAACCCATAGCCAACATCATACTGAATTGGTAAAAGCTGGAAGCATTCCCTTGGAAAATCAGCACAAACAAGGATGCCCTCTCTCACCACTCTTATTCAACATAGTATTGAAAGTTCTGGCCAGGGCAGTCAGGCAAGAGAAAAAATAAAGGATATCCAAATAGCAGGAGAGGAAGTCAAATTATCTCTGTTTCCAGATAACATGATTGAATATTTAGAAAATTGCATTGTCTCAGCCCCAAATCCCCTTAAGCTGGTAAGCAACTTCAGCAAAATCTCAGGATACAAAATCAATGTGCAAAAATCACAAGCATTCCTATACACCAATAATGGACAATCAGAGAGACAAATCATGAGTGAACTCCCATTCACAGTTGCTACAAAGAGAATAAAGTACCCAGGAAAACAACTTACAAGGGAAGTGAAGGACCTCTTCAAAGAGAACTACAAACCACTGCTCAAGAAAATAAGAAAGGACACCCACAAATGGAAAAACATTACATGCTCATGGATAGGAGGAATCAATATTGTGAAAATGGCCAAACTGCCCAAAGTAGTTTTTAAATTCAACGCTATTCTCATCAAGCGAACAGTGACTTTCTTCACAGTATTAAAAAAAAAGGAGAAAAACACCATAAATTTCGGGTGGAACTAAAAAAGAGCTTATATGGCCAAGAAAGTCCTAAGCAAAAAGAACAAAGCTAGAGGCATCATGCTACCTGACTTCAAACTGCACTACAAGGGTACAGTAACCAAAACAGCACGGTACTGGTAAGAAAACAAATATATAGACCAATGGAACAGAACAGAGGCCTCAGAAATAACACCCACATCTACAACCATCTGAACTTCAACAAATCTGAAAAAAAACAAGCAATGAAGAAAGGATGTCCTATTTAATAAATGGTATTGGGAAAACTGGCTAGCCATATGCAGAAAACTAAAACTGAACCCTTTCTTAACACCTTATACAAAAATTAACTCAAGATGGATTAAAGACCTAACCATAAGAGAAAAAATCATAAAACTAGAAGAAAATGTAGGCAATACCATTCAGGACATAGGCATGGGCAAAGACTTCATGACTAAAACACCAAAAACAATTGAAACAAAGCAAAAATTGACAAATGAGATCTAATTAAAGAGCCTCTGCACAGCAAAAGGAACTATCATCAGAGTTAACAGGCAATGGGAGAAAGTTTTTGCAATCTAGCCATCTGACAAAGGGCTAATATCCAGAATCTACAAGAAACTTTAACAAATTTACAAGAAGAAAACAAACAACCCCATCAAAAAGTGTAAGGTTTATGAACAGATACTTCTCAAAAGAGGACATTTGTGCAGTCAACAAACATACGAAAAAAAGCTTATCATCACTGGTCATTAGAGAAATGCAAATCAAAACCACAATGAGATACCATCTCACCCCAGTTAGAATGGCAATCATTCAAAGTCAGGAAACAACAGATGTTGGAGAGGATGTGGAGAAATAGAATGTTTTACACTGTTGGTGGTAGTGTCGATTAATTCAACCGTTGTAGAAGACAGTGTCGCGATTCCTCAAGGATCTAGAACTGGAAATACCATTTAACTGAGCAATCCCATTACTGGGTACATACCCAAAGGATTATTGATCATTCTATTATAAAGACACATGTACATGCACATTTATTGCATTCCTATTTACAATAGCAAAGTCATGGAACCAAACCAAATGCCCATCAATGATAGACTGGATACAGAAAATGTGGCACACATACACCATGGAATACTATGCAGCCATAAATAAGAATGAGTTAATGTCCTTTGCAGGGACATGGATGAAGCTGGAAATGATTATTCTCAGCAAACAGAGGATCAGAAAAGCAAAAACCACATGTTCTCACTCATAAATGGGAGTTGAACAATGAGAACACATGAACATGGAGAAGTGGAACATCACACACCGGGGCTTCTTGGGGGATGGGGTGCAAGGTAAAGATAGCACTGGGACAAGTACCAAATGCTTAAAGGTTTTAAAGGCTTAAAACCTAGATGATGGGTTGAAAGGTGCAGTAAACTACCACGGTACATGTATACCTATGTAACAAACCTGCATATTCTGCACATGTATCCCAGAACTTAATGTATAATAAAAATAAATAATTAAATAATTCGACAACTTGTAAATTTTTAGCATTGCAAAAAATGTTGATATTAATAATATCAATATTTCTTATTGATATCAGTCAAATGTACATTATCATCATTAAAGAATCTCTGTAAATTTAACCAGCCTACATCCTTGCGGGCAAAAAATAAAAGATCTCCCATGTGAGTTTCACAAACTAAAATGGATTTCACAAGGGATGAAATGTGGTTATTCATAGATAAGTTGATAGAGAGATTTTTAATTTTCCTAAGATAAAAAGGGGATGCCACAAATCATTTATAAAATTTTTGATGGATAAAAAATATTGATAACAAAGGTAAAAACTAACTTCACTGTATATTTATATGTATATGTATATGTGTGTGTGTATATACGTATATATATATATGCTTTGGGAATGAAGAAGGACTATATGGCATGTCTTCTCTGCAAAGACTGCATAAAAAAAAATACCTCAGAATGGCATTTTTGACCAGTTCATAAATTGATTGGGTATTTTAAATCATCCTCTGCAGGGAAGTTATTGTGACTCAGGTTGTAATTATAGCAAGGCTCACACTATTCAAGCCTATCATAATATAATGTTCAGAACAAAAACTGTAATAAATTTCTTCCAAAAGTATGAATTCCTCAAACTGAGATTGGTTTAATTTTAAGATACATACTTAATTAAGGTGAGCCCTGATCATAGGTATTTTGGTATTTGGGTCTTATCATGAATAAAATCAGATATCCTGGGTGTTTATGGCCTTGTCTTTCAAAGGCTTGGAATATATTAGAAAATAGGAAGCTTTGTAATTGCATTAAAATAGTAAGATAAATCAGAAAGAGCACCCTCCCCTGTGTTTTACTTACAGACACACTGAAGGTCTGGGCCCACTGAGATGTCTGCTGTCAGGAGGTTTCTGAGAACAAGAAGCACTTGAGACATCTGCTTCTATCTCACATTCATTATGGAGCATCCAGAAAACAAAAGCAACAGAATCTGATCCTTGCCCAAATAACTGGGCTTGAACAACAATCCTTCTATGCTGTTCACTGACAAAGTCTAGAATAGCTATTCCCAAAACTATGCAAGCTACAGACATCTCTGGCTTCCCTCTTCTTTCATTTCTAGAGAAGACAACATTTTAGGGTACCTGAGTGGGATGTGACTTATCTTTTTTTCTGAACCCCAAAGCTCTCTGCTGTTACCTACATGGATGCCCACTCTCAACACATGGCCACGAATGCATGCACACACACCTCCTTCACCCTGCTTAACATGCATCCAACACCAACAATCGCCAATTCATCTACTTTTGTATGTGTACATATTTTAATATTCTCCTCTTTATTTCTTGTCCTGTATAAAGGAGATTACAATCTAATTTGTCTTTTGTCATATCTTAAAGAGTTCTTTGCAGTCATCTATGCAGTTTCTATAAAATTTAGAAATCAAATCTCATTTCAAAATCCACCATTTTGTACCAGAGAAATGCAAATCAAAAACTCACACCAGTCAGAAAGGCTGTTCATAAAACATCAAAAACAACAGGTGTCTTTGAGGCTGCAGAGAAGAGAAGGCTACATATACTGTTGGTGAGAATGTGAATTAGCCATTGTGTAAAACAGTATGGAGATTTCTCAAGGAACTTAAGAGGAACTACCACAGACCTAGCAATCCCATTAATTGTTTTATATATATATATAAATGAAAATAAATCATTCTAACAAAAAAGACAAATGCACACGTATGCTAATTACAGCACTATTCACAATAGCAGACATGGAATCAACCTAAGTGCCCATCAATGGTGGTTTGAATAAAGAATATGTGATACATACATACCATGGAATACTATTCAGCCATAAAAACAAACAAAATCATGTCCTCTGCAGGAACATGGATGCAGCTGGAAGCCATTATCCTAAGTAAATTAATGCAGAAACAGAAAGTTAAATACCACATGTTCTCACTTATAAGTGGGAACTAAACATTGGATACTCATGAACATAAAGCAATAACAGAAACTCAGGACTACTAAATAGGGGTGACAGAGAGGGTAAAGTTGGAAAACTACCTATTGTGTACCATGCTCCATAGGTGTATGACAGAATCATCTGCACCTCAAACCTCAGCACCATCCAATACACCCAGAGAAAAAAACTTACACTCATACCACATGAATTAAAAAAAAATGTTAAAATTATAAAAACTTGTCAAATAAATATTGAATATGTTCAAGGTAATAAATAAATAAAATGTTATTGGAATACACACAAAAAAATGAACCACTGTGAACCATTAGCTTTACTATATATTAAGTAATTGGAGAGTAAAAACGTGGCCAGGCATGGTGGTACATGTCTGTAATGCCAGGTAATTGGGAGGCTGAGCCACAAGCATCACTTGCCCAGGAGTTTGATTTTAGGCTAGGCAACATAGCAAGGCCGCTCTTAAAAAGATAAGGAAGACACCAAATATATTATCTGCAAGATGGGCTTGCACCATATTGCAGTTTAAGATATCAACTCCATCACCTCCCTCTCCATTTCTATTCTTCCACTGAAGTTTAATGGGTCAGGAACATGCATGAGCCATAATGGTAGAAACCAGAATTTTCAGCAGGGGACTTAGCAGAACCAAAACTATACCCAAGGGTAGAGTTAATCATTTATATGTTACCAAGACTGATTGGATAGGAGAATATTCCATAGATAGGAAGGCCAAATACACCATTAGGAATAGAGCATCCATCTTTCTAGAGCAAACTATGCGGACAGCAAGATCCTACACTGACCAAAGAAATAAGACAACAGCAAAGCACAGAAGTTGGGTTAGTCCATTCAGGCTGCTGTAACAAAATATCATAGCCTGGGGTGAGTGTCGTTGGGGCGGGTGGTGGTGGGGCTTATACACCATAGAGATTCATTGCTCACAGTTCTGGAGACTGGAAATCCGAAATCAAGATATGGTAGATTCAGTGTATGGTGAGGGCCCAATGCCTAGAGGGCTGACTTTTCCTTATGACTTTGGAAAAGAGGGGAGGAGCAAGTAATGTCCCTGGGGTATCTTTTAAAATGTCATTAATGCCATTCACGTGGCATCCACTCTCAACATCTCGGCAGCTCCAAAGCCCCTACCTCCTAGCACCATCACTTTGGGTTTACAATGTCAACATGTGGATTCTGGAAGGACACAAGTCTTCAGATCATAGAAGTATCCCATAAAGATCACTGCGCTTAGTAAGGGCACATAGTGGGGTTAAGAATGAGTTCCTGCCCATGAGAAGCTTAAATTTTCATGACAGTATCTATCCCTACCTGTGATGCTTTTTTTCTTATTATTCATCATCTGCATAACTAAAGCTAACACAAGCAAATAATAAATGCTTGCTAATGCTTGATTTTCTGTGTCAAATGTTTTCCAAACACAATATCTAAATCTAAGTCAAATAATTTGCAGATTCTCTGGGCTTTGTGTTCATCTGTCTCACCAAACTCAAAGTCATATATATCCTCAAGGTCATGGAAGCACACTCGTGTAGTGCCAGGTGACAAAATGTTATGTGCCACCATGCCTGTACTGCCATGACTATCTTGTCTTGAAGAATATAGTCAGATAGATATCTTATGGTTCTCCTAAAACTCTCATTCTCCAATCCCCCAAATTGCTTAAACAATTTTGTTTTATATTTAGATAACTAGATCATTATATTTTTAGTCATTCAGCCTACACTCAGAGCCATCTTTGGTGATTGATTCCTCCACCATAAATCCGTATCAAGGAAGAAGTCCTCACATCTACAGATAGCCTCAACATAGGACAAGAGGCTCAATGCCATTCATTATTGGTGAAATGCAGATGAAATCAGAATAGTATTAATAAAAATTTGATACAATGATATCAACTACTGAAGAAAGATCTGGAGCAACTAGAACTCCCATGCAATGATGCTGAGCCTCTGTGCAACCCCACTGCAAAACAATTTTAAATCACATTAGAAAGTAGAAGATACAGAATCCTATGGTGAAAGTAGACACACACACACACACACACCACGCACACACACACACACATCCATCCTCTATAGGGTTTCTAAAATATTTGCATCAGAAAATATGTACAGAAATGTCCATTGCAGCCCCAATATTTTTTCTTCAACTTTTATTTTAATTTTCATGGTAAATGTGCAGGATTTGTAGGTTTGTTACACAGGTAAACATGTGCCATGTTTATTTGCTGCACGAATCAACCCATCACCTAGGTATTAATCCCAGCATCCATTAGTTATTCTTCCTGATGTTCTCCCTCCTCCCAAATCCCCAGACAGGCCACATTATGTGTTGTTCTCCACCCACATGTGTTCACATGTTATCATCGTTGAGCTGCCACTTATAAGTGAGAACATGCAGTGTTTGGTTTTCTGTCCCTGCATTAGTTTGCTGGGGACAATGCAACCCAAATTGTAATTGCAAAAAAAGTTACGACAATCCAGATATCCATAAATAGGACAATGAATAAATAAATGTTGGCATATTAAAGCAGAAAGCTTTACACAACAGTAAAAAATGAATAAAATACAGATATATGGACCAAAATGGGAAAACCTCAAACATAAAAGCCAAGCCATAAAACACTACAAATAGTGTGATTTTCATTTACATAAGGGTAAAACTAAACAATATATTGCTCAGAACTATGTTTGTCCTGAAATAACATAGCAAGGGCATTCTGAAAACCGAATCCTGAGGAAGTACATTTCTCTGCGAGGTAGGAGACAGGAAGCAAACTCACACTGATATACAAAAACAGTGGGAATGCTCTTTCCTGGTCTGTCAGTGAGTACAATACTATGTACCTGATTATTTTTTACTCTTTAAGATGATTATCTGTGTATACGTTTTGATTCAGGTTTTGTGACTGTGATTATTTTATAATGAAAATTTAATCAAAAGATGCTCATCTGTATAGGTTTTCTTACTCAATGACTTTATTTTCCCATGTGCTGCCAAAATATCTTGGATTTAAAAATTGAAGAGAAAATCTATTTCTCCATGATTATGCGACAAGCCCAATGCAACACACCCAAGGCAACAGACCCACGTATTAGGCAGAAAAGCCCCGGGATCCTGCCAGCCATGGCCAGCAGCCAGGGAACTTGAGCCACTATAGCCGTGGTCACTAATAAGCCACGTGCTCTCTGGCCCATCATATAGTGGCCTGGACTTCATCTCCTTCCACTGCAAAACAAGGGCTTGTACCAGTGACCTCTTTTTTTTTTAACCCCCTTATTTGAGACCGAGTCTAGCTCAGTCGCCAGACTGAAGTGCAGTTGCTCGATCTCGGCTTACTGCAACCTCTGCTCCCAGGTTAAAGCAATTCTCCTGCCTCAGCCTCCCGAGTAGCTGGGACTACAGGCACTGCCGAGCTAATTTTTGTATTTTTGGTAGAGATGGGGTTTCACCATGTTGGCCAGGATGGTCTCAATCTCTTGACTTCGTGATCCGCCCGCCTCAGCCTTCCAAAATGCTAGCATTACAGGCGTGAGCCACAGCACCCAGCCGTGCCAGTGACATCTTAAGATGCTTTCACCACCAAGACGCTCTGACGCCTCAGGCTGTTATCTCCAAAGCCGACTGTAGAGGCAGTATAGGAGCCCAGTGGGAACAGAATGTCCTTCTCTGCAGTAGGAAAGCATAACGTAAGTGTAGCAATCCCTACTGCAGAAAATAGCAGGATTTAGTGAGCCAGAAACAGCGAAAGTCAATGCAACCTTCCAGCCTATCCTTTAAAAATATGTCTTTCAGGCCAGGTGTGGTGGCTCACGCCTGTAATTCCAGCACTTTGGGAGGCCTAGGTGGGTGGATCACGAGGTAAGGAGTTCGAGACCAGCCTGGCCAACATGGTGAAACCCTGTGTCTACAAAAAAAAACCACCAAAAATTAGGTGGGCGAGGTGGTGTGCACCTGTAATCCCAGCTGCTTGGGAGGCTGAGACTGGAAAAACACTTGAACCCACAAGGGGCAGGTTGCAGGGAACCTAGACTGCATCACTGGGCGACATCATTCTGGGTGACAGAGGGAGACTCTGTCTCAAAAAAAAAAAGAAAAAGAAAAAAAGAAAAATAGCCTTCCAGTTGCCTTCAGGGAGACAGAGAATAGAATGATGGTTACCATAGGCTGGGGAGAGTAATGGGAGGGATAGAGAAGTGGGGATGGTTAATAGGCACAAAAATATAGTGAGACAGAATGAAGAAGATCTAGTATTTCATAGCACAATAGGGTATCTGCAGTCAACACTAATTTACTGCATATTTTTAAATAACTAAAAGTATAAATGAAAGCCTGTAAAACAAATAAACGATAAATGCTTGAGGTGATGTGTACCCCATTTATTTTAATGTGATTTTTATCATTGTATGCCTATATTGAAATAGCTCATATAACCCACAAATATATACACCTACTAGGTACTTGTAAAAATAAAATGTTTTCCAACACCACATAATCTATATTAGCAGGCTGTAAACATGCCACCAGATTTTTGTTTATTTGAATTGTACATGAGGATTTGAAATGAGTATTTACTTTTTCCCCAGAATTCACTGTACTAATCGTACTATAAAAATAGTCTTCCTTCTTCTCATACATATTTCATGAAAGTTTGTACTTAACTTATTATATATCAAATTATAAAGTAGATTTTAATATATGCATACATGTCTTCAAACTAACCTGCTGTGTATATATATATAATATACAGAATAATATGAAACATATTCATATTATTCTATTTATATAGAATAAAATAAAACATTATTCATAGGAGCTTAATAGCCTAATATTTTGCTTGCTTATTTGAATAAATATTTTATATATGTAAGACATAGGAGCTTAATATTTTTCAGTTGCTTAGTTTGGAGAAATACTGTATACATGTACACACACACACATATATCTATATACAATAGATACATGAAACAGGAGCTTAATTGCTTTGATATTTTGGTTATTTGCAGAAATATATATTATATATATAACATAGGAGCTTAATATTTCAGTTGGTTAGTTTGAAAAACTGTTTTATACATAAATATGTGGAAAGAGCAAGAGGGGGGAAAGAGAGAGAGAAATTGACAAATAGTTTGGATATATACATTTTTGGAGGTTAGAGAGATTTATATTATATATACAATACATTAAAGCTTATATTATCCATGTAATTTCATGTGTGTGTGTGTAGAAGTATATGTATTCAAACTAACCAAGTGAAATATTAAGGTATTAAGCTGCTTAGGTTCAGGAATTTTTCCTACTCCATTCCCTGAAAATCCCATGTTCCATGCTTTATGCTGCAGATAATCAATACTACCAGTTGTGTATGATGCTGATCATCTGTTTTTGGAGAGATGGTCTGACACAAGAGCAAAGTAAAGAACAACAGGCTCAAATGCACTATAACAGGCACAAAAACACCTACTCCTGCATGTATTATGTGTCTGGGAGGTAGTATGGGGCAGAGAATTTGTGCAGTTTTACGACTATGATTCAAAGCCTGACTCTCACTTTAACTCCAGTCAGTTGTACACCATTGTGATGGTTAATGCTGAGTGTCAACTTGATTGGATTGATGGATGCACAGTACTGATCCCAGGTGTCTCTGTGAGGGTGTTGTCAAAGGAAATTAACATTTGAGTCAGTGGGCTGGGGAAGGCAGACCCACACTCAAGCGGGTAGGCACCATCTCATCAGCTGCCAGAAATTATAAAGCAGGCAGAAAAACGTGAAAAGACAAGACTGCCTTACCCTCCAAGTCTACATCTGTCCTGTGCTTGATTCTTCCTGCCCTGGAACATCAGACTCCAAATTCTTCAGCTTTGGAACTCTAACTGGCTTCCTCGCTCCTCAGCTTGCAGATCGTCTACTGTGTGGGACCTTGAGATCCCGTGAGTTCATACTGCTTAATAAACTTATATATATATATGGACACACACACACACAAATATAGATGTGTATATATATATAAAGAAGAATTTATTATATATGTATATATATAAACACTACTCTTTATCACTTATCACTAATAGGATATATATCTGTGTGTGTGTTTATATATACTATATATAAATATATATTTTGTTATATTCATATACATAATTTATATATATTTATATAAAAACATAGATATTATCTATATAAACACACATACATATATCCTATTAGTTGTATGTATATTTGTATATCCTTTACACACACAGACACACACACACACATATATATGTTATGGTAAGGGTTAGCGATATATATATATATATATATATATATATACATCTCCTATTAGTTCTGTCCCTCCAGAGAACCCTGACTAATAGAACCATCAATGTCTCCATCACTTACTTGTTAGATGGGTAGAGCAGCGGAGTAGCAGATGTAATTCAGGGATATTATTGAGAGGTGACAGCATTGCTGGCAGTCCTTAGAGCCGTTGCTTGCTCTTGGCACCTCCCCTGCCTGGGCTCCCACTTTGGTGGCATTTGAGGAGCCCTTCAGTACCCCCACTGCACTGTGGGAGCCCTTTTCTGGGCTGGACAAGGCTGGAGCCCACTCCTTCAGCTTGTAGGGAGGTGTGGAGGGAGAGGCGTGAGCGGGAACCGGGGCTGCCTGCTGTGCTTGCAGGCCAGCTGGAGTTCTGGGTGGGCGTGGGCTTGGCTGGCCCCGCACTCGGAGCAGCCGGCCAGCCCTGCTGGCCCCAGGCAATGGGGGACTTAGCATCTGGGCCAGTGGCTGTGGAGGGTATACTGAGTACCCCAGCAGCGCTGGCCCACCGGCGCTGCGCTGGATTTCTAGCCAGGCCTCAGCTGCCTTCCCACGGGGCAGGGCTCGGGACCTGCAGCCCGCCATGTCTGAGCCTCCCACCCACTCCATGGGCTCCTGTGTGGCCCGAGCCTCCCCGACGAGCACCAACCCTGCTCCACGGCACCCAGTCCCATTGACCACCCAAGGGCTGAGGAATGCCAGCGCATGGCGCAGGACTGGCAGTCAGCTCCACGTGTAGCCCCAGTGCGGGATCCACTAGGTGAAGCCAGCTGGGCTCCTGAGTCTGGTGGGGACGTGGAGAATCTGTATATCTAGATCAGGGATTGTAAATACATCAGTCAGCACCCTGTGTTTAGCTCAAGGTTTGTGAGTGCACCAATCGACACTGTATCTAGCTGCTCTTGTGAGGACGTGGAGAGTCTTTATATCTAGCTCAGGGATTGTAAATACACCAGTCAGCACCCTGTGTTTAGCTCAAGATTTGAGTGCACCAATCGAAACTCTGTATCTAGCTGCTCCGGTGAGGACGTGGAGAGTCTTTATATCTAGCTCAGGGATTGTAAATACACCAATCAGCACCCTGTGTTTAGCTCAAGGTTTGTGAGTTCACCAATCAACACTCTGTATCTAGCTGCTCTGGTGAGGACGTGGAGAACCTTTATGTCTAGCTCAGGGATTGTAAATACACCAATCGGCACTCTGTATCTAGCTCAGGGATTGTAAATACACCAATCGGCACTCTCTATCTAGCTCAAGGATTGTAAATACACCAATCAGCACCCTCTGTTTAGCTCAAGGTTTGTGAATGAAGCAATCGACACTCTGTATCTAGCTGCTCTGGTGGGGCCTTGGAGAACATGTGTGTCGAAACTCTGTATCTAACTAATCTGATGGGGACGTGGAGAACATTTGTATCTAGCTCAGGGATTGTAAACGCGCCAAGCAGCACCCTGACAAAACAGGCCACTCGGCTCTACCAATCAGCAGGATGTGGATGGGGCCAGATAAGAGAATAAAAGCAGGCTGCCCGAGCCAGCATTGGCAACTCGCTCCGGTCCTCTTCCACACTGTGGAAGGTTAGTTTTTTCGCTCTTTGCAATAAATCTTGCTACTGCTCACTCTTTGGGTCCACGCTGCTTTTGTGAGCTGTAACACTCACCGTGAAGAAGATCTGCAGCTTCACTCCTGAGCCCAGCGAGACCACGAGCCCACCGGGAGAAACGAACAACTCCAGACGCGCTACCTTAAGAGCTGTAACATTCACTGCGAAGGTCTGCAGCTTCACTCCTGAGCCAGCGAGACCACGAACCCACCAGAAGGAAGAAACTCTGAACACATCTGAACATCAGAAGGGACAGACTCCAGACGTGCCACCTTAAGAGCTGTAACACTCACCATGAGGGTCCGCAGCTTCATTCTTGAAGTCAGTGAGACCAAGAACCCAGCAATTCCAGACACATTTTGGTGACCACGAAGGGACTTTTGCCTATCGCCAAGCAGTGAGACCATCGCCTATTGCCAAGCGGTGAGACAATCGCCAAGCGGTGAGACCATCACCTATCGCCAAGCAGTGAGTACCATTGGACCCCTTTCGCTTGCTATATTGTCCTATCTTTCCTTAGAATTCGGGGGCTAAATACCAGGCACCTGTCAGCCAGTTAAAGGCAACTAGTGTGGCTGCCAGACTAAAGACGCGGGTGTCAGGCTTTCTGGGAAAGGGCTCTCTAACAACCCCCAACTCTTTGGAGTTGGGACCGTTGTTTTACCTAGAACCAGCTTCTGCTTTTTCTGTACTTCTGGGCTGAGCCGAGGGTCGACAGAGAGGAAAGCCATGCATCTCCGGGGTCCCAACAACATGTTGGTTGACCCTGCAGCCATGAGCGGAACTCTCAAGCATGTCGCCCAAGCGAGACTCGCCTATCTATCCTATCTATACTGACCCTTGCCCTCTGGGTCCCAATGCCTGCCAGACAAACTTCCTCTCGCCTCTCTTCTGAGTCTAGACCCGCTTCTAAAAATTGCTACCTGCCTCTGGTGCTTTTCTTGTTTCTCCTATAAGAATGACTTCTAGTATAAACTCCAGGACTCTGTTATCTTCTTTAGGCACCCGGGCTCACCAATCAGAAAGATACAGTTTTTGCCCAAGGCCCCATCATAGTGGGGACTACCTGGAATTTTAGGATCCCTCCTCAGACTAACAGGCCTAACAAAAGTTATTCCTGAAGCTAGGATATGGGGAGCCTCAGAAATTGTATCCTTCCTATAAGTGAGGACAAAAGGTGTCACTCTTCCAACCATGAAGATCCCTTCCCTCCCTCAGGGTATGGCCCTCCATTTCATTTTTGGGGCATAACATCTTTATAGGACAGGGGTAAAGTCCTAATACTAACAGGAGAACGCTTAGGACTCTAACAGGTTTTTGAGGATGCGTTGGTAAGGGCCACTAAATCCGATTTTTCTCAGTCGGTCCTCCTTGTGGTCTAGGAGGACAAGCAAGGGTGCAGGTTTTCAACATTGCGTCAGTAAGGACCACTAAATCCGACCTTCCTCGGTCCTCCATGTGGTCTGGGAGGAAAACTAGTGTTTCTGTTGCTGCGTCAGTGAGTGCAACTATTCCGATCAGCAGGGTCCAGGGACCGTTGCGGGTTCTTGGACAGGGAGAGAAACAAAACAAACCAAAACTGCGGGTAATTTTGTCTTTCAGATGGGAAACACTCAGGCATCAACAGGCTCACCCTTGAAATGCATCCTAAGCCATTGGGACCAATTTGACCCACAAACCCTGAAAAAGAGGCAGCTCATTTTTTTTCTGCACTGCGGCCTGGCCCCAATATTCTCTTTCTGATGGGGAAAAATGGCCACCTGAGGGAAGTACAAATTACAATACTATCCTGCAGCTTGATCTTTTCTGTAAGAGGGAAGGCAAATGGAGTGAAATGCCTTATGTCCGAGCTTTCTTTTCATTGAGGGAGAATACACAACTATGCAAAGCTTGCAATTTACATCCCAGAGGAGGACCCCTCAGCTTACCCCTATATCCTAGCCTCCCTATAGCTCCCCTTCCTATTATTGATACTCCTCCTCTAATCTCCCCTGCCCGGAAGGAAACAAGCAAAGAAATCTCCAAAGGACCACAAAAACCCCCGGGCTGTCGGTTATGTCCCCTTCAATCTGTAGCAGGAGGGGAATTTGGCCCAACCCGGGTATATGTCCCCTTCTCCCTCTCTGATTTAAAGCAGATCAAGGCAGACCTGGGGAAGTTTTCAGATGATCCTGATAGGTACATAGATGTCCTACAGCATCTAGGGCAAACCTTTGACCTCACTTGGAGAGATGTCATGCTACTGATAGTTCAAACCCTGGCCTTTAATGAAAAGAATGCGGCTTTAGCTGCAGCCTAGGAGTTTGGAGATACCTGGTGTCTTAGTCAAGTAAATGATAGAATGACAGCTGAAGAAAGGGACAAATTCCCTACTGGTCAGCAAGCCATCCCCAGTACGGATCCCCACTGGGACCTTGACTCAGATCATGGGGACTGGAGTTGTAAACATCTATTGACCTGTGTTCTGGAAGGACTAAGGAGAATTAGAAAAAAGCCCATGAATTATTCAATGATATCTACCATAACCCAGGGAAAGGAAGAAAAACCTTCTGCCTTCCTCGAGCGGCTACGAGAGGCCTTAAGAAAATATACTCCCCTGTCACCTGAATCACTTGAGGGTCAATTGATTCTAAAAGATATGTTTATTACCCAATCCATCAGCTGCAGATATCAGGAGAAAGCTCCAAAAGCAAGCCCTGGGCCCTGAACAAAATCTAGAGACATTATTAAACCTGGCAACCTCAGTGTTCTATAATAGGGACCAAGAAGAACAGGCCCAAAAGGAAAAGCGAGATCAGAGAAAGGCCACAGCCTTAGTCATGGCCCTCAGACAAACAAACTTTGGTGGTTCAGAGAGGTCAGAAAATGGAGCAGGCCAATCACCTGGTAGGGCTTGTTATCAGTGCGGTTTACTACGACATTTTAAAAAAGATTGTCCAATAAGAAACAAGCTGCCCCCTCGTCCGTGTCCACTATGCCGAGGCAATCACTGGAAGGTGCACTGCCCCAGAGGATGAAGTTTCCCTGGGTCAGAAGCCCCCAACCAGATGATCCAACAGAAGGAATGAGGGTGCCAGGGGCTAGCACCAGCTCATGTCATCACCCTCACTGAGCCCCAGGTATGTTTAACTATTGATGACCAGGAAATTGACTTCCTCCTGGATACTGGCACAGCCTTCTCAGTGTTAATCTCCTGTCCTGGACGACTGTCCTCAAGGTCAGTTACCATCTGAGGAATCCTGGGGCAGCCTGTAATCAGGTATTTCTCCCATCTCCTCAGTTGTAATTGGGAGACTCTGCTCTTTTCACATGCCTTTCTTGTTATGCCTGAAAGTCCCACACCCTTATTAGGGAGGGATATATTAGCCAAGGCTGGAGCTATTATCTACATGAATATGGGGAACAATTTACCCATTTGTTGTCCCCTACTTGAGGAGGGAATCAACCCTGAAGTCTGGGCATTGGAAGGACAATCTGAAAGGGCAAAAAAATGCCCGCCCAGTCACACAGTGAAAAAACACAAAGAGGTGGGAATCTTACACTGACAAAGCCATCAGAAAGGTGAAGGAGAAAAGGCAGAAGGAAACCATCAGGCAGATGCTGAGGTCAAAGCTGCTGCCAGGAGGAATGTCCCATTAGAAATGCCTATGGAAGGACCCTTGGTATGGAACAACCCCCTCCAGGAGATGAAGCCCCAGTATTCCCGGACTGAAACAGAATGGGGACTTTCATGGGGGCATAGTTTTCTCCCTTCAGGGTGGTTGGTGACAGAAGAAGGAAAGGTACTTATACCGGAAGGCAGCCAGTGGAAAATACTTAAGACCCTCCACCAAACTTTTCATATGGGTATTGAAAACACTAATCAAATGGCCAAATCCCTATTTACAGGGCCAAATCTCCTCCAGACCATCTGACAGGTAGTCAAAGCCTGTGAGGTGTGCCAAAAGAATTATCCCTTGGTATATCATAAGGCCCCTGTGGGGGAACAAAGAATAGGTCACTATCCCGGAGAGGACTGGCAGTTAGACTTCTCCCATATGCCTAAGTCAAAGGGATTTCAATACTTGTTGGTCTGTGTTGATACCTTTACAAATTGGATAGAAGCTTTCTCTTACAAGACAGAGAAGGCTCAGGAAGTGATTAAAGTCCTAATAATTCCTAGATTCAGGCTTCCCCAAAGCTTACAGAGTGAGAATGTTCCAGCTTTTAAAGCCACGATAACTCAGGGAATCTCCAAGGCACTAGGGATACAATATCGCCTTCATTGCTCCTGGAGGCCACAATCCTCTGGGAAGGTTGAGAAGGCAAATCAAACACTCAAGAGGCACTTAAGGAAACTAACACAAGAAACTCACCTCCCATGGCCTACTCTTTTGCCCATGGCCTTGTTGAGAATTCGAAATTCTCCCCACAAAATAGGGCTCAGTCCATATGAAATGCTGTATGGGCGACCTTTTCTCACAAATGACCTCCTACTCAATCAGGAAATGGCCAACTTTGTCAAAGATATAACTTTGGCAAAATATCAACAAAACCTTAAAAATCTACCTGAAGGATGTCACAGAGAACAGGGAACAGAGTTGTTTCAACCAGGAGATCTAGTGTTGGTCAAATCTCTTCCCTCTACCTCCCCATCTATGGACTCTTTGTGGGAAGGACCATACTCTATAATCCTCTCTACTCCCATTGCAGTTAACATGGCAGGAGTGGAAACTTGGATTCACCACACCCGAGTTAAACTTTGGACATCTCCTGAGGAACCTGCTGGATCATCAGCTCAGGAGTCCCAAGATCAGCCAGACCAGCTTCGATACACCTGCGAACCGTTGGAGGACTTGCACCTCTTATTTCAGAAGGAAACATCCCAGACTAAAAAGGCTCCTACCACTGATCCTGAGGAAAGACCTCTTCCTCCTTAAAAAAGATAAGTGAAAACAGCACACTAACCATACTCTTTGTGATAGGACAATATACTCTAGCTCCTGCCAGAATGAAAATCCTAATCACATCAACCTCCTTTCTATCTTCCTTCCTTTTGACAGTAATTTACTCCTACCTCTAACTCAGACTAGATAAAATGATCTCATTTTCTGGAGCACCCTCTTTACCTTCCTATTTGCTCTTTGCCTGTGTATCCCTCCTGCTTCCTTGGAAACCTCATACAATCACCCCTCCCCTTTCACTAGCTCCTAATTACCTCTACAAGACTCTCAACTTAACTCACACTCTGTTAAACCAGTCCAATACTTCCCTGGCAAATGACTGTTGGCTGTGTATCTCTCTATCAACCTCTGCCTACGTTGCCACTCCCATTCCTGCAAAAAACTGGGTCTTTACCAACTTGACCTTCCACCCTCGTTACGAAGGAAAAGACCCTTTCCAACTTCTAAATATGCAATCATTGGCTGACTTCCCAATATCTGATGGGACCAAAAGTACCCTAACAGGACGTGCAACCCAAATTTTATGTTCTTACATTTCCAACCTCACCTATTACACAAGCAATGAAAAGCCTTGTAACCACGAACACTATCTTAACTTTCCAAGCCCCTTTATGCATCCAATGCAACCTGTTATCAGGCCTGCCTCTGCGGCACCTACCAACGCATCAGTGTAATTACACCTTACAACTTCAAGCTCCAAATGATCATAGTAACTTTTGAGTCACCCAAACAGCTCCATTCTGATGCCTTCTCTGCTTCTCAGTGCCCCCCAAAATCATCACCTCCTCCCTGGTGAACAAACAGTCCAGGTTTTGCAATGGCAAACATACTCCCTGCATGACCAATCACCCCTGGACTCCCTGCAACAGCGCCCCTACCACTAGTGAATGCCTTCTCATCCCCTCTTTCAATCACTCTATCAGATGGTTCCTAGTGGATACAAAACATTTTTTTCTCCGATGGGAAAATAGAACACAGGGAGCCACTCAGTTTTCTCCCAACACCCCTTTCCAGCTGCTCACTGGAGGTACCTTGGCAAGTACTCTAGGAGTATGGGAAAATGAAAACAACAAACTCACACACCTTTTTTAACATACATAACCAGTTCTGTCTACCCAGCCAAGGCATATTCTTCTTATGTGGAATGTCAACCTATATCTGCCTCCCCACTAACTGGACAGGCACATGCACCTTAGTCTTTCTAAGTCCTAACATTAACATTGTCCCAGGAAATCAGACCTTATCAGTACCCCTCAAAGCTCAAGTCCGTCAGCGCAGAGCCGTACAACTAATACCCCTACTTATAGTGTTAGGAATGGCTACTGCTACAGGAACCAGAATAGCTGGTCTATCAACTTCATTATCCTACTACCACACACTCTCAAACGATTTGTCAGATAGTTTGCAAGAAATAACAAAATCTTCTTACTTTACAATCCCAAATAGACTCTTTGGCAGCAGTGACTCTCCAAAACCGCCGAGGTCTAGACTGCCTCACTGCTGAGAAAGGAGGACTCTGCACCTTCTTAGGGGAAGAGTGTTGTTTTTACACTAACTAATCAGGGATAGTACGAGATGCTGCCCGGCGTTTACTGGAAAAGGCTTCTGAAATCAGACAACGCCTTTCAAATTCTTATACCAACCTCTGGAGTTGGGCAACATGGCTTCTCCCCTTTCTAGGTCCTGTGGCAGCCATCTTGCTGTTACTCGCCTTTGGGCCCTGTATTTTTAACCTTCTTGTCAAGTTTGTTTCCTCTAGAATTGAGGCCATCAAGCTACAGATGGTCTTACAAATGGAACCCCAAATGAGTTCAACTAACAACTTCTACCGAGGACCCCTGGACCGACTTGCTGGCACTTCCCCTGGCCTAGAGAGTTCCCCTCTGAAGGATACCACAACTTCAGGGCCCCTTCTTCACCCCTATGCAGCAGGAAGTAGCCAAAGCGGTCATTGGCCAAATTCCCAACAGCAGTTGGGGTGTCCTGTTTAGAGGGGGGATTGAGAGGTGACAGCATGCTGGCAGTCCTCAGAGCCCTCGCTGGCTCTCGTCACCTCCCCTGCCTGGGCTCCCACTTTGGTGGCATTTGAGGGGCCCTTCAGCCCCTCCACTGCACTGTGGGAGCCCTTTTCTGGGCTGGCCAAGGCTGGAGCCCACTCCTTCAGCTTGCAGGGAGGTGTGGAGGGAGAGGAGTGAGCAGGAACTGGGGCTGCGTGCAGCACTTGTGGGCCAGCTGGAGTTCCGGGTGGGCGTGGGCTTGGCGGGCCCCGCACTCGGAGCAGCCGGCCAGCGCTGCTGGCCCCGGGCAATGGGGGACTTAGCACTCGGGCCAGTGGCAGCAGAGGGTGTACTGAGTCCCCCAGCAGTGCTGGCCCACTGGCGCTGCACTCAATTTCTAGCTGGGCCTCAGCTGCCTTCCCATGCGGCAGGGCTCAGGACCTGCAGCCCACCATGTCTGAGCCTCCCACCCACTCCATGGGCTCCTGTGCGGCCCGAGCCTCCCCAAGGAGCACCACCCCATGCTCCACAGCGCCTAGTCCCATCGACCACCCAAGGGCTGAGGAATGTGAGCGCATGGTGCAGGACTGGCAGGGAGCTCCACCTGCAGCCTCGGTGTGGGATCCACTAGGTGAAGCCAGCTGGGTTCCTGAGTCTGGTGGGGACGTGGAGAATCTTTATATGTAGCTCAGGGATTGTAAATACATCAGTCAGCACCCTGTGTTTAGCTCAAGGTTTGTGAGTGCACCAATCGACACTGTATCTAGCTGCTCTTGTGAGGACGTGGAGAGTCTTTATATCTAGCTCAGGGATTGTAAATACACCAATCAGCACCCTGTGTTTAGCTCAAGGTTTGTGAGTGCACCAGTCGACACTCTGTATCTAGCTGCTCTGGTGAGGACGTGGAGAACCTTTATGTCTAGCTCAGGGATTGTAAATACACCAATCGGCACTCTGTATCTAGCTCGAGGATTGTAAATACACCAATCAGCACCCTGTGTTTAGCTCAAGGTTTGTGAATGAACCAATCGACACTCTGTATCTAGCTGCTCTGGTGGGGCCTTGGAGAACCTGTGTGTCGAAACTCTGTATCTAACTAATCTGATGGGGACATGGAGAACCTTTGTATCTAGCTCAGGCACTGTAAATGCACCAATCAGCGCCCTGACAAAACAGGCCACTCGGCTCTACAATTAGCAGGATGTGGGTGGGGCCAGATAAGAGAATAAAAGCAGGCTGCCTGAGCCAGCATTGGCAACCCACTCGGGTCCCCTTCCACACTGTGGAAGCTTTGCTCTTTTGCTCTTTGCAATAAATCTTGCTACTGCTCACTCTTTGGGTCCACGCTGCTTTTATGAGCTGTAACACTCACTGTGAAGATCTGCAGCTTCACTCCTGAGCCCAGCAAGACCACGAGCCCACCAGGAGTAATGAACAACTCCAGATGCACTATCTTAAGAGCTGTAACACTCACCGCGAAGGTCTGCAGCTTCACTCCTGAGCCAGCGAGACCACGAACCCACCAGAAGGAAGAAACTCTGAACACATCTGAACATCAGAAGGGACAGACTCCAGACGCGCCACCTTAAGAGCTATAACACTCACCGCGAGGGTCCGCAGCTTCATTCTTGAAGTCAGTGAGACCAAGAACCCACCAATTCCAGACACATTATTACACATTCTATGGTATGTGTTTGAGAAAGTACAAGAGTATATGAATATACACACCTGTATTCACATACCTTACATAAAGATCCCCTACATAAAGATATGCATATGTATGTGACATGGTTTGGCTGTGTCTCCACACAAATCTCATCTAGAATTGTAGCTCTCATAATTCCCACATGTAAGGGGAGGGACCCAGTGGGAGATAATTGAAACATGGGGGCAGTTTCCACCCATGACTTATTCATTGTCATGTTCTCATGTGAACTATGAGGTCACAAGATCTGATGGTTTTTTAAAGAGGAGTTCCCCTGCACAAGCTCTCTCTTTTTGCCTGTTGCCATGTAAGATGTGCCTTTGTTCTTCCCTTGCCTTTTGCCAGGACTGTGAGGCCTCCCAACCACAAAGAACTATGAGTTTATTAAACCTCTTTTACTTTATAAATTACCCAGTCTCAGTTATGTCTTTATCAGCAGCATGAAAATGAACTAATACAGTATGTACATATAAATATATACAAATTTAGAACAATAAATATCCTCCAAAGAAATCCTAGCTAATTATAATTATTCACTGAGGTACCACTGAATGCTTCCATGGTGAAACCCACTTTGATAAAATGTAAAGATACACCAATCAAATTCCCATCCTCAAGTAGTAAACACTGCAGCTGATGAGACAAAGCTTGCCTTTCAATTGCTACAATTGAGCCATGCTCTCTTTCATTGCCCCCCACCTGCTCCTTCTGTGAAATGTTGGGCTTGTGCAGAAGGGAATTTGCAATAGAGTGTCTAGAAGACAATTCTACAATTTTAGACACGTAGAGAGAGGTAGACCAGGGGACTTCTGTAAAGACGGCAGAGAGGGGTTAAGCATTGGTATTCAATAATATGAATATGAGACCACCAAGATTTACAGAGCATGAGAAAAATGATACCAAAAGGAACATCCACATTGTCACCATTACTTACTTCCTCAGTGCTTACATTCATTGTTAGACTATGATGAGTATCTAACGGCAAAGCCCAGAGATGACTAACACTTGACCTTGGAAGAGAGAAAGTCTTCAGCAAACCCTATTAAATTAAAAGGGAGAAAAGAGACAAAGAAATTAGAGGAAACCAAGACACAGAAGGTAGAAAACTTGCAAGGTTAGGTGTGAGGGCATTCTTAGATCATCTCCTGTGGGCATGGTACTACATTAGATTCTTCTACCACCTGCTTCACTCAGGTTTCCACCATAAAATTCTCATAGCCTTCATGATGTAGTCCCTGTGGTTTTTGTCTGCAGGGATTTCATGCTGAATAGAGAGACTTGTCATTCATTGATGTAGCAGTAAAGTTCTAGAGTCTTAGTTTCAGCCAACGTCAAATAAGCCTATTTTTAAAAAGGTTATCAAAACTAGTTCTGCGAATATATTTACCTGCAATTTAGCAAACAAAATAAACAATTATAGATATCCTGTCACTTTTAACCCCATTTCCTATAAAAGGGTTTCTCACTGCTGTATCTGATGGACAGAGATAATCTTGATCACATAAACGAAATATTTAACCCAGAGTGGAAACCGAGTTCTTCTACAAAGGAAAACTGCTAGTTTGAGTAAGAACAACAATAACAAATAACTCCATTTCAAAATAACACAGTTTGACCTGGAGTAGTACTTCTGACCTGGCACGACCCTTGGCTGGTGGTGGGACTGCAGATGGTTGATCATGTGGACAGATGGAGGATAATGTGGACAAGAACAAGTGTGTACTGCCAAGTGCAAAACAGGAACCAGAACCCTCCTGAGTAACACTGATGGGTATGTTTCTATGTCTCTTTCTTTGTTTTTGTTTCTTTGTTTCTTTTTTTAAGACAGAGATTTCCTCTGTTGCTAGGCTGGAATGCAGTGGTGTGATCTCGGTTCACTGCAACTACTAACTCCCTGGTTCAAGCGATTCTCCTGCCTCAGCCTTCTGTGTAGCTGTGATTACAGGCATGCAACACCACTCCCAGCTAATTTTTGTGTTTTTAGTAGAGCCGGGGCTTCACCATGTTGGCCAGGATGGTCTCAATCACCTGACCTCATGATCTGCCCGCCTCAGCCTCCGAAAGCGCTGGGATTACAGGTGTGAGCCAATGCACCCGGCCTCTACGTTTCGTTCATAAGGAGCTTCATAACTGCTTCTCATAGCTCCCCTAATGAACTGTACAATATCCAAAAAGCTGAGTTTCTTCAGAACGTTTTCCAGTCCACCACCTGTGACCCCAGCTCCATTTTTCACAACCCTGGCTAGAGTTTCCAATTTCTATATCACAGATCCTATTTGCTAAAGTTACTCTATTTTAGGCAGACAGCTGTATGTAAGAAGTGCCTACTTCAGTGTGACGCTCTCTCTGACAGCCTACACTCTTTCTTCATGTGCTTCTTACAGTGCAGAATGACAAGATGAGGGCCTTGCAAGGTGTACAGCTCTAGGTTACTAAACACCACCTTTCCCACACAGTTTATTTCCGGAGTATGACACTGTACAAGCTCCGAGAAAAGGCAAACTTCATCTTCAGGCTTGAACATTATCATTTCCACCCACTGCCCAAAATGTTTTCACTGCCATCCCCAGACAGGAATATTAATTTGTGAAAATAGGCTCTACCCCACTGAGTCAGTTACTCCAGAGGGGCTTCTTATCCTAGGGTCAGAACTTAACTGAGATCAGACCTTCCATCCCTGGGTAACAACCAAGGCTTCCACAATCTGGCATATAGACAAGATGTTACCCATAAAAACCTCTGTATCTCATATTAGAATAGGAAGGAAGAAAAGAGGCATAAAAAAAAGCTTCTTTTAAACAGAGTTCAGGAAAGACAAGTGCAAAGTCAAGAGACAGAATCAGGATAGACCAAATAATATACTTCAGGGATCAAAGGCAACTATCTCTTTCTAAAACTCCCTCCAAAGTCTTACGAACATTCAAACAAGGCAAAGTTCATTAAAATGAAGTATGTTTTGTGTCAAAAATTGCAGTAAATAGCAGTCAATAATAATTGATATTGAGACTTCCAAGCTTGTAAAATGCAAATAACATGAAGATTTTAATCTGCCACACTCTTCACTTTCTTTTTGACATAAAAAAATTACCTCAGTATAGAATGTTTTCAACTAGTGAGTTTCACGTTCCCCACCTCTGGCAAAATTCCTCACATCACATGCAGGTTTTTTTTGGTTTTGTTTTGTTTTTTTAAAGAAACGGGTATAATAAATCAAAACTCTTCCCTCTACACAATCCTCAATGCAGACGTTCTCCACCCTAACATCAAAAATCCCAATCCCATCCAAGTTTCCTCTTTATTTATTTTTGTGGGTACACAGCATGTATATATATTTATGAGGTACATGAGATATTTTGATACAGGTATGCAATCACATCATGGAGAATGGGGTATCATACCCTCAAGCATTTACCTTTTGCCACCTAGGTGTCTTTAGATACATTCTATGGGTTCTACTAACTGCAATGGGAAAAAGGAATTACATGTTTAGTTTCATTACCGTGCACTGAAATTTAGTATTTTCTTCCATTATCAATGTTGGTAGGACAAATACCCCAAAATATTGTTTAAACTCAATTGTACTAAGAAATTGTGACTAGTATGAACCTCATAAGTAGATCCAGCTACTTAATATACAATAAAGATACACATGTATTACTACAGCCCAGTTTAAATATATCTTTTATTTTTTTTTATTTTATTGTTTGTAGAAATAGTCTCCCTTTGTTGTCCAGGCTGGCAACTTGAACTCCTGGCCTCAAGAGATCTTCTCACCTCAGCATCCCCAAATGCTGGGATTTACAAGAATGAGTCAATGCACCTGGCCTTAAATATTAATATTAATATATGTGCTAACTATTTCAATAAAACTGACTTCCTCTTATGAGTATTTACCTTATTAGAAGACTTAAACATATCATTTTTACAAAACGTACCAATTTTCCACCAAACTGCCAGAGGCATCCGTCACACACACTCACCCATGCAACGTGCAACACTGAGAATCCTTGGCTAACTGCCAGTCTGTGGTCATCACCTGCATGTCTACCTATCATGACCTAATGGGGACAGCAATGGTTGTAGGACAGCATTCTGCTTGTGGATAAGGAGGATATGCATAGAAGGATGAAATGCCGCCTCCTCAGCTATCTCATACGAGTCTTATCTGGCTGTTCTTTTCTTCCCTTGGAAGACCTGCCCTGAGCATAAGTACTTAAGAATAAATGGGCCAGGCACCAAGGCTCATCCCTGCAATACCAGCACTTTTGGAGGCCAATGCGGGAGTGGAGCCTAGGAGTTCCAGACCAGCCTGGGCAACATGGCAATACCTTGTTTCTAAAAAGATTTTAAAAATTACCTGGACAGAGTGGTACCTGCCTGCTGTCCTAGCTACTCAGGAGGCTGAGGTGGGAGAATGGCTTGAGCTCGAGACAGGGAAGTTGCAGTGAGCCCTGATCGTGCCACTGTACTTCAGCCTGGGTGAAAGAATGAAACTATGTTTCAAAAAATAAATAAATGAATGAATGTCACATATCTCCAACAAGAGGTCTTGCATAGCTGTTGCCATACCCTCCCAGGTGAGACAAGTCTTCCTGTCTTCCTGGCCATCTCTCTCTGGTGACCTTTGGTGGAACATGAGACCACCTCAGCTGAGCTTCCCCAGAGGCCACATCTGCGCTCACAAGTAATGAATAAAAAACTCTAGTGCTTCTCTCACTTAGAATATTAAGCATCTATGCCACTTGCTTAGTTTGTGGGGAATCTTCCCCAAGACCAGAAAGCCTCTAACCTAGAGAGCAGTCCCAGCAACTGAACGCATGGTCCTTCTCTGTCTGAAACAAAGCTACTTAAATATTAAGACTAAGATGTGAAACTAAAGGAAGGTCAAAGACAAACATGTCCTTCCATTCACAAACACAGAGAAAACCACAGTTCAAGTAAGTTTTCATCTAAAATCCCACAAATTAATGGAGGAGGCAACCTAGCTGAGGAAATAAAGCTTCATTAATAGACCACTGCATGTTGTGTATCAGGAACAAATATGTACTCTTTAAGGACCATGATGAAGAATTCCAGAAATGAACAGAATCAAAAAAGGCATTTCAAAACCTGCTTTTTCTCTGGTCCCATCTTATCAATCCCCTTATGTCTCAAGTCCAGGAAAAAATAAGAAGAAAGGCTCAAGGTTATAGAAGCTCCAAAATTATTTCACAAGTGGCCAAATCTTCCCCCTTCCTGAAACCCAAGAAGAGGGGAACTATCACTTGCCTCTCTTTTGAATTATAATCTGAACCATGGCCCTTTGAAATCTCAGACCTCCCCACTGTTTTTCTTAAATACATCCATGGGAAGATTTCCTTTTACCTACCACTTCTTTCTGTATAGATAGGATTTTTGAAGGGGGATCTTTCTTTCACTACGGTAATCAGATGTCACACATTTTCTACAATAAGTGGGTTTCTTGGCTATTTCCAGACCTCTTATTAAAATCTATTCTTTCACTCTTCCTAACCCAATTAAACCCAATTCAATCTCTGCCATAATTGTTCCATTTCCCCTATGTTTATCCCTTAACAAGCCTGGTTCCTGCATGTTCTTTTCAATTAGCCCACCCCAGACTTAGAGGGCGTGACTGTCCACATCTATAACATCTTCAGGCTAAATTAACATCTGGCAAAAATTCCCTCCATGGAAATCTATCACCAAGGTGAGTGCTATCTTAAGACTAAGTTCTGCCCACAACTTCAAATACTAAAGCGTCATAGACTGATTCAGTCAAAAAGGTTTTTAAACAAACAACATAAAATAATTTGCTTATATTATGTTTATACCATTTGAATTAGTTGGACCATTACAAAAACATACTGAATTTGTGGGAGAACACATACTAATTCTCCAACAACTGGTTTCAATATGTATTAACCACATAAGTATTGCTCATTGCATCCTGGAACTCCTAGGCCCTAGAAATCCTCCTGCTGGTCTCAACCCCTCAAGAAGCTGGGACTACAGGCATGTGCCATCATGTCTAATTAATTTTTTATGTTTTGAAGAGATGGATCTCCCTATGTTGCAGGCTGGTCTAGAACTCTGGCCTAAAGCAATCCTCCTGCCTCAGCCCCTCAAAGTACTGGGATTACATGCATGAGCTATTGTACCTGTCCTTTTTATTTTTTTGAGACAAGGTCTTTCTCTGTCACCCAGACTGGAGTGCAGTGGCAGGATCACAGCTCACTGCAGCCTCAATCTTTCAGGCTCAAGCAACACTCCTTCCTCAGTCTCTCAAGCAGATGAATAGCTTTTAGTAATATGCTAAAGAACGTTAAAAAATTATTAGCTTTAAGGACATTCTAAGAGTAAATTTATAAACCCAAAACCCATAACAGATAAAGGAAAATCGGAAGAGCCAGTACGAAGACTGTCCTCTCTCAGAGGGTCCATTCTTGTGGAAATAGGCTGCTAATCCAGGTCAGAGGGAGGGTCCCCCAAGGCAAGACAGATCAAAGGCATCCCCAAGACAGAAGGCAGCCAGTGAGTAAGTCCTGCTGAAATCAGAAATTTGAGCAATAGACCCAAAGATAAGACAATGTCATCTCCCAGCTGTAAATATCAGCACTGTATGGATTTGAGTTATCATCTAGGATAAAAGTGGCTCCTCAAAAGCCAATGCTTTGTAAGCCACTAGGTTCTCATTTAATAACACAAAGAACTATACCCTGAGAGATGGTCAACAAATAATCTGATATTTACCAGGCAGGAGGTACACTGAAGAAATGTAGAACACACTAGCTGCAAAAGATAAAGTATTCACTTCCTAAGTGCCAATGCTCATTAGTAGGAAAGTCAATTCTCTTCACTTCTGAAGCTTGGGAAAGGCCAGATCATAATGAAAGAAAATGGCCACTGCACAAGCATCTCTGACCACAGAATGAACTTCTAGAGCTGATAATCATGTCACTGGCCCTCGAGTTAAAGGACATCACAGAATTAGATAGCGGAATGCACAGACCGCCTTCAAGAAGCCACTTAGGATGACTGCCTGGGAAATGCAAACTGAGAAAATTATATTTAATTTAACCTCATGTGCAGTCAGAGAAACAGGAGGAATTGGAACAATTAAGCTGGAATGGTGCCATGGGCCATACACAATGGGCTTCCCATAGGATCACCTCCCACTGACCTGGAATAGCAGCCTATTTCCATGAGAAGGGACCCTTTGAGAGAGGACAGTCTTTGTACTGCCTCTTCAATTTTCTTTTACCTTTTAGGGGTTTTAGGTTTATAACCTTACTCTTAGAATGTCCTTAAAGCTAATAATTTCTTAATGTTGTTTAGCACTCCACAAAGGAGAACATTCTGTGACTTCAGTTAAGAGAGAGAGAAAAAAAAAAGGAAGCTTGGGAGAAGCATTAGGTCATTTTTAAGCAATTAAAACTTTTTATAAAGAACATATCAGATAATAAAAAAGAAATGACTAAGTGAAGTTTGCTCAATCTAAATCATCATATTATTAGTAGTTTATTACTGAAACCACTTTATCTTGTTGAAGAGTACACTGCGTAATTTTTGTTTGTTTGTTTGAGACAGGGTCTCACTCTGTTGTACAGGCTAGAGTGTGGTGGTGTGATCTCAGCTGACTGCAGCCATGACCTCCAAGGCTCAAGTGATCCTCCTACCTTAGCCTCCTGAATAGCTGAGAACATAGGCATGAACTATTACACTTGGCTAATTTTTTTCTTTTTCTTTTTTTTTTTTTTTTTTTTTTTTTTTCCATACAGATGGGGTTTCACTATGTTGCCCAGGCTTGTCTGGAGCTCTTGGATACAAATGATCCTGCCACCTCCACCCAGTACAATGTTCTGGGATTGCAGGTATGACCCATTGTGCCCAGATACAGATTTTTAAATGAAAGTAAGAATCTGAGCAAACCTAGATCCATGCTTCCTAAACTCTGCTGTATCTCACAATCCCTAAGAAGAACTGAAAAAAATCTCACTGCCCGGTCTGCATTGCAGACCAAGCAAGTCAGTATCTCTGGAGGACCATAGCACAGGCATTAATACTTATTACATTCTCCAGCTGATTCCAATGGGAAGGTACATTTGAGAAATAATGCTTTTAACTATCATATTCACATTCACATACCATTCAATCTTGGCCTTATCATTTTTCTTTTGGAAAAAAAATTTGTTTCTCCAACTGTTGGAAACCATTTCCATACCATGCCTTTCTTTGGAAACAAAGAATAGTAGAAATACCATTTGACCAAGTAATCCCATTACTGAGTATATAGCCAAAAGATTATAAATCATTCTACCATAATATGTAAGTAGTATAAAACTACTTGTTTCTTTGGAAACAAAGAAAGGCATGCGTGAGGTGTTTTTTTTTTTTTTTTTTTTTTTTTTTTGGTTTTTTTTCTTTGTTTTTTTGTTTTTTGTTTTTTGTTTTTTTTTGTGATGGAGTCTCCCTCTGTCACCCAGGCTGGAGGGCAGTGGCGCGATCTCTGCTTACTGTAAGCTCCACCTCCCAGGTTCACGCCATTCTCCTGCCTCAGCCTCCTGAGTAGCAGGGACTACAGACTCCTGCCACCATGCCCAGCTAATTTTTTGTATTTTTAGTAGAGATGGGTTTCACCGTGTTAGCCAGGATGGTCCCGCATGCATGAATTTTTAAAAGTCGAACTACTACAGGTGTTATTTGCACAACAGCACTTTCTTGCACAGCATACGACATCCCAGGACCACACTTGCTAGAAGGCAAATGCTTTCAGATTTCTTAGCTTCTCTCCTTCAAATATCTTCTTGATATTACTAAGAAATAGTTCATGCTATTTTTTCTTGATATATTGTTTTTAGATATTACCTATTAATTACCTATGGGCAACCCCCACTCTATTTGCCCCGTGTTTGTTTGTTTGTTTGTTGTTGTTTTTAGAGACAGGGTCTTGCTCTGTTGCCCAGGCTGCAGTGCAATGGTACAATCACAACTCACTGCAACCCCGACTTCCCAGGTTCAAAACATCCTCCCACCTCAGACTCTGCCATAACTAGGACTACAGGCAAGTGCCACCATACTGGCTAATTTTTTCATTTTTTTTTCTGTAGAGATGGGGTTTTGCCATATTGCCCGGGCTGGTCTCCAAGTCTTGGGCTAAAGAGATCTGCCTGTCTTGGCCGCCCAAAGTGCTGGGACTACAGGTATGATCCACTGTACCCAGCCTTCTCTCTTCAACTTTACTGTAACTGTGCAATTACTCCTGAACTAATCACTCCTGAACTAAGCCTTCTACCCCAATTAAATCTCCTTCATTGAATCACCTCCTGTTTTATCTGGAGACAATAACTGCTTCAGGTTTTCATTTCATGCTTGTCTGTGTGTATATTGTTCAATTTTTCTGGACTAAAGCCCATCTCGAGTACTATTTCTACCTGGTCAAATGGCTTACTTCCTTTTCTTTTATGTTCATTCTCCTCAAAGTTTAACTCTAGGATGTCAGATGTCCCAGCCTGCTCCAGGCAATAATCTGATGTCTTAATTACTTCAGCTGTCTTCTGTGAAGGCCACTGTTTCTTAGATTCTCCATCTTTGTATTCATCATTTATTCCACTGTTTGAAGGAACACACGATCACACATCTTTCCAAGAAGGGAAGCATGAAAGGTAAATTTTTTGAAATGATACATCAGCGTAAATGCTTTGACTCTGCCTGCCCACAAAGAGCTGCTCCAAGATAAGAGTTCTATGTGGTAAAATTATTTTTTCTTAGAATAATGAAAGTTTCTATATTTTTAACATTTGGTGAAAACATGAAGCATTCTATGAAATTACAAATTCTTGAGACGGTTTGCATCTGTATCCTCACCCAAATCTCATATTGAATTCTAATCCCCAGTGTTGGAGATGGTGCCTGGCGGGAGGTGATGGCATCATGGAGGGCAGAGTTCTCTAGAATGATACTGTATATCCCCCTTGGTACTGTATAGTAAGTGAATTCTCAGGAGATCTGGTTGTATAAAATTTTGTAGCATGTTCTGTCTCTCTCCTCTTCTTGCTCTAGCCACATAAGATGAACCTGCTTTGCTTTCACTTTCTGCCATGATTGAAACATTCCTGAGGCCACCACAGACGCTATCATGCTTCCTGTGCAGTTTAAAAAACCATGAGCCAATTAAACCTCTTTTCTTTATAAATTATCCAATCTCGGGTATTTGTGTCAGTACAAGAATGGACTAATACAGCCTTCAAGCTCTTATGGTCTTTCCCACATATTTGCTCTTCTGAAATCTCACAATGTGCTTTTGGAGTTTGGAGTTTCAATTCTTTCACTGTGATGAACCCTGATGTTGTTTCCTAAGCCTGGAAGTGTAGATCCCTCAATGCTGGGATGATGATGATGATGATGATGATGGCAATTATTATTATTATCATTTTAAGTTCTGGGGTACATGGGCAGAATGTGCAGGATTGTTACATATGTATACATATGGTATGGTGGCTTGCTGCACCCATCAACGCGTCATCAACACTAGGTATTTCTCCTAATACTATCTCTCCCCCTACTCCCCACCACATGACAGGCCCTGGTGTGTGATGTTCCCCTCCCTGTGTCCATGTGTTCTCATTGTTCAACTCCTACTCATGAGTAAGAACATGTGGTGTTTGGTTTTCTGTTCTTGTATTAGTTTGCTGAGAATGATGGTTTCCAGCTTCATCTATGTCCCTGCAAAGGACACGAACTCATCCTTTTTCATGGCTGCATATATTTCATGGTGTATTAGATAAATGCAAATCAAAACCACAATGAGATACAATCTCATGCCAGTTAGAATGGCGATCATTAAAATGTCAGGAAACAACAGATGCTAGAGAGGATGTGGAGAAATGGGAATGCTTTTACACTGCTGGTGGGAGTATAAATTAGTTCAACTGTTGTGGAACACAACGTGGTGATTCCTCAAGGACCTAGAATGAGACATACCATTTGATCCAGCAATCCCATTACTGGGTATATACAAAAAGGATTATAAATCATTCAACTATGAAGACACATGTACAGATACATTTATTTCAGCACTGTTACACAATAACGCTGGGATTACTTTTTAAACACTATTTGAATGTAAGTCACTTTTGCTTATTTGTATTCTCTGTCATCCTTCCTGAAAATACTCTTTGAATGTCAGATTCCTAGAGTCTCCATATTTGTTCCTTTCCCTTTGCTATCACTCTCTCTAACTGAAGTTTTATCCATTGGAGATCTCCTCACATTCTCTCTCCAATAGGATACTTTAATTTGTGTAATATGTTACATTTTAATAGAATTCCCATTTTTTTATGAGTCACTACTTCAGTGTATTTCCTACAGGTTACAGATTAATTTTGTCCCTGTTTCCTTGGTTGGTGTGTGTGCTACCTCCAGATGATTATTTTTTCAATTTTTAAAATGAGTTTCTTATTGAAGCCTTCTCAAGAATATCTAGGATTTAAGACTGTCTTTTCTCACTTAAGAATCAGGTCTGTGTGGATAGCCAGGGTTCCCTCCTCAGCAGGTGAACATATTGTACAGTACATAAGTAATAGGCCCAAATGGCCTTTAAATACCAATTATGGAATACTTTTCTTGGCCAGTTCAGTTTATGAAGAAAGGGATCCTCCAGGATGGACTTGAAGGAGTACGGTGACTTTCAACTTTGAAGGAAGGACAAGAAAGCTGATGATCATTAGTATGCACAGTGTAGACAATTCCCTTACAAACAAGGAGCCTAGGCCCTCACCCTCACTCCACTCTCTGATGTCTCTGGGTCCTTCTGTTCTAACTTTGTCAGGACAGACAGGGAGCCCAGGCCCTTGCCCCATCTCAACTCTCTGATATCCCTAGGTCCTTCTGTTCTGAGTTAACTTTCTCCAAAATAAACTTCATGGGGGGTGGAGCCAAGATGGCCGAATAGGAACAGCTCCAGTCCACAGCTTCCAGCATAAGCGATGCAGAACATGGGTGATTACTGCATTTCCAACTGAGGTACGGGGTTCATCTCACTGGGGAGTGTCAGAAAGTGGGTGCAGCACACCGAGCATGAGCCAAAGCAGGGTGAGGCATCGCCTCACCTGGGAAGTGCAAGGGGTCAGGGAACTCCCTTTCCTAGTCAAAGAAAGGGATGACAGACCGCACCTGGAAAATCAGGTCACTCCCACCCTAATACTGTGCATTTCCAATGGTCTTAGCAAACAGCACACCAGAAGATTATATCCTGCGCCTGGCTCGGAGGGTCCTACACCCACAAAGTCCTCACTCATTGCTAGCACAGCAGTCTGAGATCAAACTACAAGGTGGCAGTGAGGCTGGGGGAGGGGTACCCACGCTTTCTCAGGCTTGAGTAGGTAAACAAAGCAGCCAAAAAGCTCGAACTGGGTGGGGCCCACCACACTTCAAGAAGGCCTGCCTGTCTCTGCAGACTCCACCCCTGGGGGAAGGGCATAGCCAAACAAAAGGCAGCACAAAACTCTGCAGACTTAAATATCCCTGTCTGACAGCTTGGAAGAGAGTAGTGGTTCTCCCAGCACCCAGCTGGAGATCTGAGAATGGATAGACTGCCTTCTTAAGTAGGTCCCTGACCCCCGAGTAGCCTATCTGGGAGGCAACCCCTAGTAGGGGCAGACTGACACCTCACATAGCTGGGTACTCTTCTGAGACAAAACTTCCAGGGGAACAATCAGGCAGCAACATTTGCTGTTCACCAATATCCACTGTTGTGCAGCCTCCACTGCTGATACTCAGGCAAACAGGGTCTGGAGTGGACCTCCAGCAAATTCCAACAGGCCTGCTACTGAGGGTCCTGATTGTTAGAAGGAAAACTAACAAACAGAAAGGACATCCACACCAAAACCCCATCTGTATGTCACCATCATCAAAGACCGAAGGTAGATAAAACCACAAAGATGGGGAAAAAAACCGAACAGAAAAACAGGAAACTCTAAAAATCAGAGTGCCTCTCCTCCTCTGAAGGAATGCAGCACATCACCAGCAATGGAACAAAGCTGGATGGAGAATGACTTTGACAAATTGAGAGAAGAAGGCTACAGACAATCAAACTACTCTGAGCTAAAGGAGAAAGTTTGAACCCATGGCAAAGAAGTTAAAAACCTTGAAAAAAAAATAGACGAATGGATACAAGAATAACCAATGCAGAGAAGTCCTTAAAGGAGCTGATGGAGCTGAAAACCACAGTACAAGAACTACATGACAAATGCATAAGCCTCAGTAGCCGATGTGATCAACTGGAAGAAGGGGTATCAGTGATGGAAGATCAAATGAATGCAATGAAGTCAGAAGAGAAGTTTAGAGAAAAAAGAATAAAAAGAAAAGAGAAAAGCCTCCAAGAAATATGGAACTATGTGAAAAGACCAAATCTACATCTGATTGATGTACTTGAAAGTGACGGGGAGAATGGAACCAAGTGGGAAAACACTCTGCAGGATATTATCCAGGAGAAGTTCCCCAATCTAGCAAGGCAGGCCAATATTCAAATTCAGGAAATACAGAGAACGCCACAAAGATACTCCCCAAGAAGAGCAACTCCAAGACACATAATTTTCAGATTCACCAAGGTTGAAATGAAAGAAAAATGTTAAGGGCAGCCAGAGAGAAAGGTTGGGTTACCCACAAAGGGAAGCCCATCAGACTAACAGCTGATCTCTTGACAGAAACCCTACAAGCCAGAAGAGAGTGGGGGCCAATATTCAACATCCTTAAAGAAAAGAATTTTCAACTCAGAATTTCATATCCAGCCAAACTAAGCTTCACAAGTGAAGGGGAAATAAAACCTTTATAGACAAGCAAATGCTGAGAGATTTTGTCACCACCAGGCCTGCCCTACAAGAGCTTTTGAAGGAAGCACTAAACATGGAAAGGAACAACTGGTACCAGCCACTGCAAAAACATGCCAAATTGTAAAGACCGTCAAGGATACGAAGAAACTGCATCAACTAATGAGCAAAATAACCAGCTAACATAATGACAGGATCAAATTCATACATAACAAGGCTAATCTTAAATGTAAATGGGCCAAATGCTCCAATTAAAAGACACAGACTGGCAAATTAGATAAACAGTCAAGACCTATCAGTGTGCTGTATTCAGGAAACCCAGCTCATGTGCACAGACACAGATAGGCTCAAAACAAAGGGAAGGAGGAAGATCTACCAAGCAAATGGAAAACAAAAAAAGCCAGGGGTTGCAATCCTAGTCTCTGATAAAACAGACTTTAAACCAACACAATCAAAAGAGACGAAGAAGGCCATTACATAATGGTAAAGGGGTCAATTCAACAAGAAGAGCTAACTATCCTAAATACATATGCACCCAATACAGGGGCACCCAGATTCATAAAGCAAGTCCTTAGAGACCTACAGAGACTTACACTCCCACACAATAATAATGAGAGAGTTTAACACCCCACTGTCAACATTACACAGATCAGCCACACAGAAACTAAACAGGATATCCAGGAACTGAACACACCTCTGTACCAAGTGGACCTAATAGATATCTACAGAACTCTCCAACCCAAATCAACAGAATATACATTATTTTCAGCACCACACCACACCTATTCCAAAATTGACCACATAGTTGGAAGTAAAGCACTCCTCAAAAAATGTGAAAGAATAGAAATCATAACAAACTGTCTCTCAGACCACAGTGCAATCAAAATATAACTCAGGATTAAGAAACTCACTCAAAGCTGCTCAACTCCATGGAAACTGAACAACCTGCCCCTGAATGGCTACTGGGTACATAAGGAAATGAAGGCAGAAATAAAGATGTTCTTTGAAACCAATGAGAACAAAGACACTACCTACCAGAATCTCTGGGACACATTCAAAGCAGTGTGTAGAGGGAAATTTATAGCACTAAATGCCCACAAGAGAAAGCAGGAAAAATCTAAAATTGACACCCTAACATCACAATTAAAAGAACTACAAAAGCAAGAGCAAACACATTCAAAAGCTGGCAGAAGGCAAGAAATAACTAAGATCAGAGCAGAACTGAAGGAAATAGAGACACAAAAAACCCTTCAAAAAATCAATGAATCCAGGAGCTCGTTTTTTGAAAAGATCAACAAAACTGACAGACCGTTAGCAAGACTAATAAAGAAGAAAAGAGAGAAGAATCAAATAGTTGCAATGAAAAATGATAAAGGGGATATCACCACCGATCCCACAGAAATACAAACTACCATCAGAGAATACCATAAACAACTCTACGCAAATAAATTAGAAAATCTAGAAGAAATGGATAAATTCCTAGACACATACAACCTCCCAAGACTAAACCAGAAAGAAGTTGAATCTCTGAATAGACCAATAACAGGCTCTGCAATTGCGGCAATTATTAATAGCTTACCAAGCAAAAAAAGTCCAGGACCAGATGGATTCACAGCCGAATTCTACCACAGGTACAAGGAGGACCTGTTACCATTGCTTCTGAAACTAATGCAATCAATAGAAAAAGAGGAAATCCTCCCTAACTCATTTTATGAGGCCAGCATCATCCTGACAACAAAGCCTGGCAGAGTCACAACAAAAAAAGAGAATTTTAGACCAACATCCTTGATGAACACCTAGGCAAAAATCCTCAATAAAATACTGGCAAACTGAATCTAGCAGCACATCAAAAATTTATCCACCATGATCAAGTGGGCTTCATCCCTGGGATGCAAGGCTGATTCAACATGCACAAATCAAAAAACCTAATACAGCATATAAAGAGAACCAATGACAAAAATCATATGATTATCTCAATAGATGCAGAAAAGGCCTTTGACAAAACTCAACAACTTTCATGCTAAAAACTCTCAATAAATTCGGTATTGGTGGGACATATCTCAAAATGATAAGAGCTATCTATGACAAACCCACAGCCAATATCATACTGAATGGGCAAAAACTGGAAGCATTCCCTTTGAAAACTGGCACAAGACAAAGATGCCCTCTCTCACCACTCCTATTCAACATAGTGTTGGAAGTTCTGGCCAGGGCAATCAGGCAGGAGAAGGAAATAAAGGGTATTCGATTAGGAAAAGAGGAAGTTAAATTGTTCCTGTTTGCAGATGACATGATTGTATATCTAGAAAACGCCATCATCCTCAGCCCAAAATCTCCTTAAACTCATAGGCAACTTCAGCAATGTCTCAGGATACAAAATCACTGTGCAAAAATCAAAAGCATTCTTATACCAATAACAGACAAACAGAGAGCCAAATCATGAATGAACTCCCATTCACAATAGCTTCAAAGAGAATAAAATACCTAGGAATCCAACTTACAAGGGATGTGAATGACCTCTTCAAGGAGAACTACAAACCACTGCTCAATGAAATAAAAGAGGATATAAACAAATGGAAGAACATTCCATGCTCATGGGCAGGAAGAATCAATATCGTGAAAATGGCCATACTGTCCAGGGTAATTTATAGATTCAATGCCATCCCCATCAAGCTATCAATGACTTTCTTCACAGAGTTGGAAAAAACTACTTTAAAGTTCATGTGGAACCAAAAAAGACCCTGCATTGCCTAGTCAATCCTAAGCCAAAAGAACAAAGCTGCAGACATCATGCTACCTGACTTCAAACTATACTACAAGGCTACAGTAACCAAAACAGCATGGTACTGGTACCAAAACAGAGATATAAACCAATGGAACAGAACAGAGCCGTCAGAAATAATGTCGCATATATACAACTATCTGATCTTTGACAAACCTGACAAACACAAGAAAAGGGGAAAGGATTCCCTATTTAATAAATGGTGCTGGGAAAACTGGCTAGCCATATGTAGAAAGCTGAAATTAGATCCCTTCCTTATACCTTATACAAAAATTAATTCAAGATGGATTAAAGACCTAAATGTTAGACCTAAAACCATAAAAACCCTAGAAGAAATCCTAGGCCATACCATTCAGTACATAGGCAAGAGCAAGGACTTCATGTCTAAAACACTGAAAACAATGGGAACAATAGCCAAAATTGACAAATGGGATCTAATTAAACTAAAGAACTTCTGCACAGCCAAAGAAATTACCATCAGAGTGAACAGGCAACCTACAAAATGGGAGAAAATTTTTGCAATCTACTCATCTAACAAAGGGCTAATATCCAGATACTACAATGAACTCAAACAAATTTACAAGAAGAAAACAAACAACCCCATCAGAAAGTAGGCAAAGAATATGAACAGACACTTCTCAAAAGAAGATATTTATGCCACCAACAGAAACGTGAAAAAATGCTCATCATCACTGGCCATCAGAGAAATGCAAATCAAAACCACAATGAGATACCATCTCACAACAATTAGAATGGCGAATATTAAAAAGTCAGAAACAACAGATGCTGGAGAGGATGTGCAGAAATAGGAACACTTTTGCACTGTTGGTGGTACTATAAACTAGTTCAACCATTGTGGAAGTCAGTGTGGTGATTCCTCAGGGATCTAGAACTAGAAATAACATTTGACCCAGCCATCCCATTACTGGGTATAAACCCAGAGGATTATAAAACATGCTGCTATAAAGACACATGAACACGTGTGTTTATTGCTGCACTATTCACAATAGCAAAGACTTGGAACCAACCCAAATGTCCAACAATGATAGACTGGATTAAGAAAATGTGGCGCATATACACCCCTGAATACTATGCAGCCATAAAAAATGATGAGTTCATGTCCTTTGTAGAGACATGGATGAAGCTGGAAACCGTTAGATTCTCAGCAAACTATCTCAAGGACAAAAAACCAAACACCACATGTTCTCACTCACAGGTGGGAACTGAACAATGAGAACACATGGACACAGGAAGGGGAACATCACACACTGGGGCCTGTTGTGGGGTGGGGGGAGGGGATAGGAATAGCACTAGGAGATATACCTAATGTTAAATGAAGAGTAAATGGGTGCAGTACACTAACATAGCACATGTATGCATATGTACCAAACCTGCACGTTGTGCACATGTACCCTAAAACTTAAAGTATAATAAAAATAAATAAATAAATAAATAAATAATAAATTTCATTTGTTCCCTTTGGAGTAGAGGGAAGGACCATACTTTTGCCACACAGTGTATAAACCCATGTTTGGACCCAACTGATCTAAGTGTTTTGTATGAAGTTAAAACAATGTGTGTTGTTGGGGTTCAGAGAATGATACCACAAAATGAAGACTTCAACAGCCTCAGAGGCAGAAGGTTTATCTCTGACCCTTTCCTGACCTGCTGTCTCTCAATTCCATTCTCCCTAGAGGCTGGCCAAAGAAACTAGAACCTCTCCTCCTAAAGGCAGGTCATACAAACCAGACCGCTTCTCTATCAAAGCAGCCATAAAAGATGACCTTAACTTTCCCCCTGACTTTCTTAAACACTGGCCATAAAGAAATCTTCTGTCCTAACAGTGTGAATTGTAGGTCCTAAGACCCCTATTCCAGAGAGGGTCCTATCCCACATCCAGAAGGAAGAAAGTGCTGTTCAGAAAGGCCAAGAAGAATCTAGGCAGACAGGCCTGGCTGGGTTTCCCCACTCAGCCCATTAGCTTTAGATCAGGGCCTTTTTGTCCAATCTTATTTCTACTGGCTGTGCAGTTTCCTGAATCTTGGCATAAAAATTGAGTTTCCGAATAACCACATTAAAAGGTGTGCCAAGAACATGGACATATACTTCTCAACATATAAGTATCAATAAACATATGAAAAATGCTCCACATTACTGTTCATTAGGGAAATGTAAATCAAAACCACAATGAGATACCATCTCACACCAGTCAGAATGGCTACTATTAAAAAGTCAAAAACAAAAACAAAAAAAACCCAACAAAAGCTAGTGAGGTTGCAGAGAAAAAGGAATGCTTATATACTCCTGGTGAGAACGTAAAATATTTACGCTACTATGGAGAGTAGTTTGGAGATTTCTCAAAGGACTTAGAACAAAACTACCATTTGGCCCAGCAATCCCATTACTGGGTGTATACCTAGAGGAAAATAAATTTTTCTACAAAAAAGACACATGCAGTTGTATGTTCACTGCAGTAATATTCACAATAGCAAAAACAGGCATGAGTCAACCTGGATGCTTATCAGTGGTGGAATAAAGAAAATGTGGTATACATGCACTGTGGAATACTATGCAACCATGAAAACGAACAAAATCAGGTCCTTTGCAGAAACATGAATACTGCTGGAGGCCACCATACTAAATGAATTAACACAGGATACAGGAAATTAAATACTGTATGTTCTCAGTTACAAGTGGGAGCTTGAGTAAATCTGGAAAGAAAGATGGGAACAATAGGCACAGGGACTACTAGACTGGGGAGAAAGCAGGGTATGGGTTGAAAAGCTAGCTAGTGGCCACTATGCTTACCACTATTGATTGGGATCAACAGTACCTTATACATCAGCACCATGAAATATTCTCATGTAGCAAGGCTGTATCCTCTGAATTTAAAATAAAAGTTGAAATTAAGAAAAAAAAATGGTCTCCATCTTATCTTTGCGTCTTCGTTCTGAAGGCTCTTGTGTTACACAGATCTATGACTTAATAAATATGTATCGCTTTTCTACTATTAATCTGCTTTTTGTGACATGATTTTCAGTGAGCCTCCAGTGGGTGAAAGGGAAGGTTTTCCTTGGCTAATACATTGTTCAGTCCCACCTGGATATAGAGAAACACCATATCCTCCATATCTTTGAAATAATTTGCTGATTTTTCCTCTGAGAAAAACAGCACCACATGTAATACAATTACTCAAATTCTAACTTAAATTTAAAAAATATATATATGGTAATACAATTACTCAAATTCTAACTTAAATTTAAAAAAAATATATATATGTTTAAAAGAAAGGGTGAGGGTAGCATGAAATTATCTCTATGTTTCTCACTCAAAGAAGATGTAATGCTTTCTATGAAATATAATCATTTTATTAAACACTACCCACTGCCATGTAATATATAATCAGTTCCAATATTCCTCAAGTGCTATTACATTCTTTCCTCCCACATATCGTCATAAAGCATTCACTTTAGTTTTTCCTTTTTATCTGGCAAAGATGCTACTAATACCAATGATTAACATGATTTTTAAATAAGAAAGAAATAGGACTGCAAGTAAAAACTTACATAGAAAAATACAATGGAACAACAGGTGAGGGTTAAAATATGGGATACATATGGTAACCTGCAGTTCTAGACTTTCCTCAGTTAACATTATCATTTCCCTCTTTGTCATCCAATCATCTCAAGAACACAAGCAGTGACTCTGCTGTATCTCATTCTCCTGAAGGGCTCACTGTGGCCTCTACAGCTCCTACTCTGGCCAGGGGTCTCTAATATGAAAAGAATACAAGAATCTCGTATATACCTTTAGAAAACAGAACATCCTCTCACTCATAGGTGGGAATTGAACAATGAGAACACATGGACACATGAAGGGGAACATCACTCACTGGGACCTGTTGTGGGGTGGAGGGAGTGGGGAGGGATAGCATTAGGAGATATAGCTAATGTTAAGTGACGAGTTAACGGGTGTAGCACACCAGCATGGCACATGTATACGTATGTAACAAACCTGCACGTAGTGCACATGTACCCTAAAACTTAAAGTATAATTTAAAAAAAAAAAGAAAGAAAACAGAACATCCAAGGCAACAGATTGTTACTGGGGATTACACTAAGGTCTAATTAAAGTCACTGAATATGCTAATATTCTACTAGGTGTAGTAACACAGAACTATACTATCCCTCAAATTCAAATCAAGGCTGAGCACAGTGGCTCACACTTGTATTTCCAGCACTTGGGAAGGCTAAGGTGGGCAGATTGCTCAAGCCCAGGATTTCCAGACTAGGCTGAGTAACATGGCAAAACCCCATCTCTACAAAAAAATAAAAAAATTAGCCAAGCATGGTGGCACACACTTGTATACCTGTAGTTCCAGCTACTCAGGAGGCTGAGGTGGGAGGATTGCTTGAGCACAGAAGGTCAAAGCTGCAGTGAGCTGAGATGGCACAACTGCACTTCAGTCTGGGTGACAGAATGAGACCCTGTTACAATAAAAAAAAAAAAAAAAAATCTGGGCGTGGTGGCTCACACTTGTAATCCGAGCACTTTGGGAGGCCAAGGTGGGTGGATCACCTGAGGTCAGGAGTTCGAGACCAGCCTCAACATGGAGAAACCTCTCTCTACTAAAAATACAAAAAATTTGCCAGGCGTGGTGGTACATGCCTATAATCCCAGCTACTGGGGAGGCTGAGGCAGAAGAATTGCTTGAACCCGGAGGCAGTGGTTGCAGTAAGCCAAGATTGTGCCATTGCACTCCAGCCTGGGCAGCAAGAGCAAAACTCCATCTCCCAAAAAAAAAAAAAAAAAAAAAAAAATTCAAAGCAAAGAAAGAGTGAATACAGTCACCATAACCATTAGCATGTTCCCAGCCACAATCAGTTGTTATAAAATGGCAAAATTCAAATTAACCCTTGCTAAACAAAATAACACATATATCTAACTAGATCTACTGCTTACTTTACTTCATCCCCCTAGGGCAGGAAATATGAAGCTGGCTTTCAAAATTATAGAAGACATTCAGGAGCGGGTTGTTCAGTTTCCAGGTATTTGTGTGGTTTTGAGTGAGTTTCTTAATCCTGAGTTCTAATTTGATTGCACAGTGGTCTGGTAGACTGTTTGCTCTAATTTCTGTTCTTCTGCATTTGCTGAGGAGTGTTTTACTTGCAGTTCTGTAGTCCATTATAGAATAAGTGTGATGTGGTGCTGAGAAGAATGTATATTCTGTTGATTTGGGATGGAGAGCATTTGCTAAGGAGTGTTTTACTTGCAGTTCTGTGGTCCATTATAGAATAAGTGTGATGTGGTGCTGAGAAGAATGTATATTCTGTTGATTTGGGGTGGAGAGCTCTGTAGATGTCTATTAGATCCACTTGGTCCAGAGCTGAGTTAAGTCCTGAATATCCTTGTTAATTTTCTGTCTCATTGATCTGTCTAATATTGACACTGGGCTGTTAAAGTCTCCCACTATTATTGTGTGGGAGTGCAAGTCTCTTTGTCGGTCTCTAAGAACTTACTTTATGAATCTGGATGCTCCTGTATTGGATGCATATCTATGTAGGATAGTCAGTGCTTCTTGCTGCATAGATCCCTTTACCATTATGTAATGCCCTTCTTTGTCTCTTTTGATCTTTGTTGGTTTAAAGTCTGTTTTATCAGAGACTAGGATAGCAACCCCTGCCTTTTTTTGTTTTCCATTTGCTTGGTAGATCTTCCTCCATCCCTTTATTTTGAGCCTATGTGTGTCTTTGCACGTGAGATGGGTTTCCTGAATATAGCACACTGATGGGTCCTGACTCTTTATCCAATTTGCCAGTCTGTGTCTTTTAATTAGGACATTTAGCCCATTTACATTTAAGGTTAATATTGTTATGTGTGAATTTGATCCTATCATTATGATTTTAGCTGGTTATTATGCCCATTAATTGATGCAGTTTCTTTATAGTGTCAATGGTCTTTAGAATTTGGCATGTTTTTGCAGTGGCTGGTACTGGTTGCTGCTTTCCTTATTTGTCCTTCCTTCAGGCACTCTTGTAAGGCAGGTCTGGTAGTCACAAAATCCCTCAGCCTATGCTTGTCTGTAAAGGATTTTATTTCTCCTTTGCTTAAGAAGATTAATTTGGCTGGATATGAAATTCTGGGTTGAAAATTCTTTCCTTTAAGAATGTTGAATATTTACCCCCCCACTCTCTTCTGGCTTGTAGGGTTTCTGCAGAGAGATCTGCTGTTAGTCTGATGGGCTTCCCTTTATAAGTAACCCGACCTTTCTCTCTGGCTGCCCTTAACATTTTTTCCTTCATTTCAACCTTGGTGAATCTGATGACAATGTGTCTTGGGGTTGCTCTTCTCAAGGAGTATCTTTGTGGTGTTCTCTGTATTTCCTGAATAGGAATCTTGGACTATCTTGCTAGATTGGGGAAGTTCTACTGGATAATATTTGAAGGGTGTTTTCCAGCTTGGTTCTATTCTCCCTGTCATTATCAGGTACACCAATCAAGCATAGATTTGGTCTTTTCACAAAGTCCCATATTTCTGGAAGGCTTTGGTCATTCCTTTTTATCCTTTTTTCTCTAATCTTGTCTTCTCTCTTTATTTCATTAAGATGATCTTCAATCACTGATATTCTTTCTTCTGCTTGATCAATTCAGCAATTGATATTTGTGTATGCTTCACGAAATTCTCGTGCTGTGTTTTTCAGCTCCATCATGTCGTTTATGTTCTTCTCAAGCTGGTTATTCTAGTTAACAATTAGACTCACCTTTTTTCAAGGTTCTTAGCTTCCTGGCATTGGACTAGAATATGCTCCTTTAGCTTAGAGTTGTTTGTTATTACCCGCCTTCTGAACCCTACTTCTGTCAGTTCATCAAACTCATTATCCATCCAGTTTTGTTCCCTTGCTGGTGAGGAGTTGTGATCCTCTGGAGGAGGAGAGGCATCCTGGTTTTTGGAATTTTCAGCCTTTTTGTGCTGGTTTTTCCCCATCTTTGTGGATTTATCTACCATTGGTCTTTGACGTTGGTGACCTTTGGATGGGGTCTTTGAGTGGATATGCTAATCCTTTCTGCTTGTTTCTTTTCCTTCTAACAGTCAGGCTGCTCTGCTGTCAGTATGCTAGAGTTTGCTGGAGGTCCACTCCTGACCCTGATTGCCTGGGTGTCATCAGCAGAGCCTGCAAAGCAGCAAAGATTGCTGCTTGTTCTTTCCTCTGGAAGCTTTGACCCAGCAGGGAACCTGCCAGATGCGCTGCAGAGCTCTCCTGTATGAGGTGTCTCTTGGCCCCAACTGGGAGGTGTCTTTCAGTCAGTATACCCACTTGAGGAAGCAGACTGACCCTAGCACAGCTTGAACACCATGCTGGGAGGTTGGCTGCTGTCTTCAGAGCCTTCAGACAGGGACATTTAAGTTGGCTATAAGCCCCTGACTGGGGCTACTGCCTTTTTACAGAGATGCCCTGTCCAGAGCAGAGAAATCTGGAAGTCTGGGCACAGCCAACTTGCTGAGTTGCAGTGGGTTCCACCAAGTTTGAACTTCCTGGCAGCTTTGTTTATACTGTGGCCATAAAACCACCTACTCAAGCAATGGTGGACTCCTCTCCCCAACTAAGCTCCACTGTCCCAGGTGGATCTCAGATTGCTGCTGTTCTGGCAGCAAGAATTTCAAGCTAGTGAATCTTAGTTTCCTGGGCTCTATCAGGTTGGGACCCACCGATCCAGACCACTTAGCTCCCTGGCTTCGGCCCCCCTCTCGAGAAATGAAGGCAGAAATAAAGATGTTCTTGGAAACCAATGAGAAACAAGACATAACGTACCAGAATGTTTGGGGTACATTTAAAGCAGTGTTCACAGGGAAATTTATAGCACTTAATGTCCAGAAGAGAAAGCAGAAAAGATATAAAACTGACACCCTATCATCAAAATTAAAACAACTAGAGAAGCAAGAGCAAACAAATTCCAAAGCTAGCAGAAGACATGAAATAACTGCTATGAGAGCAGAACTGAAGGAGATCGAGACATGAAAAATCCTTCAAAAGATTAATGAATCCAGTAGCTGGTTTTTTTGAAAAGATCAACAAAATAGATAGACCAATAGCCAGATTAATAAAGAAGAAAAGAGAGAAGAATCAAACAGACTCAATAAAATATGACATAGGGGATATCACCAGTAATCCCACAGAAATACAAACTACCATCAGAGAATATTATAAGCACCTCTATGCAAATAAACTAGTAATTCTATAAGAAATGAATAAATTCCTGGACACATATACCCTCCAAAGTCTAAGCCAGGAAGAAGTTGAATCCCTGAATAGACCAATAACAAGTTCTGAAACTGAGGCAGTAATAAATAGCCTACCAACAAATAAAAAAGGACCAGGCATATTCACAGCCCAGTTCTACCAGAGGTACAAAGAGAAGCTGGTGCCATTCCTTTGGAAACTATTCCAAACAGCAGAAAAAGAAGGAATCCTCCCTAACTCATTTTATGAGGCCAGCATCATCTTGATACCAAAACCTGGCACAGACACTTCAGACAAATAAACTTTCAGACCAATATCCCTGATGAACATCAATGTGAAACTCCTCAATAAAATACTGGTAAACAGAATCCAGCAGCACATCAAAAAGCTTATCCAATACGATTGAGATGGTTTCATCCCTGGGATGCAAGGCTAATTCAACATATGGAAATCAATAACATAATCCATCACATAAACAGAGCCAATGACAAAAACCATGAGATTATCTCAATAGATGCAGAAAAAGGCTTCAAAAAAGTCAACATACTTCATGCTAAAAACTCTCAATAAACTAAGTAAAGATGAAACATATCTCTAAATAATTAAAGCTACTTATGAAAAACCTGCAGCCAATATCATACTGAAGGGCAAAAGCTGGAAGCATTCCCTTTGAAAACCGTCACAAGAGAAGGATGCCCTCTCTCACCACTTCTGTTCAACATAGTATTGGAAATTCTGGCCAGGGCAATCAGGCAAGAGAAAGAAATAAAGAGTATTCAACTTTGAAAAGAGGGAGTCAGATTGTCTCTGTTTGCACAGACATGATTGTTTATTTAGAAAACCACATCGTCTCAGCTCAAAACCTCCCTAAGCTAATAAGCAACTTCAGCAAAGTCTCAGGATACAAAATCCTGTGCAAAAATCACAACTATTCCTATACACCGATAACAGAAAAACAGAGAGCCAAATCATGAGTGAACTCCCATTCACAATTGTGAAAAAGAGAATAAAATACCTAGGAATACAACTTCCAAGGGATGTGAAGGACCTCTTCAAAGATAACTATAAACCACTGTTCAAGGAAATAAGAGAGGACAGAAACAAATGGAAAAGCATTCCATGCTAAAGGATAGGAAGAATCAATATATTGAAAATGGTCAAACTGCCCAAAGTAATTTCTTAAATGCTATCCCCATCAAGCTACCACTGTCTTTTTCACAGACTTGGAAAAAGGTACTTTAAACTTCATATGGAACCAAAAAAGGGGCCAGATTGTCCAGACAATCCTGAGCAAGAAGAACAAAGATAGAGGCATCATGCTAACTGACTTCAAACTATACTACAAGGCTACAGTAAACAAATCAGCATGGTATGGGTACCAAAACAGATATATAGACCAATGGAAAAGAATGGAGGCCTCAGGTACAACCATCTGATCTTTGACAAAGCTGTCACACACAAGTGGTGGGGAAAAGACTCCCTATTTAATAAATGGTGTTGGGAAAACTGGCCAGCTATGCAGAAAACTGAAACTGGACCCCTTTCTTACATCTTTTACAAAAATCAAATCAAAATGGATCAAAGATTTAAATGTAAGACCTAGGACCATAAAATTCCTGAAAGAAAACCTGGGCAATACCATTCAGGACATAGGCATGGGCAAAGACTTCATGTCCAAAACCCCACAAGCAATGGCAACAAAAGTCAAATTGACAAATGGGATGTAAATAAACTAAAGAGCTTCTGCACAGCAAAAGAAACTATCATCAAAGTGAACAGCCAACCTAGAGAATGGGAGAGAATTTTTGAAATCTATCCATCTGACAAAGGGCTAATATCCAGAATCTACAAAGCACTTAAACAAATTGATAAGAATAAAAGAAACCCCATCAAAAAAATGGTCAAAGTATATGAACAGAGAGTTATCAAAGGATGACATTTATGTAGCCAACAGACATATGAAATAATAGTCATCATCACTGGTCATTAGAGAAATGCAAATCAAAACCAAAATAAGATACCATCTCACGCCAGTTAGAATGGCAGTCATTAAAAAGTCAGGAAACAATAGATGCCGGAGACATTACGGAAAAATAAGAACACTTTTACACTGTTGGTGGAAGTATAAATTAGTTCAACCATTGCGGAAGAGGGTGTGGTGATTCCTCAAGTATCTAGAACTGGAAATACCATTTGACCCAGAAATCCCATTACTGGGCATATATCCAAAGATTATAAATCATTCTACAATAAAGACACATGCATACGTATGTTTATTGAGGCACTATTCACAATAGCAAATACTTGGAAACAACCCAAATGTCCATCAATGATAGACTGAATTAAGAAAATATGGCACATATACACCATGGAATACATAAAAAAGGATGAGTTTATGTCCTTTGCAAGGACATGGATGAAGCTGGAAACCATCATTCTCAGCAAACTATCACAAGAACAGAAAACCAAACAACACATGTTCTTACTCATTAGTGGGAGCTGAACAATGAGAATACATGGAGACAGGGAGGGGAACATCACATACTGGGGCCTGTCAATGGGTAGGGCCTAAGGGAGGGATAACATTAGGAGAAATACTTAATGTAGGTAATGGACTGATGGGTGCAGCAAACCACCAGGGCACATGTATACTTATTACAAAGTGCACGTTCTGCACATGTAACCCAGAACCTAAAGTATAATAATAAAATATAGAAGAGAAACTATGATTAATAAACAGTTACCTCTCAATGTAGGACGATGTATTATATGATTACCAGACAATATATTTAAAAATCCAGATGTTTTCATGCCCCTGGGTCTCTTAAACATATATATCAGCAGTATTTGACAATTTCCATATCCCCAAATTTTCAAACAGAAACTCAAAAGTTTATCTCCACAATGGTGTGGGATTAACTTTGCAATTTTAGAATTAAACACACAGAAAATCATACACTGTTATGTTTTCCCCAAAATGAAAGCTTAGGCAGAGAAAGGTTGCAAAAATGTGGAAAACATTTATATCCAGAGAAAGTCAAGGGATAACAGGACAATAGATGTAATTTTCTTTCACATCACCTCTGTATTACATTTTTCTAGGCTTTCAAAAATGTTCCATAGAATTACCTTATTTAAAGGGAGAGTAGAGATCTGCTACTCAGGTATGTGTGTTTGATGAATATAAACAGCAGTAAGTCTGCGTTGTCCTGTAAACCAAAGGACAAATTAAAATCCCTTACCTAAAGTACTGAGGCCAGTTGGCTGATCTGCAGAGAAGTGCACACTTCCAACTACCTCCTCTCAATTTCTTGTTTTCCATTCTATAAACAGTATTGCAAAATACGTCTAATTAATCCCCTTGGCAAACACATTGCCATTGTCTTCAGAGGGATCATTTTGCTAAGTGTATTCTCATTCCCATTCCCAATGCACATATGTGTTTTAGAATTCAAGAAAAGTAGGTTCCTTCCTTTTATGAAATGTGATAAATAAGAAAGTACTTATCTCCCCTAGAAATCAACATCATTTTCCAGGCAATAAATGCTATGAAGGTTTCCGGTTGAATGCTACGCTTTTCTAAATTACTCCACAATGACATTCCATAAGAGAAATACCACTGTTCCCATTTTACAAAGAAGAAAACGAAGCCTCTGAAAGGTTGAGATCTGTCCAAGGAGTTGAAGAACACACATACACACACACAAACACACACAGACATACACACACACACATAAAATACATACAGATGTTCCTGGAACTGCAATGGCGATTACATCTGAAAAACCCATGATATGTTCAAAATATCATAAGACAAAAATTTATCACATAGACCAAATATATCATGCAACATAGCCTAGTCTATTTCAAATATGTGCAGTACACTTACTTTAGCCTACAGTTGGGTAAAAGCATCTAACAGAAAGTCTATTTTATAATAAAGTGTTGAGCATCTCATGTAATTTATTGAATCCTGTACCAAAAGTGCAAATTAGAATGATTATATGGGTACTGGATGTAGAGTCTCTAGTGAATTCTGTAAACCAAAATTAAAATTCTAAGTCCCCAGTTAACTGAATATAAACCCTCTCTGCCAAGGGCATTCCAAACTAATCCTGAAAAACTTCTTCTGGCGATGAGGGGATATGGGGATTGGACATGCCTCACTATACACTTCTCTCTTTGGAACTCGGGCACAACTGACCAGAATTAACATTAAAACAGAAATCATAAGACCAACCAAACAGACACTTGATAACAAAAAGATACCAAATTTCAACCTCTCTGGTGTAACATCACATGATAGATACCAGGCCCTAAAAGAAATCAAAGCATTTTACCCCAAAATATACTTCTTTCATATATTTTGAAATGGCCTCACAAAGCTGCCTTTTATAAGGAAGAGCTGCATTCTACTCTTTACCTGAATTGTCAGAAGAAAGAGACCTGGGATAATTAATCAAACTCAAGACATTTAGGGCATTGTTTGCTCAAGATTCATCAGGAGATCTTCTAACCATGAGGCAAACACTATCTAATCCAAGGAGGGATAAAGTGGTGTGAACAAGTTTTTCAGGTTTACTTCCCTTGACTGGTCTTTTGCTCATCTTGATGTGATTAGATGAGCATCTAGCATCTTTCAAGGGTCTGAATGGGAAACTTTTGTCATCTATTGCTTCTAAGGATGGCCAACTATGAGACTTTATCTGCATAAGACCTTGGTCTCCACAACACCTTTTCTTAACCCAGACACTCCTTTCTATTGATTCCAGGTCTTTAGGTAACTTAACTCCTTCAACCAATAGCCAATTTGAAAACCTCTGAATCTGTCTATAACCGGGAATCCTCTGCTTCAAGTTGTGCCACCTTCCTGGAAGAAACAAATGTATACCTTGAATTGATGAATATCTGCCTGTAACTTCTCTCCCCTACAAAATGTATAAAATCATGCTCAACCCCCTTAGGCACATGTTCTCCGGATCTCTTGGGGCTGTGTCACAGGCCTAGGTCACTGGTATTTGGCTCAGAATAAAGCTTTTTAAATATTTTGTGGACATCTACAATGTGTATTGCCTTCACACCATCATAAGGTTGAAAATCATTAGTTGAACCATCATAAGAAGTCACTGATTGTGTATGTGTGAGTGTGTGTGCATGTATATGTGTGTGTGTATATCAACATATAGATATATCTGTGTATGTATTTTTCCCTAAACCCTGTGCTCCTCATGACTAGGATATTAAGTCTCTTTCTCATATTACGGAAGTCTATGCAGTGGTGCTGAAATGACTAAACAATGGGACGTCTCAGTGGTAACTAGGGTTTACATTTTCTTGTGCCTCTTCACACCATATTAAAAATATTTGGCAGCTTTAATAAAACAAAATCGTTATGGACTTTAAAATCTGTCCCTTCATAATTTCATTGAGTTCAGAAAATGCATCATTGAAACAACATTTTAAATGAAAGTCACAGTCTTCAAGACAAAAACCATAACTGAGAGAGTTCACATTGGCTCTGGAAATACAATTTACAAGTTTGTGGAATCAGTAAATTCATCTGTGAAGCCCTGATGAGTTAAAGTGTTTGCAGCATGGTTAGAAGACCTCCTGATGAATCTCAAGCAAACAATGACCTAAATGTCTTGAGTTTGATTAATTATACCAGGTCTCTTTCTTCTGATAACTGTCAGAAATGTTGGGTGGAGTAGTGAATGGGGAAGAGCATCCTACAAATCATACTCTGAGGAAGTTGGAGCCTACACTTTCCAGAAAAATTCCTGACTCTAAATTCTTCACATTAGTTTAATATTATGGAGAAATGTTGTTTAACACACGTTTGTTTCATTACATTTACCCCCCAATTTCCTACTCATTGCTTTGTGTCAGTTTTTTCATGTTGAACGTGAACAGGCACCTACTGATTTGGATGCATAAGGATCTCAGGGGAAAATCTGTCCCACCATGGCTCAGCCCCAAATCCCACAATACTGTATGAGTCCTGCTGAGGCTCAGAAAACAATACCCCAAAATATGGCATTTTGACAGGCTGAGTTGAAGAAGTCCAACCTCCCCCTCTCCCACTACCTCTCCCAAAGTAGCTGAAGTTTCTTTATTTGCCTAAGACACAGACTCCCACAAGGATAATAATTGTTTTTAACCCCTTCCTGTTATATCCTTATCGACTGCAGAAAAAAACCAAGATGACACCACACCTCAACAGACAGTTTTCCAAGGTTGTCCTCAAGGATTATTTAATTTTCAAAAAGAGTTATTTACAAGTTAATCTCCGTTCTAGTAATCTCCTCGACAGAATTCCTCTTCTCCCCCTCCCATCATCTGTATTACTGGGATCCAAGCCCCCACTCTTTCTGTAAACTCAGGTTGGTATATAAGCTTCAGGATCTCACAGGGAGGTTGCGTCTTCATTCTGAAGGCTCCTTTGTATCTGCATTAAGCATGTTTGTATGTCATTTCACCTGTAAATTGGTCTGCCTAGTCAGTAATTTTTCAGTAAAACTTTAGGGGATAAAAAGCCTTGGCCTCTACAGTTATGGCACAACAAGTGGGGTCACCAAAGCTGCTCTGTTCTTTTGAAAGCCACAGTGCAGAGAACCCAGGAACCAACACTGCTAGCAATAGGGTAAGACATTATCATCAGCCAGCCAGGCTCCTGGTCTCTCTCTCCCTCTGTGCAACCCGGTTGAGTGGACAGTAATAGTCACTGATTATCTCCATGATTTTTCATTGAAACTTTAGGGGGCCAAGGGCCTTGATCACAACACTGCCTAGCTTCCCTGCGTATGCTCCTAATTTTAACTAGCTCTACCATTTAGCAGACCAACAATCTGAGTAAGTGATTTAACTCTGTTTGTCTTTCTTGGCTATAAAATGAAGATAACAACTGTGTGGTCTGCATAATAATGGTCCCCCTGAGATGCCCATGTGTTAATATGCGCGGTTGTGTGGTCTTACATGGAAAAGGGATTTGAATGAAAGAGGCAGGTGGAATTAAGATTCCCAGTCAGCAGACCTTGAAATTGGGAGATCATTCCAGGTTATCCACTGTGCCCATAGAAAAGGGAAAAAGAGGGACAAACAAAAAGATGACAGAACAAGGACTCAGTCTACTGGCATTGAAGGTGGAGAAAGGAGCCTATGAGCCAACGAAAGTAGGAAGTTTCTAGAATCTTGAAAAGGTAGGGAGATGTATCCTCTCGCAGAGCTTCCAAAAATAATGAAGTCCTGATGATACCTTGATTTTAGCCTCCTAAGTCTCATTTTGGACTTCTGAGTGGTAGAACTGTATGAAGCCACTAGGTCTGTAGTAACTTGTTACCACAGCACAGATAGGAAACTAATACTAATGGTTACTATGGGGTAGAGTGGTTGACACCAATGAGTTAATATAAAAAGCACTTGGAACAGGTCTTGGTAAAGAAGAAAAGCTGCATAATTGTCAACCTATATTATAACTAATAACCTAATAGGTAAGTCTGAATTAAGGAAGCAAATTAGCAGGTAGAGTGGCAGAGTGAAAGGGACATATTAGACTGTGCATAATGACATTTGAGAGCATACAACTCCCCTTACAGTTTTCATTTAAATAATATCCTATTCTATCCACCATTTTTTCTTTGTTTGTTTTTGAGATCGAGTCTCACTCTGGTGCCTAGCTAGAGTGCAGTGACACCGTCTTGGCTCACTGTAACCCCTGCATCCTGGAGTGAAGTGATTCTCTTTCCTCAGCCTCCAGAGTATCAGGGATTACAGGCATGCACCATCATGCCTGGCTGATTTTTGTATTTTTAGTAGAGATGCGGTTTAACCATGTAGGACAGGCTAGTCTCGAACTCCTGACCTCAAGTCATCCACCTCCCTCGGCCTCCCAAAGTGCTGGGATTACAAGCATGAGTCACAATGCTAGCCCCATCATTGTTTTGACTACAAAAGCATTATAGTATATCTTGACAGGTGTATTTATTTCCTACATCAAGATAGTCAAGATTTATTTATAGTTGTACTCCTTTGTCAAATAGCAACACATTACTCACATAAAATAATCATGTCCTTTGAATGGGAAAGGTTTAATATTGATCATGAGAGCTCTAGAACATTTTGAAAAATACCAGGAGGCATCAATCAAGTTCATAACTCAACATTTGAAAATGGAAATAGGACTGGAACTGAAAATATTCATATGGCTTTATGGAGTTCGGCAAGTCTCATCTCACTCTCTCTGCTATGATCTGAATGGTTGTGTCACTCCAAATTCCTATGTTGAAATCATGACCCCCAAGATGATAGTATCAGGAGGTGAGGCCCTTGGGAGGTGATGAAGTCATGAGGTTGGAGCCTTATGAATGGGACTGGTGCCCTTACAAAAGGGAACTCAGAGAACTCCCTTATCCCTTCCACCACATGAGGATACAAGGAAAAGGCACTATCAACAAACAAAGATGTGTGTCCTCACCAGACACTGAATCTGCCACACCTTGATCTTGAATTCCCAGCCTCCAGAACTCAGCAATAAATGTCTGTTATTTATAAGCCACACAGTCTATTGTATTTCCTTACAGCAATCCGAATGGACTAAAACATTCCCTATGTGCTCTTTAACACTACTATGGCTTCCAGACCACCTAATATAAAATGAAGATATCCATCTTTTAGTTAGATGAAGGTTGAAAGCTTGTGACTCCAAAAATGATGTGTAGCATCATAACAAAGGCTTAGTGTATATTAATTATATGAAGTAATTTAGGAAAATTAAATGCCATCATGTACACCCACTGAGCTCTGATACTTGACTCAATGTGTTTTGCTTTGAGTGGAAGTGGATCCCATATGTATATTAATACATTGACTTTTCACACCCTAAACTTCCTGTGGGAATGTGCCATGTATTATGATACTTTCGCACTCAGAGGACAAGAAAATCCCTGGAAAGCAAACCACAGTGATTTTCCAACAACTACTTCACTGCCTCAGGACACCTGTTTCTACCACTGGAAAGTGGGAGAGGATGAATCTGCCTAATCTGCTGGCAGAATGAAATACAACTATGAATATAAAAAGAAGTTTCCAAATTCTAAAGCAACAAATAAATGCCTGTATGACTATTCTAGTGAGAAATGAATATTTTCAGTTTTTTAAAAAGCACTGTAGTGCAATGACAGCAACCATCATAACCATCGTGCAGATCCTTCAACATCATCATCTGCGCAGTTCAACAAACTATGAGAAATATACTTCTTTCACAGACTTATACTAAAAGTAAAATATAGAAATAGTAAGGGGCCAGGAATGATGGTTCATGCCTGTACTCTGAGGAGGTTGAAGCAGGAGGACTACTAGAGGCCAGAAGTTCGAGACCAGCCTGAATAACATAGGAACTGCATCTGTACAAAAAAATAGATTTTAAATCAACTGGGTGTGGTGGTACATGCCTGTGCTCTCAGGGGAGGCTGAAGTGTGAGGTGGGAAGATCGCCTGAGCCCAGGAGCTCAAAAGCTGCAGTGAGCTATGATTGTACTCCTACACCCCAACCTGAGCAACAGAACAAGACCCTGTCTCAAAAAAAAAAAAAAAAAAAAAAAAATAGAGGAAAAAAATAAAAAGGAAGAAATTCTAAGCTAAGGTTGATCTTTTAGGTAGGGGATTATGTGTGTAAGCATATAGGCATACATTGAGATAATTTACAAAATTACAACATCAAACACAAGTTTTTGAAGGGCTGAGCTAAGAGAGCTCCTATCCACTAATAACTGAAAAACACCCATCAATTCATTTTGAAACACCATCATGAGGAAAATGAGACATATTTTGTTCACAAAAGTTAGAAAATATTCATATAGCCAAAAGGAAAGGACAAGGTTTTGGGTCATATTGTCTTAGCATCAAGATCACTCCAGTTGCATAGGGCTAGAATTTTCTACCATATCAACCTGCTCTAATGAGTGTCAGAGCTTTGAGTAAGTCATTATTTTTTAATGATAGTAGGTAAAAATTTAGTATAGTGTTACTCGTGTAATTTTGGTGGAATTCCTAAGAAGAAGGAAACCTAAATGTCAGAATTTATATATCTACAAATTTATATATTTATATATTTTTATATATGAATATATATTTACACATTAATATAATATAATATATTTATGTATTTATATATTTACATATTGAAAATTTATATATTTTTTACACACACACACACACACACACACACACACACACAGTTTTGGTACCAGTACCATGCTTTGGTTACTGGGGCCTTGTAGCATAGTTTGAAGTCAGGTAGCTTGATGCCTCCAACTTTGTTATTTTTGCTTAGGATGGTCTTGGCTACACAAGCTCTTTTTTGGTTCCATATGAAATTTAAGGTAGTTTTTTCTAATTCTGTGAAGAAAGTCATGGTAGCTTGATGGGGATAGCATTGATTCTATAAATTACTTGGGGCATTATTGCCATTTTCACAATATTGATTCTTCAAATCCATGAGTATGGAATGTTCTTCCATTTGTTTGTGTCCTCTCTTATTTCCTTGAACAGTGGTTTGTAGCTCTCCTTGGAGAGGTCCTTCACATCCCTTTTAAGTTGTATTCCTAGGCATTTTATTCTCTTTGTAGCAATTGTGAATGGAAGTTCACTCATGATATGGCTCTCTGTTTGTCTATTACTGGGGTATAGGAATGCATGTGATTTTTCTAGCTTGATTTTGAATCCTGAGACTTTGCTAAAGTTGCTTATCAGCTTAAGGGAATTTTGGGGCTGAGACAATGGAGCTTACTAAATATACATTCATGTCATCTGCAAACAGAGACAATTTGACTTCCTCTCTTCCTACTTCAATATACTCTATTTCTTTCTCTTGCCTGATTGCCCTGGCCAGAACTTCCAATACTATGTTGAATAGGAGTGGTGACAGAGGGCATCCTTGTCTTGTGCCAGTTTTCAAAGGGAATGCTTCCAGCTTTTGCCCACTGAGTATGATATTGACTATGGCTTTGTCATAAATAGCTCTTATTAGAGATACGTTCCATTAATACCTAGTTTATTGAGGATTTTTAGCTTGAAGGAGTATTGAATTTTTTCAAAGGCCTTTTCTGCATTGAGATAATCATGTGTGGTTTTGTCATTGGTTCTGTTTATGTGATGGACAGCATTTATTGATTTTCATATATTGATTCAGACTTCCATCCCATTGATGAAGTCGACTCAATCGTGGTATATAAACTTTTTGATGTGCTGCTGGATTCTCTTTGCCAGTATTTTATTGAAAAATTTCACACCAATGTTCATCAGGGATATTTGTCTGAAATTTTATTTTTCTGTTGTGTCTCTGCCAGGTTGTGGTATCAGGATGATGCCAGCCTCATAAAATGAGTTAGGGAGGGTTCCCTCTTTTTCTGTTGTTGTGAATAGTTTCAAAAGGAATGGTACCAGCTATTCTTTGTACCTCTGGTGGAATTCAGCTGTGAATCCTTCTGGTCCTGTGCTTTTTTTAGTTGATAGGCTATTAATTACAGCATCAAATTCAGAACTTGTTATTGGTCTATTCAGAGATTTGACTTCTTCCTGGTTTAGTCCTGGGAAGATGTATGTGTCCAGGAATTTATCCATTTCTTCTAGATTTCCTTGTTTATTTCCATAGAGATGTTTATAGTATTCTCTGATGGTACCTGTGTTTCTGTGGGATCAGTGGTGATACGCCATGTATAATTTTTTGTTGTGTCTATTTTATTCTTCTGAATTTCTTCTTTAGTAGTCTTGCTAGTGGTCCACCTATTTTATTAATCTTCAGAAAACCAGCTCCTGGATTCACTGATTTTTTGAAGGGTTTTTCTGTATCTCTTTCCTTCTGCTCTGCTACAATCTTAGTTGTTTCTTGTTTACTGCTAGCTTTGCAATTTGTTTGCTCTTGTTTTTCCAGTTCTTTCAACTGTGATGTTAGTGTGTCGGTTTTAGATCTTCTCCCATTTTCTCCTGTGGGCATTTAGTGTTATAAATTTCCACCTAAACACTGCTTTGGCTGGGTCCCAGAGATCTAATATGTTGTGTGTTTGTTCTCAGTGATTTCAAAGAACTTCTTTATTTCTGACTTCATTTCATTATTTACCCAGTAGTCAATCAGGAGCAGGTTGTTCAGTTTCCACGTAGTTGTGCAGTTTTGAGTAAGTTTCTTAATCTTGAGTCTAATTTGATCACACGTGTGTCTGACAGGCTGTTTGTTATGATTTACATTCTTTTGTATTTTCTGAGGAGTTTTTTACTTCCAATTATATGGTCCATTTTAGAATAAGTGTGATGTGGTGCTGAGAAGAATGTATATTTTGTTGATTTAGGGTGGAAAGTTCTGTAGAGGTCTATTATGTCCACTTCATCCAGAGTTGAGTTCAAGTCCTGATATCCTTGTTTTCTGTCTCATTGATCTGTCTAATATTGACAGTGGGATGTTAAAATCTCCCACTATTATTGTGTGGGAGTCTAGGTCTCTTTGTAGGTGTAAGAACTTGCTTTATGAATCTAGATGCTCCTATGTTGGGCGCATATATATTTAAGACAGTTAGCTATTCTTGTTGCATTGATCCCTTTACCATTATGTAATGCCCTTCTTTGTCTTCTTTGATCTTTGTTGGTTAAAGTCTGTTTTATCAGAGACTAGGATTGAAAGCCCTCCTTTCTTTTCTTTCCATTTGCTTGCTAAATAGTCCTCCATCCCTTTATTTTGAGTGTATGTGTATTTCTGCACGTGAGACAGGACTATGTAAAAAGAGCAAACCTATGTTTGACTGGTATATCTGAAAGTTATAGGAAGAATGGAACCAAGCTGGAAAACACTCTTCAGGATATTATCCAGGAGAACTCCCCCAACCTAGCAAAACAGGTCAACATTCACATTCAGGAAATATAAGGAACACCACAAAGATACTCCTCGAGAAAAGCAACCCCAAGATACATAATAGTCATTCACAAAGGTTGAAATGAAGGAAAGATGTTAAGGGCAGCCAGAGAGAAAGCTCGGGTTACCCATAAAGAGAAGCCCATCAGACTAACAGTGGATCTTTCTGCAGAAACCCTACAATCAAAAAGAGAGTGGAGGCCAATATTCAACATTTTTAGAGAAAAGGATTTTCAACCCAGAATTTCATATCCAGCAAAGCTAAGCTTCATATGCAAAGGAGAAATAAAATCCTTTATGGACAAGCAAAGGCTGAGGGATTTTGTCAACATAGGCCTGCCTTACAGGAGCTCCTGAAGGAAGGACTAAATACGGAAGGAACAACCGGCACCAGCCACTGCCAAAACATACCAAATGGTAAAGACCAAGGTTGCTATGAAGAAACTGTATCAACTAATGTGCAAAATAACCAGCTAACATAATAATGACAGGATCAAATCACACATAACAATAATAACCTTAAATGTAAACAGGCTAAATGCCCCAATTAAAAGACACAGAATGGAAAATTGGATAAAGAGTCAAATTTTGGGGGGAAGAAGGAATGGGGAAAATAATGGCTTTCAGAGCTATTTTAAATAGTTGCTGCAATAAAAACATATTTGTGCATATTCAAGCTAAAACAACCTTTTCAGCCCTGAAAAACTTTAACCATTCTGTGGCAGTTCATCGTGGAAAGGAAGAAAATACATTCTCACATCAATGCATGCATGCTCAGTAAATGCCACATGTGCACATGCACTTACATGCCAGGAAGCACGCACACGCCAGGAAGCACGCACACGCCAGGAAGCACGCACACGCCAGGACGCATGCACACATTTCTGCAAATGGTGTCCTATGCATCACCGGATGTAACGTTCTGAGTGGAGCCCCACAGGCAGGAAGCTCATTAGGAGCAGATGGGGTGAAGGTCCCAGGGAAGTCTCCACTGTTGGAGCTTCTGGGAAATACTGAGATAAAACAGTCCTCTCCAAGGTTCTTTTCCTTCCTTCCTAGGGAGTATTAGTCTTCCTACCCCCAGAGGCCAGTATGTCAGTGCCCATGATAATCCTAGCCTCCATCCTGTCCCTCTTTTTCTCTAGCTGATTTCATGGACCCACGTTGTAGGATTTTGGAAAGGAACTGTCCCTGATGAGAGAGGAATCAGTAAATTAGTTCTGCAGAACGAGGAAACTGGGAGAGAAGTGCAAGAAACAGCATTTTAGCCCTCAGTAATGAATAAATTGTGTGGAGATGGAATAGTAGCAGTATTCCAAGTTGAAGAGAGCCTGAAAAGAATGAGAAAAAGCAAGAAACCAAGGGTGAAATGCAGTGATTCCTAGGTAAACTCAGGTTGGATGGAAGATGAAGTATACCATCCAGAGGAAAGAAATGATGACTGTCGTTGTGACGATGGAGATGGGGCAGGTCGTGTAGCACAGTGGACACTTGTTGATGAATTTTGAATGAGATAGTCTTACACAATCAATTATATAGGAAGATGAAGAATAGCTTTAAAAATAGATTAGAGAGTGTACAAGTCATAGACAGGATATGATTAAAATAGTAACAGAAAAAGGGAGCATATGACCAAGGAAATTAGAGATGTATCACAGAAGAAGAAATGGAAGTAACTGTTATTTCTGAAAGTGATTTACATTGGGGATGGGAAAGAGAGGGGATTCAAACCCAAGATAAGGGACTGAGAGGAGATGCTATGAGCAGGGAGCCGGGTAAGCTTGGGAAGATGACGAGACAATTTTGGGAACACTGAATTGAGTTTTGGGCAGAACATATAGGCAATGTTGTTCAAAGGGGAGCTATAAGGGCAGGAAGAAACTTGGAGGGGAAGTGAGGGCAGAACGTATAGGCCCCTGGGGTCTCTCCAAAGGAAATTATCATCAAACCATGAGTAGATGCAAGGCTACATAGGCCAGTAAGAGAGACAGTAGGAAGGAAGGAAGAGAAGTGACTCAAGGGTGGCATTTATGGAGTTACAATAACTGCAAAGGCAGGAGGAACAGACAGTCAGAAAAGTCAGTTCAATTATTAGGCAGTGGAAGAAAATTAGGAGAACAGAATGTGAGGAAGGAGAAAGCTACCTAAAGCAGGGCAATAAACAAGTCAGGGCCTATGGAGAATCTCCTAGCAGGGTATGTGTTTCCTGAGGTATCAGCCCTTCCAGTGGTCAGCTGGACAACTGAGGGGATGCTGCCTATTGTGAGAAAAAAAAAGGTGTAAGAGAACTGGGAATAATTAAAGAAATGTTTTTCAATAATTGTACCTGCTCTTGAGGTCAGGACACAGATAGGTCTTAGAATTATAATTAGGTTAGAATGGTTAAGAAAGTTTTATTGTTTTTGTTTTTGTGTTTTGTGTTTTGTTTTGTGTGTTGTTTGTTTTGTTCTGTTTTGACACAGGGTCTTGCTCTGTCACCCAAGCTGGAGTGTAATAGCATGATCTGGGATCACTGCAGCCTCTGCATTCCAGGCTCAACTGATCCTCCAATCTCAGCCTACCACACAGCTGGAACTACAGGTGTACACTGTCATGCCTGGGTAATTTTTATATTTTTTGTAGAGATGCATTTTGCCATGTTGCCCAGGCTGGTCTCCAACTCCTGAACTCAAGTCATCCTCCTACTTTGGCCACCGTGCCTCACTGAAACTGTCTGGATAATGGATATGTTTCAGGTAAAAAAGGAAATGCCAATTTCAGGTTAAAAAAAATGCCTCCAAACAAGAAAATATGGAAAAACAATAATCTCTAAATTTCTATTAATTACCTTATAATCACCAAGAAAATAATAAATAACATATCCGTCAGTCCCAAGGATCTCCAAAGCATCTAATAATCTTGACCTTCACCCACCTCTGAACTCTTTCTCTTTTCTTAATTGGACAGTTTTACCTATAACTGCAACTTTGGATGGTTATTTCTTGTCTTGGCCTCTAACGGTTTGCAAATTTCTATCAGTATCATCCTTCCAATGCCTCTGCAGAGCCTCATTCCTTCCCCATTTCCTCAATCTCTAACCCAGTTGAATCTATAAGTAGATCTCAACTCGCACCACTAATCTTCTGTATTCTATCCCAACCTCTACTATCATGAAACTGATATTCTTTAATAATTCTGCAAAGTCCTGCTATGATTCATCCATTGCCTACAGAATAACATCCATGGCTTACCAGCAAGTTGCACCACCTGAAATGATCTGATTTCAATTTCATCACAGAAGCTCAACCCTTAAGATAACACTGAACACAACACAGCCCATCCTCAACACTTGCTGTACCTATGTGTTTGTTCACAGTTTCTCCTTTGTCCTTATGACAAAATTCTATGCAGCTCCTAAGCTACCTCCTTTGGAAGAGCTTCTGTGATAGTCTAGCTTCCAAGATGGCCAATTGACACCTACAATTAACACCTTCTGGGGTTACAAGGTTTCACCTCCAAATCTAGTGCAAAAGCGACAAGGTGTCACCTCCAAGATCAAGTTCTAAGAGTGTGTGGCTTTCATATTAGACTCCCTTTTAGCCTCCTTCTTTCTCTCCTCACTTTCAGAAAAGCCAGCTGTTAAGGTCTCATGTATAGCCCTAGGGAGAAGCCAATGTGGCCAAGAACTGAAGCCTCCTGCCCAGCACACATAAGTGAGATTCTCTCACACCATCATAAAACTGCAAGCCCTGTCTACAATTTCATTACAAAATGATGAGAGATCCTGAGCTAGAACTGGCCAGCTACATTGCTCCTGAATCCCTGAAGAACAGAAATGTATGAGATAATAAATGTTTGCAGTTTTAAAGCCAAAGACAAAAACCACACGATTATCTCAATAGATGCAGAAAAAGCCTTTGACAAAATTCAACAACTCTTCACGCTAAAAACTCTCAATAAATTAGGTGTTGATGGGACCTATCTCAAAATAATAAGAGATATCTATGACAAACCCACAGCCAATATCATACTGAATGGGCAAAAACTGGAAGCATTCCCTTTGGAAACTGGCACAAGACTGGGATGCCCTCTCTCATCACTCCTACTGAACATAGTGTTGGAAGTCCTGGCCAGGGCAATTAGGCAGGAGAAGGAAATAAAAGGTATCCGATTAGGAAAAGAGGAAGTCAAATTGTTCCTGTTTGCAGATGACATGATTGTATATCTAGAAAACGCCATCATCCTCAGCCCAAAATCTCCTTAAACTCATAGGCAACTTCAGCAATGTCTCAGGATACAAAATCACTGTGCAAAAATCAAAAGCATTCTTATACCAATAACAGACAAACAGAGAGCCAAATCATGAATGAACTCCCATTCACAATAGCTTCAAAGAGAATAAAATACCTAGGAATCCAACTTACAAGGGATGTGAATGACCTCTTCAAGGAGAACTACAAACCACTGCTCAATGAAATAAAAGAGGATATAAACAAATGGAAGAACATTCCATGCTCATGGGTAGGAAGAATCAATATCGTGAAAATGGCCATACTGTCCAAGGTAATTTATAGATTCAATGCCATCCCCATCAAGCTACCAATGACTTTCTTCACAGAGTTGGAAAAAACTACTTTAAAGTTCATATGGAACCAAAAAAGACCCTGCATTGCCTAGTCAATCCTAAGCCAAAAGAACAAAGCTGCAGACATCATGCTACCTGACTTCAAACTATACTACAAGGCTACAGTAACCAAAACAGCATGGTACTGGTACCAAAACAGAGATATAAACCAATGGAACAGAACAGAGCCGTCAGAAATAATGCCGCATATATACAACTATCTGATCTTTGACAAACCTGACAAACACAAGAAAAGGGGAAAGGATTCCCTATTTAATAAATGGTGCTGGGAAAACTGGCTAGCCATATGTAGAAAGCTGAAATTAGATCCCTTCCTTATACCTTATACAAAAATTAATTCAAGATGGATTAAAGACCTAAATGTTAGACCTAAAACCATAAAAACCCTAGAAGAAATCCTAGGCCATACCATTCAGTACATAGGCTCAAGGACTTCATGTCTAAAACACTGAAAACAATGGGAACAAAAGCCAAAATTGACAAATGGGATCTAATTAAACGAAAGAACTTCTGCACAGCCAAAGAAACTACCATCAGAGTGAACAGGCAACCTACAAAATGGGAGAAAATTTTTGCAACCTACTCATCTGACAAAGGGCTAATATCCGAATCTACAATGAACTCAAACAAATTGACAAGAAAAAAACAAACAACCCCATCAAAAAGTGGGCGAAGGACACGAACAGACACTTCTCAAAAGAAGACATTTATGCAGCCAAAAAACACATGAAAAAATGCTCATCATCACTGGCCATCAGAGAAATGCAAATCAAAACCACAATGAGATAACATCTCACACCAGATAGAATGGCAATCATTAAAAAGTCAGGAAACAACAGGTGCTGGAGAGGATGTGGAGAAATAGGAACACTTTTACACTGTTGGTGGGACTGTAAACTAGTTCAACCATTGTGGAAGTCAGTGTGGTGATTCCTCAGGGATCTAGAACTGGAAATACCATTCGACCCAGCCATCTCATTACTGGGTATATACCCAAAGGACTATAAATCATGCTGCTATAAAGACACATGCACAGGTATGTTTATTGTGGCATTATTCACAATAGCAAAGACTTGGAACCAACCCAAATGTCCAACAATGATAGACTGGATTAAGAAACTGTGGCACATATACACCATGGAATACTATGCAGCCATAAAAAACGATGAGTTCATGTCCTTTGTAGCGACATGGATGAAATTGGAAATCATCATTCTCAGTAAACTATCGCAAGAACAAAAAACCAAACACCGCATATTCTCACTCATAGGTGGGAATTGAACAGTGAGATCACATGTACACAGGAAGGGGAATATCACACTCTGGGGACTGTTGTGGGGTGGGGGGAAGGGGGAGGGATAGCATCGGGAGATATACCTAATGCTAGATGAGGAGTTAGTGGGTGCAGTGCACCAGCATGGCACATGTATACATATGTAACTAACCTGCACAATGTGCAAATGTACCCTAAAACTTAAAGTATAATAAAAAAAAAAAAAAGAAAATTGCACGAGGAAAAAAAAATGTTTGCGGTTTTAACCTAAAGTTTAGAGGAATTTTTTATGCAGCAATAGATAACTAATGCACTGTCCTCAATGACACAAATGGAAAGCAAGATTCTGTGCTGCCAAGGCATGTTTTTACCCACTTATGGAATGTATGATGTGCATGCCTTGCAGTATGGGCATTTTCATTTATTGTTTTGACTTCCTTACTAAGAGTCTGCCTTCCTTGGGATCAGAGGTTGAATCTTATCTCTGTTTCTATGACTGACGGTATCCAGTATGACGACTTTCTCAAAGTAAGATGTCAATATGTAATTATCAATTGTATAAACGAAGAAGGAAGAAAAGATGTTGTATGCATGGTTTCTCAGTCTTTAAAGGAAGAATAGCTGCATGCAGCCTGGAATTACCAGACCTTTGTTTGAGAAGGCATAAACCTGTGGATCCCTGAAATGAGAAACAATCTGCTGCCTTCAAGTTGCTGTAGTGTTTTGAATTATGGGCCAAGCATTTGGAGGCCATGGGGAGAGAAATAATGCCCAGCATATCAATGAGTTTTTATGGTTGTTGTTATTAATCTTTAAGTCTCTCACAGTCCATAGCACATGGTAGATGCCCAATAAATATGCTTTGGCTTGAATTGACTGGGAAACTGAAAATGTAAAGATAACTTTTAAATCAGTAGAGCACAACTGGACGACAAAAAGCAAATAATGAGACCCAGAGCTATGGATGCTGGCTTCTGAACAGGAAAGAATAAAACAGAATATTGAGCTCAGAACTTAAGTAGGTTGTGTGTGCACATATAACCTAGAAATACCCTAATGATAATTTCAGCTAACTGTGGGTTGGTAAAGAGGAAAAAATTGCAGTTGATTGTGTGTGCGTACACATGTGTGTATGCATGCACGTGTGTGTGCGCATGTGTGCGTGTCTGATGATGCAGCAAAAGCTACCTTCTGACACCCCTTTATCTTTGTTTCTCATCAGATCTGTATCTCTGCCAGGTACTAGATAATATGAGGCTGATGTGGGAAGACTTCTAGAGCCCAGAAGTTCAAGGCTGCATCGAGCTATGATTGCATCACTGCACTCCAGCATGGGTGACAGAGTCAGAAACTATCTTCAAAATAAAACACTGTTAAAAGTAGATGAAACTGAGACATAGTGAGTCCAAAGAGCTGTCACACAAGCTGGCCAAATTTACCCAGCAGCATTCCTTCTGGGTAGATCACTACCAAGTCACACAGCATTTGCTCCTAAGGAGTTGGTAACCTAAGACTGAGCATTATGGAAAATACTCACGTTCCTTCTAAAATAACTTGACAGCTAAATTTTCCGACTCTAAAACCCATTTTCATGTAGAGTAAAAAGAGCAGTTTTTTCCAACAAGAATGTGCATAAAAGGATAAGAAATCTATATCAGTTAAAAGAAATGTAAAAGACAAATCAACTGATTGTAGTGCATAGACCTTGTGTGAGTTAGCAAACTATGAAAATATTATTTTGACATTTATAATTTGATAGTTGGTGACATAGAGGAATTATTGTTGATAATTTTAGGCATGGAAAAGATTCTGCAGCTAAATAAAATAAAATGGTTCCTATATTTTACAGCAATGTACTGAAAGATCTTTTTTATGTATACTCTACATTCTGGGGTACATATGCAGAACGTGCAGGTTTGTTACATAGGTATATACATGACATAGTGGTTTGCTGCATCCATTAGCTCGTCATCTAGTCATCTAGATGAGGTATTTCTCTTAATAGTATCCTTGCCCCCCACCCCCACCACAGGCCCTGGTATGTGATGTTCCCCTCCCTGTGTCCATGTGTTCTCATTGTTCAACTTGCACTTATGAGTGGGAACATGTGGTGTTTGGTTTTCTGTCCCTTTGTTAGTTTGCTAAGAATGATGGCTTCCGGCTTCACCCAAGTCCCTGCAAAGGACATGAACTCATCCTTTTTATGGCTGTGTAGTATTCTATGGTGTACATGTGCCACATTTTCTTTATCTAGTCTATCACTGATGGGCATTTGGGTTGGTTCCAAGCCTGTGCTATTGTGAATAGTGCCGCAATACATATATGTGTGCATGTGTCTTTATAGTAGAATGATTTATAATCCTGAGTTCTAATTTGATTGCACTGCAGTCTGAGAGACTGTTTGTTATGACTTCCATTCATTTGCATTTGCTGAGGAGTGCTTTGCTTCCAATTATGTGGTCAATTTTAGAAGAATTGAGATGAAGTGCTGAGAGGAATGTATATTCTGTTGATTTGAGATGTAGACTTCTATAGATGTCTGTTAGGTCCACTTGATCTAACTTGATCCAGAGCGGAGTTCAAGTCCTGAATATCCTTGCTAATTTTCTGTCTCATTGTTCAGTCTAATATTGACAGTGGGGTGTTAAAGTCTCCCACTATTACTGTGTGGCATTCTAAGTCTCATTGTAGGTCTCTAAGAACTTGTTTTATGAATCTGTGTGCTCCTGTACTAGGGGCATATGTATTTAGGATAGTTAGCTCTTCTTCTTGCATTGATCCCTTTACCATTATGTAATGTCCTAGTCTCTAGATCTTTGTTGATTTAAAGTGAGTTTTATCAGAGACTAGGATTGCAACCCCTGCTTTTTTATTTTGCTTTCCATTTGCTTGGTAAATATTCCTCCATCCCTTTACTTTGGGCCTATGTATGTCTTTGCATGAGATGAGTCTCCTGAATAGAGCTCACCAATGAGTGTTAACGCTTTAGCCTATTTGCCAGTCTGTGCCTTTTGATTGGAGCTTTTAGCCCATTTACATTTAAGGTTAATATTGTTATGTATGAATTTGATCCTGTTATTATGATGCTAGCTGGTTATTTTGCACATTATTTGATGCAGTTTCTTCATAGTGTCAATGGTCTTTACAATTTGATATGTTTTTGCAGTGACTGGTACCAGTTGTTCTTTCCATATTTACTGATTCCTTCAGGAGCACCAGTAACGCAGGCCTGATAGTGACAAAATCTCTCAGCATTTGCTTGTCTGTAAAGGATTGTATTTCTCCTTCCCTTATGAAGCTTAGTTTGGCTAGATATGAAATTCTGGGTTGAAAATTCTTTTCTTTAAGAATGTTGAATACTGGCCCCCACTCTCTTCTGGCTTGCAGTGTTTCTGAAGAGAGATGTGCTATTAGCCTTACAGGCTTCCCTTTGTGGGTAACATGACCTTTCTCTCTGGCTGCCCATAACATTTTTTCCTTCATTTCAACCTTTGTGAATCTGATGATTATGTATCTTGGTGTTGCTCTTCTGGAGAAGTATCTTTGTGGTGTTGTCTGTATATCCTGAATTTTAATGTTGGCTTGCCTTGCTAGGTTGGGGAAGTTCTCCTTGATAACATCCTGAAGAGTGTTTTTCAACTTGGTTCCATTCTCCCCGTCACTTTCAGGTACACCACTTCAACTTAAATTTGGTCTTTTCACAAAGTCCCACATTTCTTGGAGGCTTTGTTCGTTGCTTTTCATTCTTTTTTCTCTAATCTTATCTTCTTGCTTTATTTCATTGAGTTGATCTTCAGTCTCTGATATCCTTTCTTCCACTTGATCAATTCAGCTATTGATATTTGTGTAAGCTTCATGAAGTTCTCATGCTGTGTTTTTCAGCTCCATCAGGTCATTTATGTTCTTCTCTAATCTGGTTATTCTAGTTAGAAATTCATCTAACCTTTCTTCAAGGTTCTTAGCTTCCTGGCATTGGGTTAGAACATGCTTCTTTAGCTCAGAGGAATTTGCTATTACCCACGTTCTGAAGCCCACTTCTGTCAATTCATCAAACTCATTCTCCATCCAGTTTTGTTCCCTTGCTTGTGAGGAGTTGTGATCCTTTGGAGGAGGAGAGGCATTCTGGTTTTTGGAATTTTCAGCCTTTTACACTGGTTTCTCTCCATCTTCATGGATTCATCTACCTTTGTTTTTTGATGTTGGTGACCTTCAGATGGGGCCTCTGAGTGGATGTGCTATTCCTTTCTGTTTGTTAGTTCTCATTCTAACAGGCCCCTCTGCTGCAGTTCTGCTGGAGATTGCTCCAGGTTCATCCCACACCCTGTTTGCCTTGGTATCACCAGTGGAGGCTGCAGAGCAGCAAAGATTGCTGCCTGCTCCTTCCTCTAAAAGTTTTGTCCCAGAGGGGCACCAGCCAGATGCCAGCAAGAGCTCTCCTGTATGAGGTGTCCGTTGGCCCCCGCTGGGTGGTGTGTCCCAGTCAGGATACACAAGTTTCAGAGACCCATTTGAGGAGGCAGTCTGACCCTTAGCAGAGCTTGAACACTGTGCTGGGAGATCCTTTGCTCTCTTCAGAGCCATCAGGGAGGGACGTTTAAGTCTGCTGAAGCTGCACCCACAGCTGCCCTTTCCCCCAGTTGCTCTGTCCCAGGGAGATAGGGGTTTTAACTATATGTGCCTGACTGAGCTGCTGCCTTTTTTTTAGAGATGCCCTGACCAGAGAAGAAGAATCTAGAGGGGCAGTCTTGCCACAGTGGCCTTGATGAGCTGTGGAGAGCTCTGACCAGTTTGAACTGCCAGGCGGCTTTCTTTACAACTGTGGGGGTAAAACTGCCAACTCAAGCCTTGGCAATGGTGGATGTGCCCCCCCCGCCCCCCCACCACACACACACACACACACACACACCAAGCTGGAGTGTCCCAGGTTGACCTAAGACTGCTGTGCTGGCAGCGAGATTTCAAGCCAGTGGATCTTGGCTTGCCGGACTCAGTGGGGATGGGACCCACCGAGCCACACCACTTTGACTTTTGGGCTTCAGCCTCCTTTCCAGGGGAGTGAATGGTTCTCACCAAACTATCTTTAAATAAATTGCATCATGCCATAATAAGAATGGAAACATAAATGAGGTTAAATACTAAAGATTATGCTATGCATTTATAATTGCTGAAGCAAATGATGGGCAAATGGGATCCATTATTCTATTTTCATTCCCTTTTTTGGTATACACCAGAAATTTTCTGTGGTAAAGTATTCCATAAGATTTCAACTGAATACAAATGCTTACAGAAAGGATATAAGAGGGAAAATGTGTACAGACCAATGCAGAGTGTTTTTTGAAGCAAGCAAAAGAAAATAAGTAATGCCCCTAGAATGAGGAATGCACAATTTACAAGGAAGAATTTGGAAACAAGTTAGAGGAGGGAGGGGTGTGGAGCAAAAAAAAAAAAAAAAGAAGAAGGAAATACCTTAGAGGAGCAAAGGCATTAAAATAACCTAAATGTCAAAAAATATACAAAGAACTGGATATGTTAAAGCATAACAGTCATTTGCCATTGAGTCCTCTCATTTACTTGCTATTCAAGTGAATAGATGTTTTAGTGTCTCATCATGGCCACAAAGAATATAAAGTAGAGCAAGTCACAGTAGTGTAGTGTTGAATTAAAACCTAAAGCATATCCAAAACATCCATGTGCCCATAGTGATATAAATGATTGATTCATCTCTGCAGATTTCCTCCCCAAAACACATATCCCTGTCTAAAACATCAGACAGACCCCAGGTGGTGGACATTCTCCATAATATTAATACCAAAAAACTATTAAGGTCATGAAAAACAAGGAAAGACTAAGAAACGGTCACAGACTAGAAGAGGCTAAGAAAATAGGGCAAATCCAACTTCCTATTTGGACTTCTGTGTCTCTATGAAGCTGAAGATTTCAATGCACAGGCTCACTCAAGAGGGTCCTGGAGTCTTTTTGCCTGTAGGCCCTTTTGACTCTTAATCTAATGAAGGTAGTTGTTTCTTTTCTCTTGATTATATCTCCCTGGTCTAGACATAGATGGAGAGAGAATTAGAATTGCTAGGTTTTTGCAGAAAGATAGAGCCAAGTGCGGTGGCTCACGCCTGTAATCCCAATGTTTCAAGAGGTCAGTCAGAAGGATCCCTTGAGCCCAGGAGTTTGAGACCAGCCTGTGCAACCTGATTAGACCCTGTCTCTTAAAAAGAAAATAAATAAATAAAACACAAAGTTCCCATCACAGACAAAGCCCCGTAAGGAAAGGAAGGAATCATCCCTGAAAAAAGGCATTATCCCTTGTTAACCATGCTTGAGACACAGCAAGATGCATTAAACAAATGCAATTAATTAACACTTCAAAAAAAAAGGGAAAAATGCTGTGCTTTAACTGACAAATAAAAATAGGGAATGGGAGGGAGGTTAGAAACAGCTAAGATGCATTCATCATAACTCATAAAACAAAATGAGTTACCATCAAATGCAGCTTTTAATGCAGGACATGTCTTTCTTTGCTTTCTCTCATTGTTCCTTTCATCAAAATGATTTATCTCTTATTCGATCTCTGCTGCATAATAAAAAAGTCTGTTTTGAAAATGAAATCATGCACTTCACATTATTTTGCCCATTTGATGTTTCTTCTAATTTTGTAAGCTTGTCATGAATTGACATAAGCGGATATGTTAACAATTGGAAGTATTTCATTTCATTTTGGGAACATTTCAGTGTTTAAAAGTATGGGGATAAATCCCTGAAACTTTCTGTGACTCCATTTCCTTGTGTACATGAGGGAATACAAATGATTCCTCAAGTACATTCAAGTCCTAATAATCTGTAATTCTATTTTTCAACTTCATCACGAATATTCCAACAAACTGTACTTTAAATTCAGTGCAGGCAGTTCAATAGCCATTGAAGGACATTTTTACCTTTCCAAATTGAAAGTGGCTAACAAGGTAATAATGGCACTCCATTTCACTTCACAATCCCAGTGAAGTGTTAAATAGCTGAAAGATGTGGACAGTAAATACTTGAACATTTTTCTATATTTTTTTCTTTTTTTCAGAGACTCACTCTGTTGCCTAGGCTGGAGTCCAGTGGCATGATATTAGCCCACTGTAACCTCTACCTCCCAGGTGCAAGCAAGTCTCCTGCCTCAGCCTCCCAAGTAGATGGGACTACAGGTGCATGACACCACACCTGGCTAATTTGCATATTTTTAGTATAGAGAGTGTATCACTGACTGAATACCTGACCTCCAGTGATCTGCTCGCCTTGGCTTCTCAAAGTGCTGAGATTACAGACATGAGCCATCATACCAGGCCATGCTTTTAAATTTGAACAGAGGATTATTTTTCCTCAGAGGAGAAGGATGTCAGATGTGAGGTGGGATGGGGAGAGGAAGGGAGGAGAAGCAACTGTCTTCCATTCTGACTTGCTATGGTGAGCTAAGACTAGCAAGGATGTCCTGGATGGATCAATTTGTAACATATCTGCTTATGCCAATTCATGAGAAGCTTACAACATTAGAAGAAATATCAAATGGGCAAAATAAAGCAAAGTGCATGATTTCATTTTCAAAGCAGACCTTTTTTATTATGCAGCACAGATTGAATAACAGATAAATCAGGATGCAGTTGGCTTCATTGAACATAACTTGCTATAAGCATCTACAGGAACACCCAATGCTGGAAAATTCCCTTCCAGGAAAGGCTGAAACTGACCACAGCAGGGACAGCTGTTTCTTCACTAGCCAATCAGGATGCCTACCCAAGTGTGACCAAAAGCCTCTGAGATTTAGTCTTTCACTCCAGAATACCCCAAGGTACCTGAGGATGCTCCAGATTTGGGGGCTGCACCATCTGTGGTTTCTCTACATAAAACTATTTTTGTGGAGTTGGGGGTGAGGGAGTATGGTTTACCTTTAAATATAGTTTTGCAAACTGCTTCTCTATTTAGTTGTTTGTTTTTGCATAAGCTGTTTCAAGAGAGAAAAGGTAAGTGCATACCTTGGAATGATTCAGCAACAGAATGACACCAGTCAAATCTGTCCACATAAATGATGCAATTGAATTCTTTTTAAAAGACAGGGTGTCAGTCTGTTGCCCAGGTTGCAATGCAGTGGTGAGGTCATAGCCTACTGCAGCCTCAAACTACTGATAAACTCCTCAAGTGATCCTTATACCTCAGCCTCCTGAGTAGCAGGGATACAGACATGCACCACCCACACCTGGCTTACTCTATTTTTTATTTTTTTTTTATTTTCTGTACATATAGGGTTTTCCAGGCTGCTCTCAAAGTGCTGGACTCAAGTAATGCTCCTGTGTTGGCCTTCCAAAATGCTAGAATTACAGGAATGAGGCACTCCACCCAGCCACATTTGAACTTTTTACCAATACTGCTATGGCATTACAGGTAGAATAATTATTATTTTAAAAACCTTCGGCTGGGTGCGGTGGCTCACGCCTGTAATCCCAGCACTTTGGGAGGCCGAGGCAGGCGGATCACGAGGTCAGGAGATCGAGACCATCCTGGCTAACGTGGTGAAACCCCGTCTCTGCTAAAAATACAAAAAAATTAGCCGGGCGCGGTGGTGGGCGCCTGTAGTCCCAGCTACTCAGGAGGCTGAGGCAGGAGAATGGCATGAACCCGGGAGGCGGAGCTTGCAGTGAGCCGAGATAGCACCACTGCACTCCAGCCTCGGTGAAAGAGCGAGACTCCATCTCAAAAAAAAAAAAAAAAAAAAAAAAAAAAACCTTCAGGAAAATGTGTTCACCAACAAAAAGTGAGCTATGTATGTATCTATGTGTAAATTGCTGTGTAATTTACATATGCAAATATGTGGTTGTAATTTACATATGTATGTATAATATCAAGATAAATGTTGGTCTAGAAAGAAAGAATTTTTTATTATTTGGATCTGACTAGATTAAATGCCCACATACATTTGATTGTGAAATATCTAGACACATAACTATTTGTGTAATTTTACATTAATTTTCAATTGTCATATTCTGGTTATTCATTTAAGGTAGGCTTATTAACTGATATCAAATAAATCCTAGAAAGTTATTTTACTGGTAAAATTGTCATGGCAGACTGAATCATAGTAAATAACCATTGTCACACAAATTTTATGTGAAGCCATGTGTGAATTATTATTCCATCCTCAGAATATGGTACCATTTGATCTCTACCTAGGTTGTCAGATTTTTTTTCTGAGGTAGTGTTTTTCCCATATCAATGCCCTCATTAGAGTTGGCTGGCTAGTTTCAAGCTGCAATTTCAAGCTGCAACAAATTCAGATCAAATTCAGATTCCCGCCCCATCCCCCCAACCCCCGCCCCGCCAATCCCTTGCCCTAGGCCTTCTACTACTACCGTTCCTGTGTCTGCTTTGTATTTTCAGTCTCTGCACAGGTAACTGGTATTTAATTTCCATGTAACTGCTACACTTTCTCCCTGGTATTTAACTTCAATGTAACTTGTTACCCTTTCTCCCTGGGTCACCCTTACTGTTTGTTACTGTTTTACACAGCATTAAGGGCCTTGTCTTGACCTTCCTAATGGTCAAGACATTTTAGCTTGTAACCAGAACCCTCTGAGGTAACAGGCAACCAGAAACCCAAATGTAATGGTTTTGTTTGTGGTTTGTTTATATTTGTTTTCACTGCTGTTGTTATTTTCTAAATGTCTTGTCTACTGCTCACTGGTTCTGATGCATTAAGTCTATCTGTTCCACATCATTCTCTGTAATGGGATCTACATTATTCATTTCTTTCCACAGCATACAATTGGCATGTGGGTAAATTTGCAATACTGGTATGCATGTTAGGGCTTCTTCAGCCAAAAGAGCAAGCCTGCTACCTCAAGCCTAGGACAAACCTGCCATCGAAAGCATTACCTAAGACAGGCAGCCTTCTCCCCTCCCTCAAGGATAATATTAACTACATAATGTTTATCAAATACTTTTGTCTCCTTGCTCATCAACGATAGTAGTCTGTCTGTTGAAGGAGTTAAAATTGAACTACATAATCACCCTCTGAGAATTCAAACATGAACCTACCTGCTAATATTTGGGCCATGTAGCTCTGATGATTTTGCCTTTAACTGTTTAAGAAAGATGTGTGAAGACTGAATCAAACTGTTCTTTTTCTTAATTTTTGACAGGACATGAGAGATTAAACACACACACACACACACACACACACACACACACACACGAGAGATAAAATATTCAGATAAAACTTATTTGTTCTCAAACATAAGACCAGTAAGACCAGAGGTGCAAAATAATATTAGCCTATCGTTAATATAGGAAAAATAAACAATTTCATTGTATTTTTATCCCACTTCTTGGCACTCAACAAGTTTTGAATAAGTAAATAAAATAAAGAAAAAATCAACAAGTTCATTTCTCCAAATTATTTTGGTAATTTAAAGATACTTCATATCCTGTTGGCACTTCTTTCTGCTCTGTGTCAATGGAAGTATTCTGAATACTGTTAGGTAGTTAATTTGATTAAAATTCATTACAAAGAACCAACCTTAAGTTATTTGGTATGCCTGCTAAATCCATTAGTATAGGAGGCTTTAAGGCCATAATGTGTCTGTCTTCAGGGTAAAATTCAAGAGAGGCAAATGATACATGAGGTTTTCCAGAAATATTGGACCAGGGAGCCTCTTCAAGATAGAATACCTGATTCGGGAGTTCTTATACTTTTTAAAGAATCATTTGCATTTCTCTAATGACCAGTGATGATGAGCTTTTTTTCACATGTTTGTTGGCTATGAATCAGTTCAACCATTGCAGAAGAGTGTGTGGAGATTCCTCAGGGATCTAGAACCATAAATACCATATGACTCAGCCATCCCATTACTGCGTATATACCTAAAGGATTATAAATCATTCTACTATAAAGACGCATACACATGTATGGTTACTGCAGCACTGTTTACAATAGCAAAGACTTGGAACCAAACTAAATGACCATCAGTGATAGACTGGATAGAAAAAAATGTGGCACAAATACACCATGGAATACTAAGCAGCCATGAAAAAGAATGAGTTCATGTCCTTTCCATGAACGTGATGAAGCTGGAAACCATCATTCTCAGCAAACTAACAGAGGAACCGAAAACCAGCACCACATGTTCTCATATAAGTCCAATCTGAACAATGGGAATACAGGGACACAGGGAGGTGAATTTCACACACTGGGGCCTGGTGCAGGGTGGGAGAAAGGGGGAGGCAAAGCTCTAGGACAAATACATAATGCATGTGGGGCTTAAAACCTAGATGGCTGGTTGATAGGTCCAGCAAACCACCATGGCACATGTATAACTCTATCACAAACCTGCACATTCTGCACATGTATCCAAGAACACACACACAAAAAAAAGAATCTTCATAAAATATTTTCCTCTGAGACAATGTAATCTATGCTCCATCTTTAAGCAATCCTAGCTCAATAGTATGAGTGATGTTATCTATTTTAAAGGTCCTCTCATGACTCTAAAAGACCTTAAATTGATGAAAAAAGTAAATTATATGAGCGGCAGTAGAGTTTGAAGCAATTACCTGTGATGTTACCAGATGTTTTAGACTAAAATATATTACAATTCAAGGTACTGTTCATGCCTTAAAAATGCTGAAATATCTGACTGTTGCTTATTGATTTTAAAAAGTATGTAGGAAATAGCCATAAATTAATCAAGCTGTTTCCACTACCATATGTTAAAAAAAAAGGATCACTAATATTTGAATGTTTTTGTTGAATCAAGGTAATCTGCTTTATGTGTGCATTCATCCATATAACTTACTAAAATGAAAACTAAGGTTTTATAAATGTAGGGTTTGACAAAGTTTTAAAATCTAACCAGCTATACAAATATAGTATATGAAAAATTCTATTAAATTGTAAAGAACATGCTAATTTCTCATTCCAGGAAGCTTTCTTTTCATTACTCTTTCCTATTTGATCTGTTCTTCAATAGAATTATCTTCATTTTCCCTTTAATATTTTAAGGACCCTTGAGATTTTATCACTCATCCAAATAGCATAAAGGAAAGAGGGAAGAAGAAAGGAAGGAAAGAAGGAAGGAAGGAAGGAAAGAAGGATGGAGGGAGGGAAGGAGGGAGAGAAAAAAAGGAAGGAAAATAGAGAAAAAGAAGGAAGGAGGGAGGGAAGTAAGGGAAGAAGGAAGGAAGGGAAGGAGAGAGGTATGAGGATGAAAGAAAAAAAATGTAATGTATACAACAAAAATGAAAGAAAGTAATCCATACCTGAACTAAAAATCTTAACAACGTTCTTGTGAACATCCACACATAGGCAGGATTTTTTAGAGTACAGGGATGGCCTATTTTGCCTCTCCATTACCAGCTCAGAATTTGCTTTCTGGCCTGTATCTGGCATATAGTAGATGATCAATAAAAATGACAAATGAAAGAACATACTAGGTGGCTCTATATAAGAGCTAGCTCCTGCTCTATATAAGAGCTAGCTCTATATAAGACCTAGCTCCTCCAATAAAAAAGCTGTTTTGCACAAAAGGATAAATTGATCTTAGTCACTGATTTTCTTTCTTGCCATTAACTAGAGCACTAAACCCCTAAGCCTTCCATGTTGATTTTTCATCTGGAGCAAGACCACAGAAGTGATTTTGCCAACAGAATTGGTCCCACAGAGGGATAAAAGCTAAGCATAGGTCCAGGGACATCACCACCTCCCACCCCGAACACACTGAGGACATTGCCAATTTGTCATGACTTCCACACAACCTCAGGTAGTTTCTCAGTCTATAAGCAGATGTTGTCTATCCATCTCGGTGGGAGAGACACATGGCTTGACACATCCTCCCACTCAAATGAGCTTTCCTGACTGGTTCACAAAACACACGAAAGGTCGATTTCTCAGGATTCACAGAGTGCCATGATGTGCTTGCTATCATATTACAGTCATTTATAGCTCTTATGCTCCACTTGAAAGTAAAGTTGTAGTTTCCATGGACCACTACGCATAGTAACCATAGCTCCTGTGAATCAGCCTAGAAGTTCACTCACCACCTATAACACAGTTTCTTTTGGAAAATGCATGTCTATATATATAGTTTGCAGTATACTACATATATAGTTTGTATGTATTTTTAATACATAAAAAGCAAGAAAAATACATATACAGAACATAAATATATACATATTTTATTATAGATTTAGATGGATTTTATTATATCTTATATACAATAGGTATATATAATAGCAATATATAAATTATATTTATTACACAATATATAATACATTATATAATATAAAAATTGTATTTAAATGAGTTATACTCAATATATAATAAATAAGTATACAAAACACATTTTTATTATATATTTATGACTTATTGTATATGCTATATATTAATATATAACTTATATTTATATAATACATTTTATGTTTAGATAAATTGTATTTTGTATAAGTAAGTTTGCAAGTGATAAAGGCTTTCATCAGTAATATAAACTGTATATAAATACAATTATGTAAATGTACATAAATACAACTATCTAGAAATAAATATATATTAAACAGCTATTGAAGATGACAGTTTTATTCAAGTATAGAAGTTGTATACAAATACTATTATATAAATGCACATAAATGCAATTGTATATAAATTACATATTGTATGTAGAAACTGAAATGAATAATCTATGATCTGTGTATGTTTATATGCACCCTATTTTATATATAGATATAGATATAGATGATGAAGGCTCTATAGATATAATCTGCAAATAAAACTATTTTGTCCATCTTAGTTATACTCGTAGCTGTTAAGTGACCTAGCCCATTTCTTTCTGCACACCTGTATACTGATGCTTCAGAAACATAAGTCTGCTTACAGTCTCATCATGTGTAAGTAGATTTCTAAAGAGCCTGTGCACAGTGGTGAGTGAACAACCTAAATGAGAAACCCTCTAGCATTCACTCACTTCTTCTCTAGTTATTACCTGGGATTGTCAATGCTTTTCCATAAGTACAAGGGTGAATAAGTAGTGCACATTAAATTTGAGTTCAAAGGAAGTCTGCAGGAAGAGAGGGACTCAAGTTCATAAAGAGACTATAATGAGGTTCTCAACATTTGTGACTTCAAACTCCTTCATATTTATTGAAAGTCAATGCTGGGTTTCTGAAGCTGGGCTGTTACAATGCTCTACAAGCTTTCTGTAAGGCTTCAATGGGAACAGTCTCTCAGGCCAGCCTTTGGGCACCGAGAGAAATAAAGGTGAGAATCTTCTACAAAGTCAGATAAAAGGGTTATGAATTTAGCCTTAGTAAAGAGTGCCCAGTTTGATCACTGTAAAAGTTGTCAATTGCTCCATGAAAGAATACCACATTGCACAATATTGATGGACAAGACAGAGTAGCATTTTGTCACACATATAGTTTCACCATAAGCATAGGCAATAACACCTTTTTTGGAATCAGAACTCAATTTAGAAAAAAAATATTCCAGGAGACCTAGAGAAAATGGGCACCTGTCCCTAAACACATACTTTATACTACTTAGGTCTCACTTTAATGAATATATTCACTCCTAAATGAAGATTACACCCAGGCCCATCATAGGTAACTTTACACCTTTCATTGTAAATTTTCTATTTTTATTTTTTATGTTTTATTTATATATATTTTTTAGAGATAGGGTCTTGCTCTGTCTCTCAGGCTGGAGTACAGTGGTGTAATTATAGCTCACTGCAGCCATGAACTCCTATGTTCAAGTGATCCTCCCACCTCAGTTGGAACCACAGGTACTTGCCTAGTGCCAGCTACTTTGTTTTTAATTTTTGTTTCTTTGTGGAGTTAGGGTCTCACTCTATTGTCCAGGCCAGGTGTTATGGATTGTTTAATATAACATAGGTTTGGTGAATGATGGGAATAAAAAAAGGAAAGTAACTAATGAAAAATGATATTTTTCCTTCAGATATATATATATATATATATATATGTACATATATGTGTTTATACATGTATGTACATATGTGTGTGTATATATATACACACACACACATACTTGCTTTTATCTAGTGTGTTAGAATGGCTGAGAAAAACATTTTCTGCAAGGACTAGTTCCTAGTTAGTGTGTTGGCATATGTGCACATGTATGTGTATACACCTGCTCATACATACTGCCATTCTTACAGTGTAGCTTCAGGGCATGAGGGCATATTGTCTCACTTAGGAAAACAGTTAACAATGATAAAATTTGTTTGTGAAAACACGCATTTACTTTTGTGAGTTTCCTCACCTAACCCACTCACAGAGTTATATTCACAGAGAGTAGTGAGGACTGGAACAAGTTAAAGACACTCAGTTGCAATGAGTTTCTTCTGCCCCCATCCCCCATGCTTTTGGGACCATAGTTCCATGCTGAACAGCTCTGACTGACCATTGGAGTCACATGGCATGCCTCACTGAGTTCTTGGAATTGCCCGTCCCATACTCCAGAGCCACATATTGGTGTTGTTGAAATACTAAACATGGAAAATGGCACCGCATGCAACTTCACTACAGCCATCATCAAAGAACCAAGGAGGCCTTTTCCACACCTTGTGAAAACAAACCACAAGTCACCATGGCTCTTTTATCAGTGCCAATAACACTTTTAGTAACCTCAGTCCTTTTTTTTTTTAAAGGATCCAAAAACTTACTACCTAATGCAACTTGAAACAACTCAAGTTCCTTTTCAGCTTATTGACAGGCTACGTTTCATGACTGAAAAAGGTGCCCTTAGCAAAATATGTGTCCCCTTTCCCCACCCAAAGCATACAAACAACCAAACAAAAACAGAGAAAATGAGCCTGGATGAAGGGTTGATGTGGGAGCCAGGAGACATGCCCACAGATGTTAATAAAATCACATGTCTGGGGTGATGGCTTTGAGATCCAGGTTTTCATCATCCAATCAGATACTGGCCTCTTAAAACCAAAATGATCATCGATATTAACAGGTGGAGCTAAGAAAGTCCCATTGTAAGCCAAAAATACCACTCTGTTACTTTGACAAATCATGATTTCTTTATGTAATGTACATTTTAAATAGAACAACCCAAACAAGATCCTGGGCCACTTCTCCACATTTCCAGAGAGCAGTGAAAGCCTAGATCATTTCATTAGCAATATAATGAAATTAACATTTCTCTCTTCGAAATGTATTCTTCAACCAATGGGACTATGAATGTTCACTGTACTTCATCTCCCGTCTAAAGTATGGACGATTACTCTTTTCCTGTCTTAAATAATAAAACCTCATGATATGATTTGACTGTGTCCCCACCCAAACCTCATCTTGAATTGCGGCTCCACAATCCCCATGTGTCATGGGAGGGACGTGGTGGGAGATAATTGAATCACAGGGGCAGTTTCCTCCATGCCATTCTCATGATAGTAAGTTCTCACAAGATCTGATCGTTTTATAAGGGGCTTTCCATGAATCACTTGGTTCTCATTCATCTCCTTCCTGCCATCCTGTGAAGGATGTGTTTGCTTCCCGTTTCCCATAATTGTAAGTTTCTTGAGGCCTCTCCAGCCATGCTGAACTGCGAGTCATTTAAACTTCTTTCCTTTATAAATACAAACCTTATTAAAATATATATTACTATATATATATAATATACAGTAAGATACAGATTTTACTCTATATATATAGTTACATATATAGAGAGAGTTTTTAAAAATATTGTTGGGGTTAGGCCTGCTCTCCTTCAGGTACCATTTCTGGGAAGATGAGCATGCCTTGGGAAGATGTGGTATATGGAGGTGTTCCCCATACATCAGGGACATGTGAACTCAACACAAAATGTCTAAAGTTTGAAATCTCAACCCAAGGTAGATAGGCTGTTTTCCACCATCAACCTTCCACTCCTGTAGTGTTTTTATGAGCCTTTTATTTACTTATTTTTTATTTCATGTAATCACCTGCAGAGAGAAGGCCTTTTCATCTACACATTTATTCAAAGCCTATGAATGTCACAATGACAAACTGCTAGGAGGTATCGCCTTCTTTTTTTCTCATTCATGTGTGCCACTCTGCCCCAAGAAAAATGAGGAAGGGTTTCCTACACTGCCATTCACTTAACAAAAAACAGTGGAGCCTTTCAAAGTCCAAATGTAGGTTGTTTAGATTAAAATGATGAAACTGTAAAATATTCATTGACTGAATGGTAGCAGAGGGCACAGCAGATGACCTAATTGCCTCAATGGCCTGGGCTTCAATTTCCATTCTCACTTTCTCTAAATGACTGGGCAAAAGCTGTATCTTTGATTTAAAACTTGTAGCTCAGGGGTTTAAGAAATAAAAGGTGGCTATACAGAAGGCACAGTCTGTCTGAAAATCCATTCACATAATTAAGTAGGAGATGAAGACTCTCCTCTGAAAAAGTGTAGTACTCAGACAAAAACAAAAAACAGCAATGGATTTGAACTCAACTGAACATATTTTTCCCATTTAGGAATAGAATACATATTGTTAAAAATCAGAAAGTAGTATAGAAAGAATACATTCTGGTTTACAAACTAAAATTGTGTTGCTTAAACTTGACATTCACATCCTAAGACCGGCTCTCACCATATTTGGAATTTAAGTATATTTTAACCACATACGCCTGTCTTCAGAAGGAGGACATTAAATGACTTAAAATATTTTTATATTGCTACTTCATTTGAATGCAATATTCACAATATTCGCTCAGCAACTTGCATTATTGACAATATTCAAAGTTTTAGGAAAGGTTTGAAGTGTGGAGTACCAATTAAAATGAAAGAATGTTTAAAAAAGGTCATTCGGTCATGCACTTGAATGTTTACTTTTGTGAGATCCTTTTTTGTGGTGTAGAAATAAAAGCACAGTATTCCAAAGAGATTTTAAAGAGACCCCTGCACTTGTGAAAGCAATTCTCTGATGGCGAGTCAGTCAAAAGCTCCTGTCTTTGTGGAGAGACTATAAGCTTTCCACAAATTACTACACACACAAAAATGAAAAAGCCAAATTCACAAATTAAAAACAAATCTGTATGCTTACCATTAGTCTACATTCCAGGCCCAAAACTGTGAACTTTCAAATTCCTTCAAGTCTGCTTGTAAATTTTACAGCATCAAGATAACATAATTATCTACCTTATGCAGCCACTAGTCCCTTACCAAGTATCTGTTATATTCTTAGGTTTGGGTAAAAATCAGCTAGGTTACTGGTTTTAGGGCCTACTGTATATGAAGCATTAGTTTATTTAAATAAAACACAAAGAAAAGAAAAATTCTTTCACCAGAGCAGAAAACATCAAAGCAACTTTAAAATGGTATCCAAGCACAAACATTATTATGAATATGCAATTATCATTCTAGTGTTACACACACACACACACACAAAATCAAGCCTCCGATTTTAATCCACTGATTTAAAACTGATGAAGTAATTTTCCACTTCCTACAATGGCCCTGATTATGTTTTTACATGTCAAAGATACTCTTTAAAAAGACTACATACACACACACACACACACACACACAGACACACATACAGAAATATGGAATGCATGTGTGTGTAGAATGCATTCATTGCATTGTGTAATAAAATACCGGATTTCTAATCTGAGAAAATACATCCTTGCAGAGGTCTCCATGAAATTCCTATATAGCCATCCCCCAACCCCTTAACATTTTGCTCATTTCCACAGGAAAATCTATGCTAAGGATTTGATGGATTACTGCTAACATCTTCACCAGGGCCAACTAAAGGTATGAAATAATTCTCCACTCTCCAAATCTGCCCTCACAAAACTGTAGATTTCTTTGAGATCTGATTTCTCCCAGCTCTGCCATCCTCTAGGAAAAGGCTCAGTGCGTTCATTGAAAGCAATCAGGTCTCTTGTAGTTTCTGCCACTTTGTTTTCATCAAAGTCAGGTGTTTGCACCCTGGCCATTTAATTTCTAGTTGGAGAAGAAAGAAGCTATCCAAGGATTTCTGAAACACGCACTTCTATGTTGCCCGCAGAACGACCACACAAACTGGCAATTCCGGCTTCGTGGGGATAATGAAGTCTCCCTAAACTTCTTATTTTGTTTATTTTTCCTTTTCTTTGCTTTTGCCTCCCTCACATCACAGGAGCGACTGATTCTGAAATGGAAGCTTATGCACACCACCCCACTTTTAAGAAAATATAATGCAACGCGGTCTTATGTAAACCCTACGGGCAATGGATGCCTTCAAAAAGCATAAGATTGGAGTACACAGAGAAAAAAACATCCCCCACTCCCCACACACAAAAAAAATGAACAATAGAAAAATAAAATAAAATAATAAAATAAAAATAATATAAGCCATACTACCACCTTGTGGATTCAGCTCGCAAGGACGTCACCTGCTTAGTTTCAAAACCCCTACCCAACCCCCACCCCAAATTTCTTAATTTGGGTCCAAATGGTAAATCTGGATCCTCCGTCCTTGCTCCGGGCAGTCTCGCCCAAGCCCTGGGCTGAATTCGTGACTTGGGGGCCCAGTGCCCCAGCTAGCTGCAAGCTCGGGCACATCACCAGGCCCAAAATCCCGCCGCCACCTCCTAGTACCCTTCCACGCTGCCTCCTACACCGCCTTCCCCTGCATCCCCGAGATAGCAGCCGCACATACATGAAAAGAGGCCCACACCTGCGGTAAGGTGTGGAAGAAGCCAGAGAAAAGGAAACCGGGAAAAAAAAAGAAAAAAAGAAAAAGCCTTCTCAAGAAGGGGAGGGGTATGATGCGTAGGACATCCTCCGGGTTCACCTCGTTTTCCGAGCGAGACATTTGTTCCCAGGGTGGTCCTAGGCAGGCCTCTGGGGTGCAAGGGTTGCCCTGACGCCCCCGCTCCCGCTCCCGCTCCTCCGGGTACAAAGGGCCCTGTGTCTGGCGGCGACTAGGCTCCAGAACTGTACGCCTGGGCCCGGATTTGCGCGCGGCACGGGGCCTAGATACCGGGGGCGCAAAGCTCGCGACTCGGCTCACTAGACCCCCGCCGAGGGACCCCAACCTACCGGTTCTCCGAGGGGCGAAAGAGCCAGGTCAGGCTGGGAGGCAAGGGGAGGAAAGGGCGTCCAGGAGACCGCCTGAAGGATGAGAGTGTCCCTGGGGTAGATCGGCCTCCTGGAAAACCGCAGGCAGAGAGCGCCACCGCGGAGTGGAAGGCGCAGGCCGGAACCTGAACCTCTTGTCCCACAGCAAGCCCCCAACCCACTCGTCATCTGCAGCCCAGTGGCACCTACCTCCCTCTCCCCACGCCATCCCGGCCCGCGCTTCCGCAGGTCAAGCCAAGCCGCTTCAGGCGCGGGTTGGGTTGCCCCAGCCGTGGCAGTGGGGAGGGGACGGGGCTGAAGTTCACTCTCTCCCTGCTTCGTCTCACAGCCCCTAGCTCACCCGCCACCGTCTCTGCCGCCTCCGACTGTGCTCTTGGCTGATCTTCGCTTTCAGTTCCGCCTAGGGGAGTGGGAGGGAACGGAGCCGAGCTGCGCGGGAATTGGGAGGTGGGAAGCGGGGGAGAAGAGACCAGATGAAATCGGCCCGGGTCAGCAGAGAGCCTTGAGATGGGATGGTGCGGGAGGAAGGAGCGGGTGGTGGTTGCCTTTTCTAGGGCTGTGGGGATGGTGTGCCTATTGGAACGGATTCCTCAGACCCCTCCCCCATCCCTACCTTAGGGACTGGCAGACCCGCAGGCTTAACACTCCTCCGAACCCCCGATGGGAGAAGGGGTGTTCTTAGTGGGCACCGACTAGGGCTCCGGATCACCTGATACCTAGACCAGGGCTCCGGGCGCCTGTCTTTTCGGCTTCCAACTTTTCCGCTCCTCCGGAAAAGCGGGCAGTTCAGAGATGGTGCCGAGGGTGGCAGCGGCAAACCGCCCTGCACCCCCATCTAAGGTCCAGGCCACACTCAAAGGCTTCCGAAGAAGCAAAACCACCAGCTCTACCCCACTTTTGCGGCTTGCCTCACCACTCCCACCCACGTCGTAACCCACACACACGGGAAAGGGGTGCATGGATACCGCTCCCGAGTTTGGAGGAGCAGCACGGAGCTACAGTCATTTCATCTTCACGCGGGGTTTCCAGCGCGCCCCGATCTTTCTCCAGCCCAACCAAGCCATGCCAGGTCTAATCAATCACTTGGATTATTTCGTGCATCCCCCAAGCCTTATCTTATCCGAGGCCAGGAGATGAAGGAAGGGAAAAAAAAATCTCATAATGCAACCCCAACCAAGCTTTATTTCCCCTTTTCTCTCTGGTTAATGGCACCAACCCCCAACCCCAGCCTCCCAAAAGAAGCACCCCAGGCAGTGGTGGTTTTCTTAAAGAAGACGAGGGCTTTGGAGTGGGGAGAAAAGAGAAGAAAAGCCTTCCATGCTCACAGTTTGCAGAAGTCCTCCTGCTTTCGCCATCTCCAGCCCTGGCCTTTTCCCTCCTTTTCCCCTGTACTGCATGTATGTGTGTGTGTGTACATATATATATGTGTGTGTGTATGTGTACACTCACAAACTCACACATACGCATATATATGTCTGTGTGTATATATATATATATTTTTCCCCTCCTTTCCCCGCCACAGTCTTCCTTTAATTTGTATGGAAGGCAGCGCTACTTTTTAAACACACCGCACATGGCCCCAGAGCTGTTCAAACAGCTGATTGCAGCAAAATGCTTCCAAACAACATTGGTGGTCTGCATTTTTATTTTTAAGTGAAAATAAAACCAAATGTTCCTGTGGAGAGATTGCATGTAAAAGCCATACATCGATGTCCACATTCCCATCCACACCAAAGAAATGGAGCGAGACAGATGGGAGAGAGTCCAGCCCAAATTGTCCAATAATAATAATAATAAAAGGAAAAAATAAATAAATATTAGATGAAATGAAGCTCAAATATCGCCAGTGAGGCTTTCCCTCCTTTGCTGGAGAGCCACTGCAAGTCAAATTGTTTAAACGGCTTTTTAAAATAAGGATAATAATATGCGAAAGACACGTCTTAAAACTGCACCTACCTTAGCTGTGGAAGACCTGCATCGCCGTTAAGAGTTCTTTTTACACATCCAAATTTTTCTAAGGAACCTGAAACGCAGTATGATTCAGGAGGATGTATTGAAAGCCCAGGCGCCTTCCCCTTCGGGAACCCCCCAACTAGATTCGCTCATCCAGAGGAATGCAAGAGCCACCAACATTGCCGGGTTTGGAGGAAATTCATTGTTTCTGCTGTCAATAGTGTGTCCCCGGGCAGAACAAGCATTACAATTGAAGCAGGAAAGGCCGAGCTAGTGGCTGAATAAGAGCTCTGTACTAACAGACAGAGATGGGAGAAAGATGTCTCTGCAAGAAAAAGAGAGCTAGGGGAGAGAGGTCCTTCTGCTTCCGGCGCTCTCCTTCTGCCATTGGACCAAAATGAATGAAATTTACAAACCCAGCAGCCAATAGATCTCCAGAGTCGTCCCAATCGCTACAAAACCCACGTCCACAGCTACAACCTCATGCAAAGAGCAACTAATCCCAGTGCAAACCAGCTGTAACAGAGAGATCCTGGGAACCCTGGAGATAGAGCAGGGTACCCAGATGCGCACAGCAAACCTTCTTCCTCTTTGCTTTTTTAGGAATCTCTAGGTACTCTCCACACCAAACATGATGTCGTATATGCAGACATCTTTAACTGTTTAAGGTCACAGTCTCCAGCAGTCCCTATGTCTGCGTTATTGTGAGTCAATTGGGAAGCAATGATATTAAAAAAAATTTTAAGAGCAGCGAAAATTGGAATACAGCTCTGTAAAGTACAGGAGCTTTTTATGCCGAGGTTATGGTTGAAAGAGGATGAATGAAGGCTTTTTGTTTACTTCTATTGTTATAATTTCATGATTTGGATAAAATATAGGAGGTGTGCTTACCAAGAGGCAGTTGTTTCTAAATACTCCTCATTTCCCAGGTCCAGGAGGTTATCTTTCCCAGGGAGTTTCAAGTTGCAGGGGGCGAGGAGGAGGGTGTGACCCCTGTATTTAAAATTGGGTTGGAGAAAGTTGGCTTGAAATTGACAATGCTTAAAGTTCCCAGTATTTAAAGTTGGCTTCAAGAAAGTTGGATTTAAATTGGCAATGCAAAGATCAGAGTACATCATAGAATGTTGTGGCAATGAACACAGATTCTAAAATGAGATTGCTTGGGTTTAAGTTGCATGTGACCTTAGGAATGAATTTTAATATTCGCCTCCATTTCTGCATCTGTAAAATGGAACAGATAATCTCCATGTAATATTGTCATATTGATTAGCTGAGCTAGTGTGTGGGGCCTGCTTATCTTCACAATATTTCATGGTGATTACTTTTATTCTACCTGGCTATAAAAGTTAGCTTTTCTTAAAATTATTTCATTGCCCATTAATTCATTTATGGAAGGAAAAAAGATAATGTCCACAACACATAGGACATTCTCCTAATTGCTTCTGCTTTAGGAAGTAAACCTAAGCATGAAGCCTTCCATGATGATGCGAAGGATTTTGGACAACATGAGCAATAATGGGGAAGATGATGGACATGAATCTGGGGACCTGGTTTCATGTTAAGACTCTATCCTCACAAATTTTGCCTTGTCATAAAGTCAGTTATGTTCTGTGACTCTGTTGAGCTGACATTATTATTACCTTTCCTGTGGGTTGCTTTTCCTTGTGGGGACTAAATGAGATAATATGCATGAAAGCATCCTTTGCCAACAAGATTGGTACATAGATATACACTTATCTATTAAAAGATATCTATAGCCAATAATAGAAAAATGTATATACATACATACATATATGTGTGTGTGTTCCCATTAGATATTTAGAAATATACATATACTTTTTTCCATTATTGTGTAGATATTGAAGACCCATTAACATGATAGTATTGTTTATAAATACAGCTTATCCCCCAAATCAGTGATATACATGGATGTAGACATATATATGTAGATATATGGACTATATATAGATATCTATGTCCTAAACTAAACCAGAACCTCAACTTGAACACACTAATTTATAATAGGCCACAAAGTCATGGACTTTGCCAAGAATGTATTAATTCATTGACTTATTCATAAGTTCAGGTTTTTTTTTTTTTAGCACTGACACAGTCCTAAGCACAGACATGTAACTGTGAGTGAGACTTATCCATTTATTTTTGAGAAAGCATACATTATAGTAGACAAGATAATGAAAAGCATGAGAAAAAAATGTGATTACAGGAAGGTGTGTACAAGGAATACATATAAATTAATAGGGACCCATAGAGGTTAAAATAATTAACCAAGGGTTTGCAAAGGAAGAACATTCAGAGTAGGGAAGGAATGGTACATCGACACTGATTGGTTGAAGAAGTTGAAAAAGAAGCCATGGCTAAAGACATCGCAGCAATACTGTATGTGTGGAGATCTAGAAATAGGGAGGGTTTGGCATGGCAGGACATTGAATTTGAAAAGAAGGTAGTGAGGAAAGGATTAGAGACCTAATTGTGAAGAGTTTTAAATGTCATGCTGAAAAGGTGGAATTTATCCAGTAGGCAGTGGGAAAGCCAATAACACATTTTCTGCAGTGAGGGAAGAAGAAATAATCAGATTTATGTTTTAGGACAATCACTGTGATGGCAACATGGAGAACTAGTTGAAGAGGGCCAATGTGGAAAGCAAAGAAAATGTTTGTAAGGTTGTTGCAAGAATGGCTGTGACAAATCAAGTCCTGAATGAGAGAGACAGAGAGAGAAAGAGAAAAGGAGAAAAAGAAGGGACAGAAAAGAAGTGGAGGGGAGTGGAGGGCAGGGGAGATGAGGGGAGGGGAGAGGGGAAGGGAAGGGAGTGGAGATTGCTGTGGGGAGACATCAACTCTAAATACTTTAAGGCAGCATGATAAAGTGAGATTGGGAGGGAGATTTTGGGCAAAATCTGAATGCTTGGCTTAGTTTGTGGGTGCATTGGTTGGGTAGCAGATCTCTTCCCTGAGACATGTGACCTGGGAGAGAGCAGACAAGTCACTTCTGTCTGAATTACTTCACTAAGACTTTTTAAAATTAATTAATTAATTTCTTAAAAAAAAAAAAAAGGCCAGGAGCAGTGGATCATGCCTGGAATCTCTGCACTTTGGGAGGCTGAGGCAGGGGGAACACTAGAGCCCAGGAGTTCGATATCACCCTGGGCAATGTAGTGAGATCCTGTTTCTACCAAAAAATTAAAATAAGAGTGGTAGTGCATGCTTGTGGTACCAGCTATTCAAGAGGCTGAAGGTTGGGCCACTTGAGCCAGAGAGGTTGAGGCTGCAGTGAGCCATGATCATGCCACTGTACCCCAGCCTGTGTTGCAGAATGAAACCCTCCCTCAAAAAAAAAAAAAATTAAGAAAGCATCTTAGACAAATGGAATCATGCTTATAAGAAAAAGTGAATATAAGATATTATGAGTTTATAATTTTCCCTAATCCAAAATCCCTCATAAGTGACCAGGATAGAACCTAAAACACCAGTTCTTAACAACTGAGCCACAGGATTACGATACAGACAGAAGAGCTTCGGAGGTTTAAATTCTGAATTCCTGGAAGAGATAAGGATATCATTCTTCATGTTTCCACTTGAAATCTAATTGTGGAGTATGGTGAGATGTGGGAGCTAGGAGGATTCATAAAATGAAATAAAACAGTAGGGTTCCTAGAAGGATATATAAGCTGGGTTTGGTACAAAGAACTGGATGAAACATGAGACATAATCTATACCACATTACTTGTTCTCTCTGATTTTCCATCTCAGTGTCTTCATCAACTACATTCTACATACTGTTATGTTCATACTATTATGAACATACATACATTCATACATACTATTATGTTAATGCTCCTATGGGATCAATATGTGGAACTCGAAATACAATACTGGTGAAGCCAGATACACTATAGGGCACTACTGATTCCTATTGACTCTCCTAATACAATGGTCAAATTGAAACAAATATTTTCAGTAGGATAATTGTTAGTGCAATAATAATATATACTATGTTATTAATCATTATTGGAAAGATAAATATGTATAGCATAAAAGATGCTTAAAATCTAATAAGGGAATAAATTAAACTCTTCAATTATTAAAATGCAACTCAATGTGTGATATATGCCATCTCCAAAGCATACAGAAGGCATAACAAGCATCCTATTGGGATGATGAGAAAAAGGTTCACAGAACAAGTTTTTTCTGGGGAATTGGAGAGTAGATATGGGAAATTATTCCAAGTTAATAATATCTAGAGAAGAGAAATAGATATGGAGTGAGCAGAGGCTTTGGAACTTCAAGGTCAACAAGGATGACCCAGGAAGATGGTTACAAAATCCATGCCTCTAGAGCTAAACACCAGGATTCAAACTTCACAGGTCTCGAGTGAGTTCTGGGAACCTGAATATGTGGGGCCACCCTGCTACATGAGGTTGTTTTATTAGATAATACTCAAGTTAAACTCTGAGAACAGGAATGGTGGTGAGCTACTTGTAGGTTCTTGTGATTCAAAGAGGAGAATAAGAAGGCTGGACTACAGAGGATTATGAATATTCATTGACTGGAATCCTTATTGGTGTTAGTGGGGGATGGTGGCAGAGATTACCTTTCAGAGAATTTACTCTGAGGGAATTTAAGATCCGGGACATTCTAGAACAAAAGAGGACAGTGATACTGCAGCATTCATAAATTAGGATATTAGTAGTGAAAATACCCAGTAATAGGGAAATTTCAGAGTAGTAGTAAATTTTTTTCACTATGGATGGCATTTGACTATATGCATAGTTGCAAAAGTTGAGTAAAAACGGGATGGAGCCCTAAAATGAGAAAAGACTAAAGATAGCTTTGATGTGGTGCTATGGGAAGGATATGATGAGTGATAGTGCATTCACCCAAAGTCACTTGTATGGAAAGAAAAATGAGATGCTTGTGGATCATAGAAATACCAATGACCCACAGACCTGAGATCTTTGGGAGAGGAGATTTGATCTGAATAGGGATCTTAAAGTAGGATCTGTAGATCTGAGCACAAACCCTGTGGATATGATACTTAACATTTTGGTGTAAAATAGAGAAAGCGTTCACTTAAAAGGAAAGGCAAATCTTTGGAGGAAGTGACACTGGGTAGGGTCTTGATAGCAACCTGAAATAGGGTCATTGTCCCATCTGCAAAGATCTCTGGCAAGAGAAAACATGGCATGGAATTCAAGGAAGGATTGTAACCTTCTCAAGGAGTAGGCAGGAGTCAATTGTGTCACAGTCTTCAGAGATTTTAGGAGTGAAGGAAAATGGGAGAGTATCATTGCATTTTGGAATCAGTACAACATTGACAGCCTTCAGCTGAATATGTTAGATAGATTCATGACTGGGAATCAGATGAGGAAGTTGAAATCATAATTATAGTCTTAATGTGAAAGAAAAAAAAAGATAAGGTAAATTCAGAAATAGCAGGCTTGTGGTGGATCTTTTTTTTTTTTTTTTTTTGAGATGGAGTCTTATAGTTTTGCCAAGCTGGAGTGCAGTGGTGGGATCTCAGGTCACTGCAACCTCCACCTCCCAGATTCAAGCAATTCTCCTGAGTCAGCCTCCCGAGTAGCTGGAACTACAGGTGCACGCCACCACACACAGCTAATTTTTAGTAGAGGGGAGATTTCACCATGTTGGCCAGGATGGTCTCGATCTCCTGACCTTGTGATTCACAGTGGGTCATTTTTAAGTGGTTTGCTAATTGTTGTTTTTATTCACTTATTCACTAAGCATGAATGTGAGAACTGTTGCTTTTCCACAAACTCTGCAAAATACAAAAGATGGATAAATAAGACATAGTTTTTGCTCTCACATACCTAATTCTTTACCCCATGCCCCTTCTAATCCAAACAATTTCCTCATTTTATTTTTATGTATCTGTTAGTTTATTTATGGTGTTTCTTACTTTTATTTGCTATTTTAGGCATGGTTTAGAAAAAAGTCTCTGCAACATATTGATGATAAATGCCACAGGTTTCACAATTATATGAGGCCAGTTCAGAGCATAAGTTTTAATATACATCAGAAATCATAGGACAAAAAGTAACATTTGTATAATATCTGTTTTGATACCTATATCTATCTATATCCACATATGAATATAGATATTATATATTTAAAATATATAATGTTAAGTTATATATTATCTATATATAAATCATAAACTAGGGTAAACAACATACTCAATTTTTTAGAAAACATTTAAGGAGTGTTATTCCCAAACAGGATTTAAAGTCTAGATTACAGAGTAAGATAATTAACAACATGGATTCAATAAGAGTAATATGACATATACCTTAGAAATGTTTGCACCCTTAAGGTTTAGCAAATTTCATTCTGTTGCTAAATAAACCTTTTTCTTTCAATGATATCAAGTAAACTCCAGACCAGTTTAAGTTGGGTTATCATAAATTTAAAATTAATTTCAGTCACTTAAATGAGATTTTCTTGAAATAGTTGATGGAGGTACTTTTTTTTACACATAAACATAGTTACAGAAATACAGTTGGAAGAGATAAAGAGATGATCTTGTTTATTCCCCTTGGTTTTGTAGGGAAAGTATTTTATAAGATTAATAAACCTTGACGGAAATACTTTAAGTTCACGTTTTCCAGTAAGAAGGTTGTACAGGCCCTTAATTCAAGTTTTGCATCTGATAAATGGGAATAAAGATTTCTTTGTGGGCAAGATATTTCAGTTTTCTTGAAGGATTTAGTCTTCTGAAACCTGTTATTTCAAACCCATAACACATCATTTATTGTGTAACATTCATTGATGGTGAGAAATCCATTAACTATTGCTTTTGTAAGAAAACAAAGGATATTGAATTTCAAATAAGAGGCCCTAAATAGAGTTCATTTTTAAATGACATTATACAGTGACTGCACCAATGTTCTTGCCTAAGACTTTTAAATGAAAATCTTTTACAATGTATATGTCTCTTTGATGAATGGCACATGCCCTACCCTTTAAAAGTATGCAAATATACATAAATCTTTCTCCAAGTTAATTGGGACCTTGGAATTGTTGATGTACATATATATACATATATATATATATATATATACACATATATATATATATATATATATATACATACACAGAGAGAGAGAGAGATTTAGAAATAGGTATATAGATAGATAGATCTATATAGATCCATACATCTACCTCTCTATAATAGGTGTTTATAAAGATTGCTATGTGTATTTCAATACATATCTGTACCTCTATCTCTATAGATATCTGTATCTGTAGATATCTGTAGAAATATATATGTATATCTGTAGCTTCTATAGATATCTATAGAGATATGGATGTATCTGTCTATATGTATAGTTATATCTATATATTGATATGTAGAGATTTATCTATATCTATATTTTTATATGTATATATATATATGTATATGATACAGAGGGGTTTATATTCCCAGGATGGTGGATTTATGCCTGATTGTATCTCTCTTCTGTGTGTGCACATACACTCTCTTCCTGCTTTCTTGCTTTGTACTTCAAATAATCTATATTTTCAAAAAGAAACATTTAACATAGGGGGAAGACATAATAAGAGGTAGCATCAATATGTTTTATTTATCAAAGCTCAAGCAAACAGGCTTCTCTCTTTTTAATTACCAGTGTCAGACATAGGCATATAGCCATATACACCTTCTCTGGTGAATGCAGTATGGTTTACAAATTTTAGTTGAAATAAAATGAGGTTGACAAAAAATTTCTAAGACAATGGCTCTCTTTTATTCTTTCAAACTCAAAGCCTGTATTGGAATCATTTTAAAAACACCCCTTTTGTTTTTCTTTCAGGTATGATTCATTGAGAAGAGAGGGAATGTATTGCAAAAACTGTATTGCATGTTACAAGTACACACACCTGTGTATGTATACAAGTGGAAACAGAGCAGATGGAACATATGTATAAATACAAATGGGATTGTTTTGAGTGAGGATCGATCTGTTATAAAGCACTGGCATATTAGGAGCCTGGTAATATTCTCCTGGAATTGTCATGACTAAAATTATGTAAAGAACACCCATGCAATACTTGTTCTTTTCCTCCAAATATACAAAAAGATCTAAAGTTTTGGTACTTTGCTAAACAGATTATAGTCCTGGATCTAATATCATGGGTGTTATTAATACCTGGAAGCCTGTTAAAAATGCATAACTTTGGGTCTCCACCCCAGGTCAACTGTGTCAAACATGTTCTCTGGTGATTTGCACCAAATGCTGAACCAAATGCTGAAATTGGAGAAGCTCTTGCCTGCAGGACAGATTTGCATGGCCTTCAAGGCATCTGGTCATACAGGCTCAGAGTTAAAATAGGAGTTTCCGGGTCTATCCAAAGAGATTTGCATCTTCTGGCCACGTTGCTTGGTACAAGATTGAGCATGTAAGCTAAGCTGGACTATGGATATGCATTCCCTGGAAATCTGTCTCACAACTGTGACACCGCAATCCATGGACACAGCCATGTACACAGCAAACAGTGGCTCTAGAGGAGTAGATGGGCAACAGGTAAATTTAGAGGCCTAACTGGTCATGCTTTTTCACCTTGTCCGGTGGAAAATGGAGGAAGTAGATATGAAGACAGAAGTGTAATGAATGGCAAAGAGATGGGCTGCACATCCTTCTGGATCTTCATCATATTTTGTTTTGTTTTGTTTTGTTTTCATTTCTTTTCTTTTTTTTTTTTTAGAGACAGTCTGCTCTGTTGAGGCATTATTATAGCTCACTGCAACCTCAAATTCCTGGGTTCAAGTGATCCTTCTGCCTCAGCTTCCTCGGTAGCTGGGGACTACAGGCATGTGCCACCACGCCCAGCTATTTCATAATTTTTATTAAGTTCGTGCAAAAGTAGTTTTGGTTTTCACAATTACTTTTAATGGCAAAAACCACAATTATTTAGGAACAATGTAATATTAAGACAGGGTCCCACTAGATTGCCCAGGCTGGTCCCAAACTCCTGACCTCACAGGTGTGTCCAGAATTGGTGGGTTCTTGGTCTCCCTGACTTCAAGAATGAAGCCGTGGACCCTCGCGGTGAGTGTTACAGTTCTTAAAGGCGGTGTGTCCGGAGTTGTTCATTCCTCCCGGTGGTCTCGCTGGCTTCAGGAGTGAAGCTGCAGACCTTCGCGGTGAGGTTTACAGCTCATAAAAGCAGTGTGGACCCAAAGAGTGAGCAATAGCAAGATTTTTTGCAAGGAGCAAAAGAACAAAGCTTCCACAGTGTAGAAGGGGACCCGAGCGGGTTGCCACTGCTGGCTCGTGCAGCCTGCTTTTATTCTGTTATCTGGCCCCACCCACATCCTGCTGATTGGTAGAGCCCAGTGGTCTGAGAGGGCGCTGATTGGTGCGTTTTCAATCCCTGAGCTAGACACAAAGGTTCTCCATGTCCCCACCAGATTAGCTAGATACAGATACAGAGTGTCGAGATAAAGGTTCCCCAAGGCCCCACCAGAGTAGCTAGATAGAGAGCGTCGATTGGTGCACTCACAAACCCTGAGCTAGACACAGGGCGCTGATTGGTGTGTTTACAAACCTTGAGCTACAGATAGAGTGCCAACTGGTGTATTTACAATCCCTGAGCTAGACATAAAGGTTCTCCGAGGCCCCACCAGACTCAGGAGCCCAGATGGCTTCACCCAGTTGATCCAGCACCGGGGCTGCAGGTGGAGCTGCCTGCCAGTCCCGTGCCATGCACCTGCACTCCTCAGCCTTTGGGTGGTCGATGGGACTGGGCGCCGTGGAGCAGGGCTGGCACTCGTTGGGGAGGCTCGGGCCGCACAGGAGCCCATGGAGGGGATAGGAGGCTCAGGCATGGTGGGCTGCAAGTCCAGAGCCCTGCCCCAGAGGAAGGCAGCTGAGGCCTGGTGAGAAATCGAGCACAGCACCGGTGGGCTGGCACTGCTGGGGGACCCAGTACACCCTCCGCAGCCGCTAGCCCAGATGCTATGTCCCTCATTGCCCGGGGCCGGCAGGGCCAGCCGGCTGCTCTGAGTGCAGGGCCCACCAAGCCCACGCTCACCTGGAATTCCAGCTGGCCTGCAAGTGCCACATGCAGCCCCAGTTCCCACTCACGCCTCCCCCTCCACACCTCCCTGCAAGCTGAGGGAGTGGGCTCCAGCCTTGGCCAGCCCAGAAAGGGGTTCCCACAGTGCAGCGTGGGCTGAAGGGCTCCTCAAGTGCCACCAAAGTGGGATCCCAAGCAGAGGAGGTGCCGAGAGTGAGTGAGGGCTGTGAGGACTGCCAGCAGGCTAACACCTCTCAATCCCCCCTCTAAACAGGACACCCCAACTGCTGTTGGGAATTTGGCCAATGACTGCTCTAGCTACTTCCTGCTGGATAGGGGTGAAGAAGGGGCCCTGAAGTTGTAGTGTCCCTCACAGGGGAACTCTCTAGGCCAGGGGAAGTGCCAGCAGGTCGGTCCAGGGGTTCTCAGTAGAACTTGTTGGTTGAACTCATTTTGGGTTCCATGTGTAAGGCCATCTGTAGCTTGACGGCCTTGATTCTAGACGAAACAAATTTGACAAGAAGGTTAAAAATACAGGGCCCAAAGGCAAGTAACAGCAAGATGGCTGCCACAGGACCTAGAAAGGGGAGAAGCCATGTTGCCCAACTCCAGAGGTTGATATAAGAATTTGAAAGGCATTGTCTGATTTCAGAAGCCTTTTCCTGTAAACACCAGGTGGCATCTCATACTATCCCCAACTAGTTAGTGTAAAAATAACACTCTTCCCCTGAAAAGGTGAGGAGTCCTCTTTTCTCAGCAGTGAGGTCTAGGCCTCGGCAGTTTTGGAGAGTCACTACTGCCAAAGAGTCTATTTGGGATTGTAAAGTAAGAATAGATTTCATTATTTCTTGCAAACTGTCTGAGAGACAGATATGGGTTGAAGATCCACATAAGTAGAATATGCCTAGGCGGAGTGGGTAGACATTTACCCTGGCTTTTAAAGGAATAGGGTACACTGTTTTTTCTTTAATACCGTCTCTCTCTTTGACTTCTTCTTTGTCTCTTCCTCTCTTTTTAACTCTCTAACTTTCTGTGTCTGTCCCTCTTTCTCTCTGACTTCTTCTTTGTCTCTTCCTCTCTCTATCTCTTTCTCTGACTTTCTCTTTCTCTCTTTCCTTCTTGCTGGTCTTTCCCTACCTCTGCCAGCTGCTTACGCTGCTGTTCTCCCCTCTCCTTCCCATTCTGATGGCTTTGGTAGTGTAAGACTCCCACCTCTTTTGTTTCCTGCACCATGTGCAATAACTCCATAACTTCCCTGTGGCATCCGTGGGGGTTCCCAGAGGTTAAGAACTCCCATTCTTTCCATATTGCAGCATGGGCATGTAGGATTAGATAAGCATACTTGCTATCTGTATACACATTTATTATTTTTCCCTTTCCCAGTTCTAAGGCTCGGGTAAGTGCCACTAGTTCTGCTAACTGGGCACTTGTCCCTGGGACAAGAGGCTTACTTTCAAGTATAGTTACATCACTAACTATTGCATAACCTGCCCTTCGTATCCCATTCTCCACAACTGAACTTCCATCGGTATATAGATTAAGGTCAGGATTAGTTAAGGGGACTTCCAAGAGATCATCTCGGGTGGCGTAAGTCTGGACTATAATTTGTTGGCAGTCATGCTCAATTGGTTCCCCATCCTCTGGGAGAAAAGTGGCAGTGTTGAGGGCCACGCAAGTGCATATTTGAAGCACCAGTCCCTCAAGGAGTAGTGCCTGGTATCTTAGTAGGTGGTTGTCTGATAGCCATAAACTTCCTTTGGCACCTAGTATGCCATTTACATCATGAGTAGTCCAGACAGTGAGATCCTTTCCTTGCATTATTTTGATAGCCTCTGACACTAAGATGGCCACTGCTGCAACTACTCTTAAACAGTGAGGCCAGCCTTTTGCTACTACATCAATTTCCTTACTTAAGTATGCCACTGGTTGTGGGGTTGTCCCACAAGTCTGAGTAAGGTCTCCAAGAGCTATCCCGGCTCTCTCTGTGATGTATAAAGAGAAGTTCTGTCCTATGGGAAGGCTTAAAGCTGGAGCGTGTACTAGGGCCTGCTTTAAGGTTTCGAAGGGATTACTGCCTCTGGTTCCGATACAACTAGATGAGTATTTGCCCTCTGGGTTTCCTTGATTAGAGTATAGAGGGGCCTGGCTATCTCGCTATATCCAGGGATCCATAGTCAGCAAAAGCCGGTAATTCCAAGGAACCCCCTCAACTGTTTTAATGTCTTAGGGCAAGGATAAGCCAGTATAGGTTGTATTCATTCCTTGCTTAGGGCTCTGGTCCCTCTGGCTAAGATTAGGCCTAGATATTTGACCTGCTGTAGGCAAAGCTGGGCCTTCAACCTAGACACCTTGTACCCTTGATTAGCTAGAAAGTTCAAGAGATCTAGAGTAGCTTTCTGGCACAAGGCTTCCAAACTGGTAGCTAAAAGTAAATCATCCACATATTGAAGGATCAGAGTGCCTGGACTTGAGAAGTGGCCTAGATCTTGGGCCAGAGCCTGACCAAACAGATGAGGGCTATCCCTAAACCCCTGAGGCAAGACCGTCCATGTAAGTTGGGAAGTGTGGTCTGTGGGATCCTTGAAAGCAAAGAGAAACTGGGAGTCACAGTGCAGGGGAATACAGAAGAAAGCATCCTTGAGGTCCAGAACTGTGAACCATTCTGCTTCTGCTGGTATTTGAGAGAGCAGGGTATAGGGGTTGGGTACAACTGGATATAGTGGAATTACTGCCTCAATGGCAAGTCTAAGAACTTGCACTAGTCTTCACTGACCATTCGGTTTTTGTACTCCTAGAATTGGGGTGTTGCAGGGACTGCTGCATTTCCTCACTAAGCCTTGAGCTTTCAAATGTTTAACAATATTCTGTAATCTGTTATGAGCTTCAGGCCTTAAGGGATCTTGCCTTTGATAAGGAAAAGTGGTGGGCTCTTTTAACCTGATTTGGACTGGGTGGGCATTTTTTGTCCTTCCAAATTGTCCTTCCAATGTCCATACTTGAGGGTTGATTCCCTCCTCAAGTAGAGGACAACAAATGGGTAACTTGTTCCCCATATTCATGTAGATAATAGCTTCAGCCTTGGCTAATATATCCCTCCCTAATAAGGGTGTGGGACTTTCAGACACTACAAGAAATGCATACGAAAAGAGCAAAGTCTCCCAATTACAACTGAGAAGGTGGGAAAAATTCCTGGTTACAGGCTGTCTCAGGATTGCTCAGATGGTAATGGACCTTGAGGACAGTCATCCAGGACAGGAGATTAACACTGAGAAGGCCGCGCCAGTGTCCAAGAGGAAGTCAATTTCCTGGCCCTCACTAGTTAAACATACCCGGGGCTCAGTGACGGTGATGACATGAGCTGGCACTTGCCCCAGGCACCCTCAGTCCTGTTGTTGGATCATCTGGTTGGGGGCTTCTGACCCAGGGAACCTTCGTCCTCTGGGGCAGTGCACCTTCCAGTGATTGCCTCTTCATAGTGGACATGGACAAGGGGGCAGCTTGTTTCTCATTGGACAATCTTTTTTTAAGTGTCCTAGTAAACCACACTGATAAGAAGCCCTTCCAGGTGATTGGCCTGCTCTGTTTCTGTCCTCTCTGAACCATCAATATTTGTTTGTCTGAGGGCCATAACTAAGGCTGCAGCCTTTCTCTGATCTTGCTTTTCCTTTTGGGCCTGTTCCTCTTGGTCCCTATTATAGAACACGAAGGTTGCCAGGTTTAATAATGTCTCTAGATTTTGTTCAGGGCCCAGGGCTTGCTTTTGGAGCTTTCTCCTGATATCTGCAGTTGATTGGGTAATAAACTTATCTTTTAGAATCAATTGACCCTCCAGTGATTTGGGTGACAGGGGAGTATATTTTCTTAAGGCCTCTCGTAGCCGCTCAAGGAAGGCAGAAGGATTTTCTTCCTTTCCCTGAGTTATGGTGGATATCATTGAATAATTCATGGGCTTTTTTCTAATTCTTCTTAGTCCTTCTAAAACAGGTCAACAGATGTTTATGACTCCAGTCCCCATGATCTGAGTCAAGGTCCCAGTGGGGATCCATACTGGGGATGGCTTGCTGACCAGGAGGGAATCTGTCCCTTTCTTCTGCTGTCATTCTATCATTTACTTGACTAAGATACCAGGTACCTCCCAACTCTCGCGCTGCAGCTAAAGCCGCATTCTTTTCATTAAAGGCCAGGATTTGATCTAACAGTAGTATCGCAACTCTCTAAGCAAGGTCAAAGGATTGCCCTAGACCCTGTAGGACATCTATGTACCTATCACGATCATCTGAAAACTTCCCGAGGTCTGCCTTGATCTGTTTTAAGTCAGAGAGGGAGAAGGGGACAGGTACCCAGGTTGGGCCAAATTCCCTTCCCCCTACAGCTTGAAGGGGACATAACAAATTATCCAGGGGGGTTTGTGGACCTTTAGAGATTTCTTTGCTTATTTCCTTCTGGGCAGGGGAGATTAGAGGAGGAGTATCATTAATAGGAAGGGGAGCTATAGGGAGGCTATGATATGGGGGTAAGCTGAGAGGTCCTCCTGTGGGATGTAAATTGCAAGGTTTGCATAGTTGTGTATTCTCTCTCAATGAAAAGAAAGCTTGGACATAAGGTATTTCACTCCATTTGCCTTCCCTTTTACAGAAAAGGTCAAGCTGCAGGATAATATTGTAATTTGTACTTCCCTCAGGTGGCCATATTTCCCCATCAGAAAGAGAATATTGGGGCCAAGCCATAGTGCAGAAATAAATGAGCCACCTCTTTTTCAGGGTTTGTGGGTCAAATTGGTCCCAATGGCTTAGGATGCATTTCAAGGTGAGCCTGTTGATGCCTGAGTGTTTCCCATCTGAAAGACAAAACCGCCCATGGTTTTGGTTTGTTTTGTTTCTCTCCCTGCCCAAGAACACGCAACAGTCCCTGGACCCTGCTGATCAGAACAGTTGCACTCACTGACGCAGCAGCAGAAACAACCCCTGCCCAAGAACCCTCAACGGTCCCTGGACCCTGCTGATCAGAATAGTTGTGCTCACCGACGCAGCAGCAGAAACACTAGTTTTCCTCCCAGACCACAGGGAGGACTGAGGAAGGTCTGATTTAGTGGTCCTTACTGACGCATTCTTGAAAATGTGCACCCTTGCCTGTCCTCCAAGACCACAAGGAGGACCAACCGAGAAAAATCAGATTTAGTGGCCCTTACCAACACATTCTCAAAAACCTGTTAGAGTCCTAAACATTCTCCTGTTAGTATTGGGACTTTACCCCTGTGGTATAAAGAAGTTATGCCCCCAAAATGAAGTGGAGGGCCATACCCTGAGGGAGGGAAGGGATCTCCAGAGTCGGAGGAGTGCTTCCTTTTGTCCTCACGCATATGAATAGGAAGGATACAATTTCTGAGGCTCCTCATATCCTAGCTTCAGGAACAGATTTTGTTAGGTCTGTTAGTCTGAGGAGGGATCCTAAAATTCCAAGTAGTCCCCACTATGATGGGGCTTTGGGCAAAAATTCTGTCTTTCTGATTGGTTAGCCCGGGTGCCTAAAGAAGGGACAGAGTCCTGGAGTTTATACTAGAAATCATTCTTATAGGAGAAACTAGAAAACACCAGAGACAGGTAGGAATTTTTAGAAGTGGGTCTAACCTCAGAGAAGAGAGATGAGAGTAAGTTTATCTGGCAGGCATTAGGACCCGGGGGGCAAGGGTCAGGATAGATAGGATAGATGGGCAAGTCTCACTTAGGCCACATGCCTTTGAGAGTTCCTCTCATGACCCAAGGGTCAACCAACTTGTCAGGACCCTGGAGCTGCATGGCTTCCCTCTCTTTTGACCCTTGGCTCAGCTCAGAAGTACAGGAAAAGTGGAATCTGGTTCTAGGCAAACCAACGGTCCCAACTCTGAAGAGTCAGGGGTTGTTAGAGAGCCCTTTCCCAGAAAGCCTGACACCCGTGTCTTTAGTCTGGCGGCCGTGCTAGTCGCTTTTAACTGGCCGACAGGTGCCCGGTATTTAGCCCCCAAATTCTAAGGAAAAATAGGACAGAATAGCAAGCGAAAGGGGTCCAATGGTACTCACTGCTTGGCGATAGGTGATTGTCTCACTGCTTGGCGATAGGCGAAAGTCCCATCTGGGTCACCAAAATGTGTCCGGAATTGGTGGGTTCTTGGTCTCACTGACTTCAAGAATGAAGCCGTGGACCCTCACAGTGAGTGTCACAGTTCTTAAAGGTGGCGTGTCCAGAGTTGTTCATTCCTCCTGGTGGGCTCGTGTTCTTGCTGGCTTCAGGAGTGAAGCTAAAGACCTTCGCAGTGAGGGTTACAGCTCATAAAAGCAGTGTGGACCCAAAGAGTGAGCAGTAGCAAGATTTATTGCAAGGAGCAAAGGAACAAAGCTTCCACAGTGTGGAAGGGGACCCAACTGCGTTGCCACTGCTGGCTCAGGCAGCCTGCTTTTATCCTCTTACCTGGCCCCACCCACATCCTGCCGATTGGTAGAGCCCAGTGGTCTGCTTTGACAGGGTGCTGATTGGTGCGTTTGCAGTCCCTGAGCTAGACACAAAGGTTCTCCACTTCCCCACCAGATTAGCTAGATACAGAGTGTCGACATAAAGGTTCTCCAAGGCCCCACCAGAGTAGTTAGACACAGAGTGTTGATTGGTGCACTCACAAACCCTGAGCTAGACACAGGGTGCTGATTGGTGTGTTTACAAACCTTGAGCTAGATATAGAGTGCCGATTGGTGTACTTACAATCCCTGAGCTAGACATAAAGGTTCTCCAAGGCCCCACCAGACTCAGGAGCCCAGCTGGCTTCACCCAGTTGATCCAGCACCAGGGCTGCAGGTGGAGCTGCCTGCCAGTACCGCGCCATGCGCCTGCACTTCGCAGCTGTTGGGTGGTCAGTGGGACTGGGTGCCCTGGAGCAGGGGGTGGCACTAGTCGGGGAGGCTCGGGCTGCACAGGAGCCCATGGAGGGGATGGGAGGCTCAGGCATGGTGGGCTGCAGGTCCTGAGCCCTGCCCCGTGGGAAGGCAGCTAAGGCCCAGTGAGAAATTGAGCACAGCACTGGTGGGCTGGCACTGCTGGGGAACCCAGTACACTCTCCACAGCCGCTTGCCCGAGTGCTAAGTCCCTCACTGCCCGGGCCGGTAGGGCCAGCCGGCCACTGCCAGTGCTGGGCCCACCAAGCCCACGCCCACCGGAAACTTCAGCTGGTGCACAGCCCCTGTTCCAGCTCCCACCTCTCCCTCCACACATCCCTGCAAGCTAAGGGAGAGGGCTGTGGCCTTGGCCAGCCCAGAAAGGCTCCTCAAGTGCCAACAAAGTGGGAGCCAGGCAGAGGAGGTGCCAAGAGCGACCGAGGGCTGTGAGGACTGCCAGCACACCGTCACCTCTAACAGGAACCTCCAGCTTTTCAACCCCCCTAAAGTGCTAAAGTAACAGAAGTGCACTACCACACCCAGCCCCATCACATTCTTACCTGTATGCATTTCCTAGACCTGCTGTAACACTTTACCTTAAACTAGGCAGCTTAAACCAAAGATGTTCTCAAGCGAGATATCTGAAATCAAGGTGTCTGCCTGGCTCTTCTCCCTCTGGAGGCTCTAGAGGACGATCCTTCTTCTCTGTCCCAGCTCCTGGTGGCCCCAGGCACCTCTGGGCTTGTGACGGCATCATTCCAGTCTCTGCCTCCATCTCCGCATTGCCTTCTCCTCTGTATGTGTCTTCATGTGTCTTTTTCTGTCTTTTGTAAGGATACTCTCATTAGGTTGAAGACCCACCTTAATCTGGTATGATCTCATCTTCATCCTTACCTTAATCACATCTGCAAAGCCCCTGTTTCCAAATAAGGTCACATTCCCAGGTTCTATGTAGACATGAATTTTTAGTGGACAGTATTCATTTTGATAAACTGCCCTTGGAACCTCTGAGATATTCTGTGTCCTCCAACAAATTTCCTTTTCTGTTTTCTTTTGATTAAGCTTATTTAACTGGGTTTATGTTACTTGCACAGGAAGTAATATGTAAGGTGGATTAATATTAATATTAATATATTAATATATTGATATTATCAATATAATTAAATTAATATATAATATATAATTAAATTAATTTAAAAATATGTAATTAAATTAATATATAATATATAATTAAATTAATATATTAATATTAATCCACATTTAATGTATTTTTTAAAATGCATCTTCGAGAAGATGAGCGGTATTAAGACAGGGGCTTTGTCATAGGAAACCTATGTAAGGAAGCTCTCTGGGAGTAGTGGAGTGGTCAGCTTATAACCACATGAGTAGACAGCATATAACCACACAATTATCTATCTAAGTGATAGATGGACCAGATGTTAGCACAGACATCTGGGCCGAAGTTTGCCAGATTTAACAGCTAAAAATACAGGACTCATAATAACAAAACTTTAGTGAAATTATATTTCGTGCAATATTTGAGATACAATTATGCCATATTTTTTCTTTGTTTACCTCAAATTCAAATGCAACTAGGGGTTGGACGCAATGGCTCACCCCTGTAATCCTAGCATTTTGGGAGGCCAAGGCAGGTGGATCACTTGAAGTCAGGAGGTTGAGAGCAGCCAAGCCAACATGGCAAAACCCTGTCTCTACCAAAAATACAAAAATTAGCTAGGTGTTGTAATGTGCTCCTGTAGTCTCAGCTACTTGTGCTGAGGCTGGGGTGGGAGGATCACTTGAACTTGGGAAGTGGAAGTTTCAGTGATCTCAGATTACACCATTGCATGACAGCCTGGGTGAAGAGTGAGACTCAGTCTAAAAGGAAAAAAAAAAATGTAACTTGGCATTGTAGACTTTTATCTGGCAAACCCATTTATGCCACATACCCCAGAATCTTTCACACCAACTCTGCTTCCAATTGACCTTGTATCAGGAGCTGGTTTTCAGTATGACCCTTCTTTCCCCACACCTAATGTAACTCCATACATCCATCTTCAGGATCAAATTTGAGCAGATAGATCTGTGGTCACCTACATTTATTGACTCACTGACTGTAGATAAAAGTAAAAATATATCTGGCTGAGGTCAATGACGACCTGCTTCCTTACGTATTTAACTTGCTGTGGACTTTCCATTCTTGGTTAATGAGAAAATATTTCCATATGTCCAATAAGCCACTCTCTTAGTCCATTTGGGCTCCTATTACAGCTTGCCTTAGGCTGAGTAATTTATAAACCACGGCAATTTATTGAAGCCTAGTTGTCCAAGATCAAGGCACAAGCATATTGAGCACATGGGGAGGGTTCTCTCCTTCAAAGATGATGGCTGCTGTGTGTACTCACATGGCAGAAGAGACAAAGGGATACTGAAAGCCTCTTTGGTGCAGGCACCAATACCATTCATAAGATAAATTATCACCTTCTAAAGGGCCTACCTCTTAATATCATATGGGGAATTCTATTTCAGTGTACAAACTTTGTGTGGAGAGGCATTCTGAGCACAGCCATTATGCCCAGCTTCTTGGATAAGTCTAAATTTCCCCAAGGCAGCTTTTCTCACCTTCTGCACTGCAATACTTTTTCTTGCTTTGAGACACCTTGTCTCTGGGCTGATTCCAGTGACTCACTGAGAATTAACTTCAAATTTCGGAGCTCATCCTTAGGTTTAGCCATACATTTTGTCATCCCCTGACATGAGTTTGCGCTCATTGCCATGAGAGCCAATTAGAATGCCCACTCATCACTCTCTCCGTTGCTTGCACCACTGGGCTTTAGTGAAACTACATAAATACACATTGGCAGAACAGTGCTAGAACTTTATCCTTAATCAGACTAATTACAGTGGATTTTTAAAATAATCAATCTAAAATGCCAAGTATCCACTTCAACCAGATCTAGTTCATTTTGTTGGGAAAAAAGACACAGAATCATTTGCAATAATTTGGGGGAGATACAGTACCTATAAAATCAGTCTATTAGTCTGTTCTCATGCTGCTAATAAAGACATATTCAAGACTGAGTAATTTGTAAAGGAAAGAGGTTTGATGGACTCACAGTTCCACATGGCTCGGGAGGCCTCACAGTCATGGCAGAAGATGAAGGAAGAACAAAGGGGACTTCTTACAAGAGGGCTTGTTCAAGGGTACTCCCCTTTATAAAATCATCAGATCTCATGAGACTTATTCACTGTCACAAGAACAACATGGGAAAGACCTACCATGATTCAATTACCTCCCACAGTGTCCCCCCATGATGTGTGGGAATTATGGGAGCTACAATTCAAGATGACTTTTGGGTGGGGACACAGCCAAATCATATCAAACAATCTATCTAACACCCTGTCATACATTATTAAAGACTGGCTAATAGGTGATTAAAATTTAACTATTGGTTAGTGCTTGCCAATAATATTATAGGAATAAAACCTACATGAAATGCACAAAACCACAGAGTCATGCTATTATTATGCTGTATTTTTCCTGGCACTTGATGATAATGGAATGATAATGATAATTATAAACAATTGGTGGAATCTAAAAGCCACAAAGTCTAAGTACCAATAAGCACACCTAATGCTCTGACTTTGATTTCTAATACTATTCTCCAATAAAAGAACCCAGGGATTTAATACAGAAATCAATGATTCTAGGACTTGTGCAGGAAATATCCAAGATGAGCCTGGAGCATCATGTACTTACAGAAAGTAAAAATGTGCTAAAACAGACAAAAAGCAAAGACAAACAAAATGTAACGATAAGAATATATCAAAGGACAGAGGAACAGAAAAGCCAACCAAAAGAACTCCCAACGCCCACAGTTGTAGCCCTTTGAGCAGTTGAGTAAATAAAGCATTATTTTATTATAACCCAAAGAATAAAAAATGCTTTATGAGTTCAATATTGATATACACAAATGATTGATAATATAAATAATTTATGAGGGGTAATAGATAAATCATTCCAAATAATTTATTCAGATATTGTGATATGGCATGGATCTGTGTGCCTTCCCAAATATCATGCTGAATTGTAATCCTCAGGGTTTGAGGTGAGGCCTGAGGTGATTGGATCATGGATACAGGGTTCTCATGTAGAGTTTAGCACCTTCCCCTCTTAGTACTGTATAGTGGGTGAGTTCTCACTAGCTCTGGTTTTTTAAAAGCATGTGGCACCTCCTCTCTCTCTCTCTCTTCCTCCCGTGCTGGCCATGTGAGACACCTAGCTTCCCAGTCGCCTGCCACCATGATTGTAAGTTTTCTGAGGCCTCCTAAAAAGCCAAGCAGATGCTGCCATGCTTCCCATACAGCCTGCAGGACTAAGAGCCAATTAAACCTCTTTCCTTTATAAATTATCCAGTCTCAAGCATTTCTTTATACCAAGGCAAGAATGCACTAATAGCATTGTCCACCCTCATGGAGGGGTGCATTAATCTGCATTCCTTAAGTGTGGGCTGACATAGTGACTTTCTACCTGCAGTTTGGAAAAGAGTGACAATAGAGTAACTTCACAGTGGAGCCACCTGGCAAACACTACGTCAAACACGTGGGCAAGGTCATCATCAATAGTGATGTTATGTTGATAGTATGTACCCTCAATAATATGTATGTGACTGTCTTACTGTCTTCAGAATTCTTCTGTTAATCCAGTGCTGCCCTTAAGATAATAAAATATTAAATTTTTAATATATAAAAGTAGAATAATTGATGAAGTGAACTTTGCAGACATAATACTGGAGACGGCAAGGGTATACAATTTTTTTTAATGCAATTCATCTTTATTTTTCCACAACAACACAAATCTGGGAATTATGGTACAGACCATGCATGGATGCTGTAAATGAAGTGTGTGTACTGATAGAGGGGGATGACGGACCATTCTATCCTCGCGGTCTTTGAGGTGGCTGCAGGAAACCCTATTTGAAAATATGCATTCTCAGGTGCAGAGGCTCATGCCTGTAAACCAAGCACCCTGGGAGACTCAAAAAATCCAAAAAAAAAAAAAAAATTAGCTGAGCTTGGTGGCAGGTATGTGTAATCCCAGCTACTCGAGAGGCTGAGGTAGGAGAGTCATTTGAACCCAGGAGGTGAAGGTTGCAGTGCAGTGAGCTGAGATTGCACCACTACCCTCTAGCCTGGGCAACAGAACCAGAGCTTCTCTTAAAAAAAAAAAAAAAGAAAACAGAAAAAAAAGAAAAAAAGCATTATATTGTGTGTGTGTGTGTGTGTGTATCGAACATATATAGTGTATATTATATATGTAGATAATACATGTAATTCATAAAAGATCATTTTATATATATATAAAGAATATAGACTACAGTCCTGGCACAGTTGCTCATGCCTGTAATCCCAACACTTTTGGGAAGCTGAGGCAGGAGGATCACTTGAGGCCAGGAGTTTGAGAAGAGCCTGGACAATACTGAGAGACCCCATCTCTAAAAATATTAAAACATTAGATGGGTGCAACGGTGCAAACCAATAGACCTAGATACTCAGCAGGCTGAGGCAAGAGGATTGCCTGAGTCCAGGAGTTCAAGGCTGTAGCCAGCTGTCATTGTGCTACCACTGCACTCCACCTTTGGAAACAGAGAAAGACGTATTCTAAAAATACACACAATGCACACACACTTTCACATGCATGTAGAGAAAAAGAGAGAGCAAGAGTGAAAGAGAGAGAGAGAGAGACTATGTACCACACATTACATACTTTTTTTTGTTTTAAATGTGGTCTCACTCTGTCCCCCAAGCTGGAGTGCAGTGGCATGGTATCAGCTTACTGCAACCTCTACCTCCTGAGTTCAAATGATTCTCATGCTTCAGATTCCCAAGTAGCTGGGATTACAGGTGCATCCCATCACACCAAGCTAATTTTTGTGTTTTTAATAGAGATAGCGTTGCACCACGTTGTCCAGGCTAGTCTTGAACTCCCAATCTCAAGGGATCTGTCCATCTCAACCTCCCAAAGCGTGCTGAGATTACAGGCATAAGCCACCGCACCAGGCTTGTGTACCATATATTTTGTACGTTTGTATATTTATCTATCCTCTACTGGATTAACTTGCCTTTAACCAATACAATACTTCAATATTTGAAGGATGTCACTTTTGTGGTTAGCTTATAAAGATTGTGACTTCCATCTTGCCAGCCATTCTTCTTCCTTGTTGATTTATGTTTGAAAAAAAAAACACCTATTTTGTGATTATGATGACTGTAGGATGTCTTTGTTCATTTTAATATTTTTGTCATAAAAAGAATCAATGTGGAATGCATAGGGCTTTAAACAAGAGTATCAAATACTGCATGAGATGGCTAAGGCCTGCCCCACACATGCTGGGGTGCCCCTGTGATAATAATAGGTGCTGGTAAACTTTCATGTTGAGAAAGTCTACATATTTAGGGACTAATATTGGGCCTTGGCCAGCAGTCAATGAGAAACTAAAGCCCTCAGTTTAGCAGCCCATGAGAAGCCAAATTCTACCCACAATGATGTGAGCTTCAAAGTGAGTTCTTCCCCACTGGAGTCTTCAGATGAGACCTGAGCCCTGGCTGGCATTTTGCAAAAAAATAAATAAATGAAAAATTTAAAAAAAACATGATGCAGAGGATTCAACTGTTTTCCAAATACTGATGCACAGAAGCCAAGACATATGAAATTTGTATTTTTTGAGCCAATATGCTGTAATAAATTATTTATGTATGCATGCAAACACATATGTAGGGATAGATATAGACATAGATGACAATAAACAACTTTAGCAGATAGGAAGAGTAAAAAGAAATTGAGCAAGTTGAACAAATATGCTGGCTATTTCACAGTTTGCAGGATTGCTGCAACATCTCTTTCAGACACAGCATAGATGACTGAACCAGAGTAAAACATTCATAATCTGCTCATAAACCTGCCAAAAGGTGTCAAATTAGGAAGAGGAGAAATTTAACAATCAAGTCTGTAGTTTCTGCATCAAGCAAAATAGATTTTCTTAACTTTGTCTGAGAATTGTTTTGCTGTCTTCAATAGTCTTGATCTTTCTACAGTTCACCACATCAACACATGATGAGCACATCCTCCTAATATCTGGAAGGCACTGTGCTGAGCATGGTGTGAGAGTCCAGAAATATGCCATTCCAGGGACTTCAAATTTCCTGAACTACATACATATGGAAAGGCCTGTAGCAAGGTTTCTCACACTTAGCACAATTGATATTTGTGGCTCCAAAATTCTTTTTCACAGAGGGATATCCTGTGCATTTCAGGGTGTTGGACAGCATCCCTGGCATCCACCCACTAGATGTTAGTATCATTTCCCCAGCCCTACCCAGTTGTTTAAATAAAAAATGTCTCCAGACATTGCTCAGTGTGTCTTGGGGGACAAAATCACCATCATTGAGAATCATTGTTCTAAAACAACAAAGAAACAAACCATCAAAAAAAACAAAACCAAAAAAAAAACAAAACAAAAAACAAGGAAACACTTCTTCAATTTGCACAAAGTTGAAAGCCACGCTAGGCAATTCTTCTCACCACCTTCCCGTTGTCATTTTGAATCTCTGTGTTATGTATGTCTCCAGTGCCTTTCAGAATGTTTACCATTTCTGGCACCTCTCTCATAATTGCACTAGGCTCCTGAGTCATTTTGACAAACAAACAACCTTTGTATATTTGCAAATACTCCTGGGGGAGGAGAGGAAGGGAGTGTTAAGTTTCCTGGCCAAGAACCACTGTTAAACCAGTAGGTGTTGGCTGATCACATACTGCTAGTTGCTGACTGCTGTGTTTCATGTTCCTTCCACAGGAGATGACTTCCTCTTCATGGACTGATGCATAGTCCCCCAAATCTTCCTCAAGATGGGATCAGTGCAATTTCCTTTGACTCACCCATTTCCCCAAAAATCCCTTCCTCCGAAAAATTCATCGTCCCACCTTCCTACTCTAAAAACACCTTAACTTTCTAACAGCACCTAATTGCCCTATTTGTAATGACATGCACAGTGTGCATGTGTGTGTGGGTTGCTGGGGGGGTCCATCCATCACACTGTGGGTTCCATTTCCATGTCTGTCCCTAAGGCCTTTCTTTAAAAATATTTGTTTGTTTTATTTTTTGAGACAGGGACTTGCACTGTTGCCCAGGCTGCAGTGGAGTGGTGCAATTTCTGCTCGCTGCAACCTGTGCCATCTCCCAGGCTCAAGTGATTCTGCTTCCTCAGCCTTCTGAGTAGCTGAGATTACAAGTACATACCACCACGCCCCGCTAATTTTTGTATTTTCAGTAGAGGCGAGGTTTCACCATGTTGCTGCGGCTGGTCTCAAACTCCTGAACTCAAGTGATCCACCTGCCTCGGCCTCCCAAAATGCCATAATTACAGGCATGAATCACTGCACTCAGCTAATTCATTTTTTAAATTGAGGTGAAATATAGATATATGATTTACTGTCTTTGCCATTGTTAAGTGTGCAGTTCACTGGTAATACATCGATAATCTTGTTTTCTCTTCACGTATTTTGCATAACAATCAAATTTGCCTTCAGTTTCTTCACTTCACTTTCATTTTGTACACTGATCTTATTACTCACAAAAATCAATGGAAACTTCCTTGGAGCAGTGGATGTTACCACATCTTCCCATTTACATTGCATCTTTCTTGAGTGTTGAGATTCTTGTCTTATGTAGACCATGGTGTAGTCACTTGCACATGAGATCTAATAAAACCTTAATGTCATTGGCCTTCTGGTATTAAAGGAAGTAACATGCTTTTTATTAACAAAAGGAACAGATGGAAGTCCCAGGTAAACACAATTTCTATGCACATCATTATAATTCTTAAGTTACGGGCACTAACAACTAGCAATATTAAGCCATTCTGTTCTTAGACCCCAGATGGTAAAGCAGCCTTTAATAGTGAATGGGGATAAATATCTATATCGCAGTCTCTAGCACATAGGATATACAAGACTACAAAGAAATCTTTGTTTCAAGTTGGCCAATTTAAAGAAAATAAAAATCATTTATACATTATATTTTTATTCAAATTGGAAATGTGTTTCATGACACTCAGAAAAGTAATTTCTGTCTCCCTTCCTCTCTTCTGTCTCTCTCTCTCTCTGTCACACACACACACACACACACACACACACACACCCATCCCACAGCCACCACCCCTCCAACCACATTTTTCCCCCTTGGACGGAACTGGGCAGTGACAAGCAAGGATTGTAAAATGTAGTGAATTCTGCTTCCTGTGAGGGACCTGTAGGCTGCCCTTCATAAACTTCAGGCTCTCTCACACTTTTCCTTTGAGAAGCCCTTCCTTGACCTGAGACCTCAGCCTCTTTGAGAACCATCCTTGTGTTCAGAGTTGCACAAGAGGCTGCCTGTCCCAGGACAGCACCCTCCTGACCGACTTCCAGGCATCAACCTGTGGCCACACTTCCAGCCTCAAGAAGAGGAGGCAGGATGAGGAAGGAGACCCAGGGGTAAGAAATTCACACATCAACTGCTTCATCATCAATAACAGCAGGGCCCCAACATGAGATTCTTTAGGATATAGACAATCACTGTATTTTCTTTTATGTGCTGAAAGTATCAACTATTTCATTGTGTGTATTTAAAAGATATCATGATTTTGGATGGCCACGGTGACTCACACCTGTAATCTCAGCACTTTGGGAGGCCAAGGTGGGTGGATCATGAGGTTAGCAATTCGACACCAGCCTGGCCAACACAGTGAATCCCCATCTCCACCAAAAATAGAGAAAAAAAAATAGCCTGGTGTGCTGGCAGGCTCCTGTAATTCTGACTACTCAGGAGGCTGAGGCAGGGGAATCGCCTGAACCCAGGAAGCGGAGGTTGCAGTGAGCTGAGATTGTGCCATTCATTGCACTACAGCCTGGGAAACAAGAGTGAAACTCCCTCTCAAACAAACGAACAAACAAACAAAGATTTCATGATTTTTATAACTCTCTTTTAAACTATCTTCACTTATTTATTTGTTTGTTTGTTTGTTTGTTTTTGATATAAGAGTCTTGCTCTGTTGCCCAGGCTGAGGAGCAGTGGGTGATCTTGGCTCACTGCAACCTTCGCCTCCAGGGTTCAGGCGATTCTTCTGTCTCAGCCTCCCAAGTAGTTGGTATTGCAAGCATGCACCACCACTATGCTTGTATTTCTAGGGTTTCACTTTGTTGGTCAGGCTGGTCTCAAACACCTAACCTCAAGTGATCCTCTCACCTCAGCCTCCCAAAGTGATGAGATTACAATCATGAGCCACCACACCTGGCACATTTATTTTTATACATAGGTGAAGCCTCTGAAACACACACACACACAGACACACACGTCCTGAGTTTGAATTTCCTCTGGCCATCCCCACCTGGCTAGTTCCCCAGAGCTTGGGGAGAGTGATTCTGACACTTCAGAGAGCCTCCCCCTAGAGGAATTTTCCCCGTTAATTTGTCTGCTCTGTATGAACAGAAAACCAGCACAAAAACTAGGCAGTCACTAGCAACTCACAAGACTTTTGTTCTCCCCTTTGTTGGCACTTTAAATTACCAAATTAGATGGGGACATACTTCACCGCAATGTTCCCTGGGCTGCAGACACTGGGTCTTTCTGGGTATCAATCAGTTTGCACCACCCCTGCCTTGTCAGAGAAGCAAAGATATCTTCCCTCCAATGGCTCACTCCTCCACAGTCTGGCTTCCCATCAAGCCATCATTTGCTTAATTAAGGACATGCACTTTTCATTTATTGTGGAGGTCAAACACCCTGCATTGGTTTAGAAGCTGAATTACCCTGGTAGAGGACTCCTAGAGAAACAAATGTTTCCTTCTGCGTGTCTTGAAGCAGCCTGCTATCCACAGGGCTTTCCTTTCACTCTGCTTCCAATTTTTGGCCTTTTTCCCACCCGGTACTCTACGTATTTTTGTTGATGTTTTGTTTTAGATAGAGTATCCCTCTCTGTAAGGCTGGTGTGCAGTAGCCTGATTTCGACTCACTGCAACCTCCTCCTACTTAGGGCTCAAGCGATTCTCCTGCCTCAACCTCACCAGTAGCTGAGAATCTAGGCATATGCCACCAACGCCAGCTAATTATTTAGTTATTTTTAGTAGACAGGGTTACACGGTGTTGGCCAGGATGGTCTCAAACTCCCGGGCTCAAGCAATCTATCTGCTTGGCGTCCGAATGTGTTGCGATAACAGGTGTGAACCACCGTACCCGTCCCGTAGTCCAGGTGTTTTAAGCCCACTTACTATTTTGCTAAAGGGAAGAAAGTAAGGAGAGAGAGGAAGCAGAAAAAAGCCAGAGTAAAAAGAGAGAGACAGATAAACAGAGAGAGATATGCACACACACACACACAGACAAACACACATGCACCGAGAGACAGCAAACTATTGATACAAAGATAAATATTTTCATCTGGTCTACATAAGATTGTGTTTATAAATAGTATTTAAGATGCTCTCATCTACTGAAATGAAACTGACCAAACTGGAATGTGGAAAAATATTTAAGGGGAAGAGTGATTCACTTGTAATCAGAGAATGGGGTTGAGTTTTCCACATGCAACCTCTTCCTGAATATTTTCAATAAGTGGGGGAAGATGGTCTTTGATCACTCCATAACACAGTTAAGAAAATTGAGGCTTAGAGAGTCTCTTAAGCATGTCTTGACTTATGTAGATAATAATGCTGAGAGGTGAAGCCAGCTGAGCTTCCCGGTCGTGTGGAGACCAAAGGATTGTAAATGCACCAATCAGCACTCTGTGCCTTGCTAAGGGATTGTAAACACACCAATCAGCACTCTGTAAAAAAAGCACCAATCAGCAATCAGCACTCTGTAAAATGGACCAATCAGCACTCTGTAAAATGGACCAATCAGCAGGATGTGGTTGGGGCCAAATAAAGGAACAAAAGCTGGCCACCAGAGCTTGCAGCAGCAACTTGCTAGCATCTGCTTTCTTGGTGTGGTGGCTTTCTTCTTCGGTTCTTCACAATAAGTCTTGCTGCTGCTTACTTTATGGGTCCACACTGCCTTTATGAGCTGTGACACTCACTGCTAGGCTCTGCACCTTCATTCCTGAAGTCAGCGAGATCACAAACCCACAGGAAGGAAGAAACTCCCGACACATCTGAACATGTGAAGGAACAAACTCTGGACACACCATCTTTAAGAACTGTAACACTCACTGCGGCGGTCCATGGCTTCATTCTTGAAGTCACAAGACCAAGAACCCACCAGAAGGAATAAATTCTGGACACAATGCTATAGGTAGGACTTTAAAGAATTTTTTGTTTTTTGAGATGAAGTCTCACCCTGTCATCCAGGCTGGAGTGCAATGGTGCGATCTCAGCTCACTGCAATCTCTCCCTCCCAAGTTCTAGTGATTCCCCTGCCTCAGCCTCCCAAGTAGCTGGGACTACAGGTGTGCACCACCACGCCTGGCTAATTTTTTGTATTTTTGGTAGAGACGAGGTTTCACCATGTTGGCCAGGCTGGTCTCAAACTCCTGGCCTCAGGTGATCCTCCCACCTTGGCCTTCCAAATTGCTGGGATTACAGGCATGAACCACTGTGCCTGGCCAAGAATTCTTGTTTCTATCCAGAAGCAGACACAGCAAAAGACATGAGCAAAATACTGAAGAAGAGTTTCACAGGATATGGCTTAGCTAACAAGGAATGAGTAACAACATCAGCAAATAGTGTTGTTAAACTATTAGACTTCCCTTCTTGACAGGATAATGTCAACCTCTGGGGAGTAAAAAATGGTCCTTGAGGCGCCAAAAAGCTAGTCTTTTATGTATAAAGATTTACATAGTGTAGACAAGCAAAAACAGATCTGTTGGCAGTGTGAAAATCACATGGCGGGGCCAAATTTTAAAAATACATCTAAATTGTCTTCCTGGAGGTGGTGGTGGGGATAATGAACAATAAGCTGATAAATATTTCTATAAGGCACTGAATCTATGACTTAAGGGACAAATTATAAAATGTTACCATGTCTTCAAATAGCATCAATAAACATTCACCAAAAGTATGTAAAAAAAAGTTTACTGAGGTGGATATACTCAGTACGTTACTCAGTGTGTTAATTTGTTCAGAAAGGCGATGGGACCAGGAACATTGGCTCATGCCTGTAAACCCAACAATCTGGGAGGCCAAGGCAGGAGTATCACTTGAATGCAGGAATTACAGACAAGCCTGAGCAAGGTAGTGAGACTCTGTATCTACCAAAAATACAAAAAATTATCTGGGTGTGGAGGTGCACAACTATAGTACCAGCTACTGTGGAGGCTGTGGCATGAGAATCACTTGGGCCCAGGAGTTCAAGTCTCCAGTGAGCTGTGATGGCACCACTGCATTCCAGCCTGGGCACTGGAACAAGACATTGTCTCCAAAACAAAACAAAAAACAAAACGAAAGGTATTAGGCATTGTCCTCAGAAAATGTTTGTTTATATTATGGGGAAGAATTCTACATGAAGCATGGTGGTAAATATTAACAAGTGTCAGAGGCGGAAATTTTGATTAGTAGGATTTACTGAATTCCAAAGTGTATTTACTTGGATTCTGTCCAACTTCATATATCAAAGTGAAATCCCAGAGCATGGACATGCAAAGAGAGGTGCATTAGTATAGGATTTTAGAGGGTTTCCACAATGAAGATGAAACAGGTTTAAATAACCGCAAGAGTAGAGATAATAGTAAAATGAAGCATAATAATTAGTAATGACTTTTGACCATGTATTACCTTTTAAAATAATGTATGTATTTTTAAGATTGTAAAATTAAATTTTTAATGGACACTGCGTTTAACAATGACATTTTTTTAAATTCTGAAATACGAGAGATTAACTGTCATGATCAAGTGCAAATTGGTCTAGGAGACCACCGCAGCTATTAGGGAGAACTGGAAGATGCAATGTGAATAATTCTTGCATTATATGGAATACCTTTCAAGAGTTAAAAAATTGATTAATTGATGCCCAATTAATAAAACAGTGAAACATAGTGTATAATTATAGTCTATATCTATATATCTACTTGCTGGTTAACTGTAGTTTAGCTTTTCCATTTCCATCTATGTTGGGGTTTGATGGCTTTTCACAAATGCAGCTTGTCCCAATTGGTTTTATTGTAATTTTATGTAAAATAATTAAATGATTGTTACAAGTCTAGTGAAACCCTTTTTAACTGATCACTTTGTCCTTTGAGCATGGAGCCAGACATTTTAAAAGGACCCATGCTTTTTGGCAATGGCCTGTTGTTATAAACCAGTCTTGAGTTTTAATATTTGTAAGCTTAATAACTATCAAAAACCTAACCCCATAAAACCTACCATGAGAAAATACAAATTTAGACTAAGACCTCACAAACAATCACAACAGGAACAATAATTGAGAAATGAGACTTAGTTTAACTAAAGAGTTTCTGCACAACAAAGAAAACTATCGAGAGAGAAAATATTTGCAAACTATGCATACAGTAAAGTTCTAATATCTGGAATCTATAAGGACATAAGAAACATAAGCAATTTAACAAGGAAAAAACAAATGACCCCATTAAACAGTGGGCCAAGGACATGAATAGACATTTCTCAAAAGAAGACATACATGCAGTCAATAAACACGAAAAAATACTCCACATCTCGAGTCATCAGAGAAGCGCAAATTAAAGCCACAATGAGATACCACTTCACATAAGTTAGAGTGGCTATTATTTAAAATTTAGCTTTTTGTATTTAAAATAATAGGCATATTTGGTTACAATGCTGTTGGAGATTGATTCCTTTCCTTGGCTGAGGCCTTTTTCTCCAAAGGAGGTGGAGTGAAGTTCTTATGATCTGGGGTTGGGAGTGACGGGGACATGGGCCTAGAAGAAACTGAGCTGTGGCCAGGCACCTTGGCTCATGCCTGTAATCCCAGCACTTTGGGGTACCGAAGTAGGTGGATCGCCTGAGGTCAGGAGTTCAAGATCAGCCTGGCCAACATGGTGAAACTGTGTCTCTACTAAAAATACAAAAATTAGCTGGGCATGGTGGCAAGCGCCTGTAACCTCAGCTGCTCAGGAGGCTGAGGCAGGAAAACTGCTGCAACCCAGGAGGCAGAGTTTACGGTGAGCCAAGATCACACCATTGTCACTCCAGCCCACACGGAGACTCTGTCTTAAAAAAAAAAAAAAAGAAAAGAAAAACTGAGCTGTTAGGTGTGGGGCTTTACTAATATGTTTAGGAGGCATGTATTAAAGTTAGTTTCAATGAATTTGGTGATATCTTCCCATAATATATGGCTTTTACTTATTTGTATTACCAATAATATTTAAATATTTTATAACAACATGACTAAGAAATTTTATATTTCAACAAAATGCACAATAAACAAATTAGACAGAGTAATTGTGATAACTTTCTTGTTATTAAATATGACAGCAACAGCCCTTTCCCCTAACTCTCCAATGGAAGACTTAGAATTGATCTTACTGGACAGTTGGGAATGAATCAGACACAATTACAGTAGACATTCTCACTCAACCTGAGTCATCAAGACAGTATTCCATATCTGTCATTCGAAGTCAAGGACTGGGAAAATTTTTTTTTTTTCACAAGCCAATGTCATATAGTTCACAAACATATGAAACTATAATTAAATGATATAATTTGAAGCACTTTTTTTGTTCTGTGAACATGATGGAAGTTTGTTTTGTTGAGACAGAGGAATTTAAACATGTACCACATACTTTAAAGGGATTAATAGTGGTAACACAAAATTTTAGTTGTTTTTAGTGAAACCTTTTATACTATTTCATTATTAAAATATCTCCTGCTTTCTCTTACTGAAGTAGACATTTCAGCAAAAGTAATATAGTGATTGAATTTGAACATTTGCAGTGGATGAATATTTTACTTTATGAGAGAAAAATGACAGACAGGAAACAATTTGAGAAGTTAACTGCAGGAATGTGCTAAGTTTGATTTCTCGTACTCAGTTTTCTCGGGAGATGAAAACATAGGCAGCTTTCACGAAGAATAGTAAGGCTATTAAACAAATTGAAAAGCTCTACTCCTACATGGTCATTCATATTTACTTTCACACAGTGGCAGTTGAAATGTTCTGTTGATCAAGTTTGATGTTTAAAAACATTTATGAAAATTGTGTTATATATATATATATATATATATATATATATATATTTTTTTTTTTTTTTTTTTTTTTTTTTTTTTGAGACGGAGTCTCGCTCTGTCGCCCAGGCTGGAGTGCAGTGGCGGGATCTCGGCTCACTGCAAGCTCCGCCTCCCGGGTTCACGCCATTCTCCTGCCTCAGCCTCCCAAGTAGCTGGGACTACAGGCGCCCGCCACTACGCCCGGCTAATTTTTTGTATTTTTAGTAGAGACGGGGTTTCACCGTTTTAGCCGGGATGGTCTCGATCTCCTGACCTCGTGATCCGCCCGCCTCGGCCTCCCAAAGTGCTGGGATTACAGGCGTGAGCCACCGCGCCCGGCCAAATTGTGTTATATTTTTTAAAAGGCTGAGCAAAGCTTTTGTTATTTCAGCTGGGGATATTTCTGGATAGGGAAGTAACTGATATGAAAGACCTTTTGATGGTTATAAAGTGATTATTATTATTTCTTTAAATTTATTCTCATTTAAATATGATTCATGGGGCATAACTATCAATTTTTACTGAGGATGAAAACCAGGGAACTATGGTGAAGAGGCGATGAGAAAAAAAATGTTATGGAAAATACTTTGGCTAGGTTTCCACAACACCACATCAGTTTATTATAATAAAGTCAATGAACTTTTTGTGGAAAATTGCTTGCATTAAGAGTGGGTAGCTGGCTGGGCATGGTAACTCACATCTCTAATCCCAGCACTTTGGAAGGCCAAGGCCGGAGGATCACTTCAGGCCAGGAGTTTGAGACCATCTTAGGCAATACAGCAAGCCTTCATCTCTACAAAATAAAGAAAAAAAATTGGCTGGGCATGCAGCTGTGTGCCTGTACTGTTAGCTATTCTCAAGGCTGAGGCAGGAGGATCACTTGAGCCCAAGACTTTGAGGCTGCAGTGAGTCATGATCTCACCAGTGTACTCTAGCCTGGACAACAAAGAGTGACCCTGTTTCTTAAAAATAAAAACAGGCAGTTAACATGCAGTGTTTGTGTTTTCTCAGCGTGTGAACAAAGTTTATTTAATTGCACTTCATGAGGAGAACTACATTTCCCCTACTTTCAAAACATTTAGACCCAGAAGCACATTGAAATACTGAGCTCTTTGTGGATGTCCTAAGATTGACTTCTTTGCAGGTTGCATTTGTCATTGACATTGGGACTGAAATTGAGTATGTGAGGAAGTTTTAGTTGTTAACCAGATTTTCCCATTCTGCTTTGGTTTTTACCATTTGGCTGGAATTGGTTTTATCTGCCCTGAATCTTTCTGAGTGTTACATATTTTAAGGGAGTGTCAATCAAGGCCTCAGAGAGAATTCAAGAAAAATAAGTGTCAAGAAAAACAAATAGCCCAAAGCGAATCCACTTCACTTTAATGGTTGCAAAACTGATGAGTGTTCACCATGTTGCCCTTTTAATTTCCAGAGGGGCTTCTTCCAAGATAAGCAAATATATAGCAATATTCTTATTTGGAAGAGTGCTTTCCCTTGAGATAAACTGAAAAATGGGATAAAAGGACAAATCACCAGTCATATTCTATTCTCACACCCAGAAGATTTTCTTACTAAACCATGTGTTGAAATACTCAACAACAATCCTCCAAACAAACTTATATAGAGCCAAAAGAAACATAATCGTGAAAGATACTGCGGATTTATCCAACATAATCTAAAACCAAGACAGGAGATTGGTATGTCAGACAAAACACAAATTCGAAGTTGTTGGGGAGTTGGGGTTGTTTTTGTTGTTTTTTAGAAATGGATCAGCTCTCTTAATAAGTCTGCAGTCATCTGAAAGGGAAGTACACTCAGTTTGCTTTGATAGACCTTGACATTGAACAACCAATTTGGTCTAGCCATTAAGTCAGTCTCAATTTGGGCTGGACTTCAACCAGTATAAATGACTTTTTTTTTTAATTTTCCAACTCCCTGTTTGGCATCATTTAGAAATTTGATTTCATGGCTATCAGAGAAGAAAGAAAGCACACCACAACTTTTTCTAGGAAATTGAAACAAGAAAAATTCCATGAAGAATCAATTTAAAAATTCTGGGGGCCAGGCGCGGTGGCTCATGCCTATAATCCCAACACTTTGGGAGGCCGAGGCGGGCCTGGTCTCCACTTGGACCTAATGGGATCTTCCAACCTGAGAAGGCATTCCTTCTTAAATAAATTTTAAGTTGAGAGTACACAAAACTTTTTCTGTAGGTTCTCTGTGCCTTAAAAAATAAGATCATTTATTTCAACTAATTATTTTTGTTAAGTGTGCCAGGAGTCCTCTATGTGTTTATTGCTTATTAAGCACTGAGACTAAAATTATAGACAACCTGAGAAATTGAACACCCTGAAAATTCTTCATTATCCCTCAGGCATTGTATTTTACACAATTAACATACGTGGTATTTATAGGTGGGTTTGCTTAGTGCCATAAATTCCAAGTAGAGGGTCTATGTCACCACAGTTTTTCAAGGTAGTAGAGTTAGAGATTGCGTGTCAAAAATATTTTTAAAAGTTGACTGGGGAGTTGGAAATTTTTTTTCAACAAAATATAAAAGTTAAGTGGAAAAAAATAAATAAAAGTGAACATAAAATATTTAAAAAATTTAAAGCACTAAAACAAAAACAACATAGAAAAATTTGGAATCCTTTTTTTTTTTTTTTTTTTTTTTTTGTTGAGACAGAGTTTTGCTCTGTCAACCAGACTGGAGTGCAGTGGAGCGATTTTGGCTCACTGAATGCTCCGCCTCCTGGGTTTAAGCAATTCTCTGCCTCAGCCTCCTGAGTAGCTGGGATTACAGGCACCTACCACCATGCCCTGCTAATAATTTTTTTTGTACTTTTAGTAGAGTCAAGGTTTCACCGTCTTTCTAAGGCTGATCTTGAACTCCTGACCTTGTGATCCACCCGCCTCGGCCTCCCAAAGTGCTGGAATTACAGGCTTGAGCCACGGAGTCAAGTCTTTTTTTTTTTTTTTTTTTCCTATTTTTTATTTTTAGCAGGGTCTCACTCTGTTACTGAGCCTGGAGTGCCACGGGATGGTCTCATCTCACTGCAACCTCTGTTCCCTGAGCTCAAGCTATCCTCCCACCTCAGCCTCCCAAATTGCTGCGACCGTAGATACATGCCACCACGCCCAGTTATTTTTTTGTGTTGTTTATAGGGATGGAGTTTCACCATGTTGCCCAGGCTCATCTCAAATTCCTGGCCTCAAGTGATCCACCCACGTAAGCCTCCCTAAGTGCTGGAATTACAAGCGTGAGCCACCATGCTTGGCCTGGAATCATAACATTTTTAAGTGAGCAATTGCCTGGAATCTCACCTAATCTCTCTGCCTGTTGAAGAGATTTGGAGTCATAAAACTTTAAAAATGGAATATAAATATTTCAGTTGCACTGGAATCTTACCTCAACTCTCTGCCTGGTGATCTGTAGCAGGACGATGCAGACAAATTATTTCAGAGGCTAAGGATAGAGACTGCAGGAGAACCTTGTAAGGCAAACCTGGTTGATTCAAATGAACAGAGCTTCACTGATCACCAACCTTTGAAGTGAAGAGTTGCTACTGAACCAAGCACTACAGCATGATTTTCACATTGGGGAGAATCCCATGATCATGACTAAGCTGTGGCCACAGAGTCATATCTGCTGATTTTTTTATACAAAGGCAGAATAAGAGAGAACAAGTCTGGTCAAACTTCACTGCCTTTTCTGGAGGTGTATGTTGCAATGCATGCAGGTAATAGGTTTCCTCCTTTGAGGCCCAAAGAATCAAATCCTAGCCACATAAAACCTCTTTGCTATGACCCTCATTGGTAGGAAAGAATGTGGAGTGCAGCCTTTCTCTACATTCCTTCATATCAACTGCTCAGAAATCCACAGGATTGGACAAGATAGGAATTATTATTGTTTTATTACATTAGGAATTTAGTAGTCAGGTCTTGTTTTCAGAAGTTCCAAAACAGGTGCACCTGAGTTAGGCCTGAAATCAAGGTTTTCTGATTCTAGGACTAATTTCTTTTTCTTTCTTCTTTTCATTCATTCTTTCTCTTTCTTGCGATCTTTTCTGCCGTTTCCTTCATTCCTTCCTTGTTTCCTTCCTTCCTCCCTTCCTTCCTTTCTTCCTCCCTTCCTGCCTTGCTTCCTTTCTTCCTGTCTCTCTCTCCTCTCTTTTCTCTCTTTCTCTTTCTTTCTGACAGGGTCTTGCTCTGTCACTTAGCCTGGAGTGCAGTGATGCAATCATAGCTTACTGCAGCCTTGACTTTCTAAACTCAAGCCATCCTCCCACCTCAGTCTCCCAGTAGTTGTGTTGGGACAAACACAACTGACTAATTTTCTTTGTAAATGTATTTTTCTGTAGAGATGGAGTCTCTCTATGTTGCCCAGGGTGGTCTCAAACTCCTGAGTTCAAGTGATCCTCCCACTTCAAACTTTCAAAATGCTGGGATTATAAGCCTGAGTCCTGCCCCCCACTAAGTCCAATTTCTGTTCAAGATAAGTCTTTTTGGGTGTAGTAAAACTCTTTAATTATGTTACTTAAAGAAATCTGTCTGTTGCAGTTTCCATGTACTGGGTTAGTGTTTAAGAAGCATAGCCAAAGTGATACTTATCTTTTATGGTAGGACATGGAAAACTATGATCTCAGGGCCAAATCCATGCAAAACCTGTATTCACATGGACTGCAAACTACACAAATAGAGTTTTCATTTTGCATGTTGAAAACAAATAAGAGTCTTTCTTGGCGTATGAGTGTCATAAAAATTTCACATTCCAGTGTATATCCATTAAAACATAGTCACACCAAATCTCTTACGTAGTGTCTGTGACTGTTGTCATGCTATAGTGGCAGAAGTGAATAGCTGAGACAGAGATGGTTGTCAGTCCTACAAAGTCTAAATTGTTCTTTATCCAGACCTTTATGGAAAATGCTTGCCAACTCCTGATTGAGAGAAATGCCTTGAATTTCCCCCTTGAGTGTGAAGAGTGAAATTTTTGGGTCTGATCTGAAAAGAGAGAGCTCAGATAAAGCCTGTGCTCTCAGAAGAAAATAAAATTCTTAAGACTGGAATTTCTAATATTTAATTTGAAGTCACCATGGCCCACACCTTCCATTGTTTTGTCAGAGTGCCCTGTAGGAGGTCTGAAATCACTGGGGTAGGGTTTGCAGATGGAATCCTGACAGGTGCTTGGCATTCATAGTAGGATGAAGCCATGGGGCAGGTTCATCCTTAGACCTGAATGAGGACTGGACAGAGGGTGGATGTCCCTTGGATTCCTCTGGAGTCCCCAGGGATAGTGATAAGAAACCAAATCAGGATATGAGGTGGGCCCTTCATCCTTCAATGTGTGACTATTAAAAGGAGACTTCAAAATACAAGAAGATCTAGGAACACATTGTGGCTGATACCTGGGCTACTTTCCATAGTTATAAAGACAGAGTGCTGACCAGGCACAGTGGCTCAGGCTTGTAATCCCAGCATTTTGGGAGACTGAGATGGGTGGATCTTGAGATCAAGAGCTCGATACCATCGTGGCAAACACGGTGAAACACCATCTCTTTTGAAAATACAGAAACTTTACCAGATGTGGTGGTGAGTGCCTGTAGTCCCAACTACTGAGGAGGCTGAGGCAGGAGAATCACTAGAACCTGGGAGGTAGAGGTTGCAGTGAGCCAAGATTGCACCACTGCACTCCAGCCTGACAACAGAGGAAAACTCCGTCTTAAAAAAAAAAAAAAAAAGACAGAGTGATTTAGGCACATGAATTACATGATTCTAATTATCAACCAGCAACCTTCCAATGATTAATTTTAATTGATCTATTCTCTTTGCTACTAAATATTCAGAACATCTTTCTTTAAATCACTATTTAAAGCTATTTTAGGATACAGGAGGATGCATGGAAAATAAATATGTTGATGAAAAGTGCCAAATGGATTGTGAAGATAATCCTATTTCACATACAATAATGAAATGAATGTTGTTTCCTTTTTAATTGCTCCACACTTAGAACCAAACATGCCAAAGTTAGTACTTTACTACATCTAATTGAATTTGCCTAGTTCCTCTTATTATGAGAGCAGGTTACAAGTAAAGCAGTTGACTTTAATGCAATTGTTACATTGTTAGACAAAATTATATCAATGAATTGCAGCAATAATGTTTATCTAGGCTACTTTCATAGACTTTTACCCTCTTATTATTGAATTCCACCAGGTATAGCAATAACTTCAGTGTTAGTTGCTGTGCTCACACAGGTGAGTAGTCAATTCATCTTTGTAAATTGTAAATAACTGTCTAAAAGCTCTATAGTAGCTATAATTATAAGAAAGTAAAGTCTAAAATTGACTTTATTTTAAATAACCATCAATCAAATCACTTGGGAAGTATTTTTTAAAACGGCATTAACAATAGATCTATGCATAAGTCACATCTTTATATTGATTTTATCTACTATAGTTCTACTAAAGCAAAGAAAAGCACTTTTCTTTCAAGAGATTTAATTAGATGCATTGTTCTGGGAAAGTCATTACAAAATCCATTTTCAACGTAGAATATTTCTTAAAAACCTGCACCTGAAATTTCAGTGTCAACATAAAAATAGTAATTAGTGATTGCACCCTATTTTTACTTTGCTGTATGGCATCTTTCAATCCTTCATCTCCTTCCTGGGTGCTTTAGGGAAATCATAAATCCATATATTTCCAGGTACCATATAGTTGCTGTATACTATTTGGCAATGCTTGAGTAGCACCCAAGATATTTCTAAGATGAATATACTCTTGCAAATGGAAAGTTCTAAATGTGAACATTTTAGCAATACAGCCATGAATGATAAGTGCTTCCATCACAGAAGAAAATGAATACATATTGCAAATAATAACAAATGTGTATTTCTACATCCATGTATGATTTCAATGGCCAGGTGCCAGGGAAACAGAATTGAGGCTAACCACATACAACATAGTCACATTTCAAAAATTATTATCTGACCCTGGAAAATCAGAATTTTTCTGATTTTTCTGCAAGAACAGTAATAATTGGTAGTAGCCAAAATTAGGCTAAGAAATCAGTGGATTTAACAATTTGCAACAGGCTTCTTCTTAAATCAAGGATGTAAAGTCATCTTCTTGTGTTTTCAAATAATGATTTTAAAACATTTTTATTGTTTTTTTATCGGTGTGCTTCCAATTTTCTCTTCTAGCCAATGCATTCTGCATGTTTTAATTTTTATTTATTTATATTTGTAAATTTTAGATTTGGAGGTACACGTGCAGGTTTGTTACATGATTATATTGCATGATGCTGAGGTTTGGGCCTCAGCTGAAGCTGTCACCCAAATAGTTTTATATTCCTTTATTGTTGGTGTATAATTGCACAATAGCCAGAGAATGTTGTCTCTATGAATTTGGCTATGGAATTTTTGAGATTTTGTCTGCATCACAGGTTAATATTTCAAAATAATTTAGATGCCTGAAAAATAACACATAATGTCTTTTTGTGATACATATTGATATATCAATCAGATGAAGTTTGTTAATTACTACATTATACGTTGTATCCTTTTCACTCTCTTTTTTTTGGTGGAAGAGAGTTCTGCTTTCTCTATCAACACTTGACAAAGGTTCATTCAAGTCTTCCACTACAGATATGGTTTTAAAATATCTTTTAGTGATTCTGTCATTTTATGTGCATATATATATATATATATATATGTACACACATATATACTATTATACATACTACACTGTACTATACTATGCTATAGCATATTATAGTATACTATACTACTATACTATACATACTATATATAATACTTAGATGCACACATGCACACACATATGTTTATTTACTTATTTATAAAGATTCTCTTCTGCCCACAGCTGTAATCCCAGAACTTTGAGAAGCCTAGGCAGGTGGATCACTATGTCAGGAGTTCGAGACCAGTCTGGCCAACATGGTGAAATGCCATTTCTACTAAAAATACAAAAATTAGCCAGACATGATGGGCACACCTGTAGTCCCAACTACTTGGGAAACTGAGGCAGGAGAATCACTTGAACCGAAGGAGCAGAGGTTGCATGAGCTGAGATTGTGCCACTGCGCTTCAGCCTGGGTGACAGAGCCAGACTCTGTCTCAAAACAAAAAACAAACAAACAAAAAAAACCACTCTCTTCTTAGTCACAATGTAATGAGTTTTTGATTATTATGGATATCTGATGGCATGTTTTTCTTATGATATTAAATTCCTAAACTTTTGTTACTTACTTTTGTCTTCAATTCTATTGCAATCAACTTAATTTTGGTTATTGCTATTATGGTATGCAAGTTTCATTTCCATTATTTTCAAAAAGTTTTCGTAGATGTATCACTATTAAATAGTTTAAAGCTGGATTATCATTTTATTTAGTTTTAATTCAACCTGAGTGTCTGTGCCATTTTAATAGGGAAGTTTAGCTTTTCATGTCTAGTGTGATAACAGATAAATGGGCATATTTCTACTATCTCAATTGTATTTTCCATTTTTTAACCCTGACCTTTAGCTGACTTCTTTTTTTTCTTCTTATTTTCTGGCCTCTGGGGATGCTATTCATTGTTGGCTTAGCTTCCTTACTTTTTCCACTTGCTCTTTAAAATATTCAGATTTTCTAACTTTCTAGTAAACTTCATAGCTTTTATCCTCTTTCTGCATGAGATAATTGTATTAATGTACCCAACCTGGTGAAGGCCCTTCCTTACATCTCATCCCTTATTGATTTTAATATTTCTATTGCAGCTTACTTTTTGGAATAACATTTTAATATTATGTTAACATTATAGTTACAATTAACATTAATTAATAGATTTAACAACATGGCTCATAGTGGCCCTTATTTATCTTGCACATTGACACATAGAACTTCCTATTTATTTCATTTTATTTATATTTATGATAAAGTATATCCTTTCATATTGTTTGTATAAAGTTCTAAATGAAACAGTTTTGGGGTCACTTATGCCTGAAAAACATCTTTCTTTCTTTTATAAATAGTTGCCAATGATAATTTTGTTTAGAATTCTATATTTTTAGAACTTGTGCATAAGCATTTCAAATATATTGTGATAGACAATATATTTCTAAGGTGATGCCAATGGTCCCCATAGAGGTGTCCAGACCTGTGTGCCATTCCCTCCCATAGAGTTTGGTAGGACTTGTGCCTTACTTCTAGTTATGCAGAATATAGAGAAGGTGAAAAAAATTGTGATGCAATTAATGATCCCAAATTAGTTGATTTTAAGTAAATCCAGTGGGTGATTATCTTGGGCAGGTCTAACTTCAGCAGAGGGAAAGGTTCTCCTTGTGGGCTCAATGACATAAGCAGCCATATTGGAGAAGCCCACATGTCCTCTTGGCTGTAGTGGGTAGACTTTAAAGTGACCCTCAATGCCTCTCACCTTCTGGTGTTCACACCCTTGTGTATGATGATACACTCTTTGGTTGTGTCCAAGATCGTGGGATGTGACTTCTGTGTATTGTTTACCTTCTGCTACATAAAACTCAATCTTGCCAGCAGACTCTTGCTAGATTCCTTCTCTTGCTGACTTTGAAGCAGTCAGTCATCAGGGTGAGAGGCCCAACTCTCAAGCTGCTGAGAATGACCTAAGATGGGGAACTGGTCTTTGGCAGCAAGAAATGGACAGAACTCTCAGTCCTGGAGCTGCAAGTAACTTAATTCTGCCAACAACCTGGCTATACCTGAACCAGATTCTTCCTTCTTTGAATCTCCAGATAAGAACATAACCAGCCAACATCTTGACTGCATGCTTGTGAGACCCTGAGCTCTACACCCACTTAAGCCATGCTGAGGTCCCTGATCTGCCGAAACTGTGATAATCAGTAGTGGTTGTCATAAGGTGCTATGTTTTGGGGGTAATTTGTTACACAGCAAGAATTACTAATACACATCTAATTCTATTATAATGTCAGTGTGGTGTAGAGTTAAAGGGTCTGGTTCTGAATCCAAATAAACTTTATCTCTGACTCAATATGCTCATGTATTAATTAAAGCAATTAACAGCCCTCTATATTAAGGGTTAAGAGATTTAATAAATTAACATTTTATTCATGTGATGACTAATCAGAGTGAGTAAATTGGAATATATATGTCAAAAAAATACCTAAAATTATTGTTGTTGTTCTTCTTCAAAGAACTGATCATGCTCAGAGATTCATGTTTCTTAGTTATTATTTTTTTCTATCCCAAGACAAAATGTGGAGCACAACTTAGGATATTTACCTTAAGGATACATGCTTTCAGAACATTTGACCTTCTGTTGATTGCACAACAGGTTTGAATATTAGATCCTTCATCTCCCAAGATCTTTCTAATTATGTGCTGTTTACGCTCACCTGCAAACCTCAGCAATTTATTGATTTTTGAAGTTAACACAGATTTTTTGTCTCTCTGTCTTTTATTTAACAATGCCAAAAGGCTTTTTATAAACATGTTGTGGCCTTTATATGAACTAACAGAATCCACCCTGCTGGAATGGATACTAAGATATCATCCAGGCATAGAAGACTTTTTATAAGACCTTAGCTTTGGAACTGCTGGTCATCAAATGCTCATGTATGCTCTTGCTCTGACTTCTAATCCAAATGTAGAAAAATAGATTGCTCTCCTTCACTTATCTAACATTCAACATTGCAATTTCAAAAAAAAAAAGAACTATTCCAATATGCCTCATAGTTCTTATAAACATTATTAACACTTTATTATTCATTCACATTTTTTTTTTTTTTTTTGAGGCGGAGTCTCGCTCTGTCGCCCAGGTCGGACTGCGGACTGCAGTGGCGCAATCTCGGCTCACTGCAAGCCCCGCTTCCCGGGTTCACGCCATTCTCCTGCCTCAGCCTCCCGCGTAGCTGGGACTACAGGCGCCCGCCACCGCGCCTGGCTAATTTTTTGTATTTTTAGTAGAGACGGGGTTTCACCTTGTTAGCCAGGATGGTCTCGATCTCCTGACCTCATGATCCACCCGCCTCGGCCTCCCAAAGTGCTGGGATTACAGGCGTGAGCCACCGCGCCCGGCCTCATTCACATTTTTTATTGGTGCCCATGTTAGTTAATTCTTTAAAAGGAAATCATTTGTTCAAACTAAATAGATCAAACAAGAAAATTAACAAATACAAACAAATGTTAGACGACTAATGCATAATAACAGCATTATTTAAATTTTCACTCAATGCTGCTTGATTTATTAATTCTCCCAAACCACTTTGCTTGACTGAGAGTCTTTAAAAAATTAATAAATGCTTCCACTGTTATAAGTGATCAATTATCAACCTGCTACATTTGCTGAACATTTGGGAACAGATATTGTGTTAGTTTACTACTGTTTTGTAATAACACAGAGGACTAAAACAACATATGTTTATTATCTCATAGTTTCTGTAAGTCAGTCGTGTAGGTATGGCTTAGCTGGGTCCTCTGCTCAAGTTCTCAATAGGCTGCCATCAAGGGGGTAGCTAGGCTGTGTTCTCATCTGGAGGCTTATATGTGGAGGGGGCTATTTTCAAACTCATTTGATAGAATTTATTTCCTTTCAGCTATGTGTCTGGAGACTCCCAGTTGTACTACCTCTTGATTAGAGGCAACAATTGGGTAATAGAAGCTACCCATACTCCACAGAGGACACTCACTCTTCCTTGCTACTTGAATTTCTCCAATATGGCCTCTTATTTCATCAGGCCTTCAAAGAGCATCTCTCACCTCAGTGAGAGATCAGTCTTTTTTAGGCCTTTCTCCTGATTAAATCAGACTCACCCATCATAATCTTCACAGCAGACAACTCAAAATCAACTGATTCAGGATATAAATTACATCTAATAAAACTCTCTTCAGCTTTGCCATGTTTTGGCTAGATGAAAGTCACTATTCCTGCCTATGTTGAAGGGGAAGGACGTGTATATGAACCACTGAATCATGGGGACTTCCCTAGCCTGGGTCCACCACAGACCCTGTGAATAATAAACAAGAGAAACTCTATAATAGTAGGAGATTAGTAGTAAGGATAAAATAGCTGATAAATTTACACACACACACAAACACACACACAAAAGTCATCAACCTGGTACTGAGATTTGAGTCTTCATCCTAGTTTTCCCATTAATTTTGTAATCTTTGGCAAGCCAGTTGACCCCTCTGAGTCTTAGTATTATTTCTAAACTGAGTCCTTAGGCCAGAGAAAGTCACATACTGCCATTCTTCTGTAACCTACTATGATTCTTTGATATCTGTGACATATTCATATTATATTGCATTGTATTGTGTTGTGTTGTGTCGTGTTGTGTTCTGTTGTATTGTATTAGAGTCTTACTCTGTTGACCAGGCTGGAGTGCAGTGGCAGCATCATGGCTCACTGCAACCTCCAGCTCTCAGGTTCAAGTGATTCTCCTGCCTCAGCCTCCCAAGTATCTGGGACTACAGGGAAGTGCCATGATGCCCAGCTATTTTTATTTTCATTTTTTTTTCTTTTTCTTTTTTTAGTAGAGACGGGGCTTCACCATATTGGCCAGTCTGGTCTCAAACTCCTGACCTCGTGATCCACATGCCTTGGCTTCCCAAAGCACTGAGATTACAGGTGTGAGCCACCGCAGCCAGCCAATTCTAGCTTTTTACCTAAAAATATGTATGTGGGACAGCTTAGGAGTGAACTTGAAAAAAGGGAAAGAAAAGAAAAGGAAAATATGTAAACCAGACTGGGTTTTCTCCTGAGCTCTTACTTTCTCTTCAGCTCTATCATTTATTCTACAACTCAAATAATTTTTTTGAAAAAAATTTATATTCAGCTATTCTGACATATTCATGTTTCTTTTATCCTGAAAAATATCCTAAAAGAGTCAAGTACATTCATTAGACACAGGCAGACATTCTTTGCAAATAGAAAGATATACCAATTCCTTGGGAAGCTTATACCTTCACCAAAACAGAAACCTCATTTTTTTTTTAAAGATTCATGACTAGAAAGGAGAAAAGGGGACATTCAAATGCTGCAAACATTTTTTTAAAAACTCAATTTTTGGATTTTTAAAAATCAATAAACATAATCCATCACATTAACAGAACCAATCACAAAACCACAATTATCTAAATAGATACAGAAAAATCCTTTGACAAAATTCAACTCCACTTCATGCTAAATACTCTGAATAAACTAAGTATTGATGGAACATATCTCAAAATAGTAAGAGCTATTTATGACAAACCCAGAACCAATATCATACTGAATGGGCAAGAGCTGGAAGCATTCTCTTTGAAAACTGGCACAAGGCAAAGATGCCCTCTCTCACCACTCCTGTTCAACATAGAATTGGAAATTCTGGTTAGGGCAATCAAGCAAGAGAAAGAAATAAAGGTTATTCAAATGGGAATAGAGGAAGTCAAATTGTCTCTGTTTGCAGATGACGTAACTATATATTTAGAAAACCCAATCATCTCAGCCCAAAGTCTCCTTAAGCAGATAAGCAACTTCAGCAAAGTCTCAGGATACAAAATCAATCTAGGTGCCCATCCACAGTGACCTGCATAAAGAAATTGTGTTACATCTACATCATGGAATACTACACAGCCATAAAAAAGAATGAAATCATGTTCTGGATGAGATTTCCTGCCAGCCCAAAGAGCCTGGGAGATGACAACAGAGAGCTCAATGCTACTCTGAATTCCCATAAAGGAAAGAGGATGGGAGCAGGAAGTTTGTGAATGCTGATCTGGTAGAACTCCAGCCAATACTGGCCATCATGAGTCCTGAGTCTCCAGTAAAGGACTCACCTAGGTGTCCCAGCCATCCTCAGTCACTGGAGGGATTAAGTCTCTAGGTAGAATAGGCAAGTTGCTAACTAGGTGATGGATTTCAAAGCCCAGCATCTTGGGCTCTCAGTAAATATCATTCCCTGGAGTCAAGGAAATGAGAAGCACATTTTTCACAGCCACAGAAAGGGCCAATTTGTCCCAGAGAGGGAATTTCTCCAGGTCCCCAGAGCATGGAATTTCAGGACACACTTACCTAGAAACCTGTTTAAAGTCATCTCTTTTTGTCAGGCCTCTGAGCCCAAGCTAAGCCATCATAACCCCTGTGACCTGCATGTATACATCCAGATGGCCTGAAGCAACTGAAGAACCACAAAAGAAGGGAAAATAGTCAGTTCCTGCCTTAACTGTGACATTTCACCATTGTGATTTGTTCCTGCCCCACCCTAACTGATCAATTGAACTTGTGGTATTCCTTCTCCCAGACAATGAGTCTGAGGAACTCCCCACAGAGCACCTGTGACCCCCACCCCTGCCTGCAAGAGACAACCCGCTTTGACTGTCATTTTCCACTACCTACCCAAATCCTAGAAAACTGCCCCACCCCATCCCCCTTTGCTGACTCCTTTTTCAGACTCAGTCCACCTGCACCAAGGTGAGTAAAAAGCTTTATTGCTCACACAAAGCCTGTTTGGTGGTCTCTTCACACGGACCCGCATAACATTTTTACATATTGTCACTCTCAACTGTTTATAGTCATGTTATATAGTATTTTAGATTAGAATGTGCTTTGGTGGGGTACAGGAAGGATTAGATCAGGAGCAGCCCAATAGATGCCTGGCCTGACAGGATAGCCTAAGATTCCTGTGTTAGAGCTCATGGTTGACCATTTGATGACACATAGCATGGGAATGGAGACCTTTATGTCTGAGACCTCCTGATTATATCTTGTTTTATACCCTACTTTTTCCCAAGGGGAGAAATTAGCATACCTGAATTACAAATGTTGCCTCATGCATATTCTAAAATTGTGTTTATGGGAAATAAGAAAATCTCATTAAGAACATGCAGTACTTGGTTTTCTGTTCCTGTGTTAACTTGCTTAGGATAATCAACTCTCCCTGCATCCAGGTTGCTGCAAAAACTTGATTTCCTTCTTTTCTATGTCTGTGTATTATTCCATGGCATAGATAGGCCATGTTTTCTTTATGCAGGCCACTGTGGATGGGCACCTAGGTTGACTCCATGTCTTTGCTATTGTGAATAGCTCTGCTATGAACACACAAATTGCATGTGTCTTTTAGGAGCTAAGCACTGCAGATATGGATATAAAGATGGGAAAAATCGGCACTGGGGACTACTAGAGGGAGGAAGGTGGGAGTAGGGCAAGGTCTGAAAAACTGTTGGATACTATGTTTAGTACCTGGGTTAGGAGATCATTTCTACACCAAACCTTAGCATCACACAATATACCAGGTAACAAACTTGCACATATACTCCCCTGATTCTAAAATAAAATTTGAAATTATTTAAAAAAGAAAATTACTAAAAAATAAATCAATAAGAAAATATTTAAACAAATGATACATTGGGTTTATAAAAAAGAAACCCCACTGAGAGGGCACATTTTAATTCCTATCTGAGGAGCATAATTTTCTTCTGGAGATTGTTAACGGTAATTTCCCAACTTCAGAAGTCTTGTTCATAGGGTACTTTTAAACCTCAATTTTCACTTCCAAGTTTATGTTCTGACCAAACCTCATTCCTCGAAATAGGGTTAGCATATCTCTCTTGAAATCTTTTGTGTTTAACCTCTTTAACCTCTTTCTGCAGTTCAGATGTTCTGTCCATACTGGGTAAACTAATGTCCCCTTCCTTATTGTTGTCCATATAAAAAGTTAGTACAAGTTCAGGAGTTAGATAGAAGCCTTGGCTGAAATGTATTGTCTTATCATTCTTGGGGGTAGAAGTCTGAAATCCAGGTAGGGCCAGCACTGTTTCCTTTCAATGAGCAATCATCTGTTTCACCCCTCTCTTTTAACTGCTGGTAGCTTTCTGTCAATCCGTGGCATGCCTTGACTTATACAAGCACTATCTGTGCCTCAATGTCTGTCTTTATCTTCATGTGGCATTCTCCCTATTGGTATGCCTCTCTCCAAATTTGTTTTTTCTATGAAGATGCCCATGATGTTAGATTAAGGCCCACCCTAATGACCACATCTCAACCTAACTAAATACATCCACAACGATTCTATTTCCAAATAAAGTCGCATTCTGAGAAGGTAGGAAGTAGCAGATCTTCAGCATATGAATTTTTTTTGTGGCCACAATTCCACCCAGAAACATAGTTCATCATAGAATAGGCACTAGAGTTCACAGCTCTAAGTTTAGTGCCTTTTGGGGTGGCATATTGGGGATATTAGGGATGCTCAAAACATGACCAAACAGTGACTCAATCCCACAATAAAAGCTGGCTCAGTATTTGAAAGAAGCATTCTGCTTCTGCATCATCAAGCTGTCAGATGACCTGAGTTCTGCAGAAGAAACTGCAGCTAATTTGATTGTAGAACGATTAAATAAATATCAGGTACTGTCTTTTCTGTGAGCTTCTCAGAAGTGTTCTTAACGATGACAGTCTGTCTGCTTAGAGGCAGCAATGAACATTGTTGGCATTTGGAGAATACTTTAAGCATGTCATCATCTTTTCCAAAACTTTTAGAACCTGGATAGAAAACTATGACTCTAAGGTCAGAGGTTTTTCTTCTTTGTAGCTATTGAATGCACAGTTTATGGTCCATAGTTTTATTACTGCAAAGGATTCCTTCTGTATTTATAAGCACAAAACACAGATGTAAGATGTGATGTGCTCAGTAACTAAGTCAACTTTTATATAACAGTCTGCTTGGATATGGTGAATCGTAACCAGCCTTCAGAATGCATGTAAAAGATGGAAATTATATCTGATAATCTTGAGTTGGGACTGTTTCAAAGATATTTTATAGCTTCAAGAAAAGGCTGGCATATTTGTTTTTTTCTAGAAATTAATTCATTATTAATCTTTATCTTACAATGTTTTACAAGCCACTTGTGTATAGTATCAACATGATTATTTTTAAGAATAGGGCCCAATGTAGCACTATGTTAACAGAAATGAGGCATTCATGAATATTTAATCAATGATTTTAACCAAAAATTGGAGCACATATGGAGAAAAAATTGCAAGTATATGAAAAGATGTACAAACAAGAGTCAATTGTCCTTGAAGAACAGATTCTGAGCACTGCTGTCTGAGATTGTTGCTGTTACAGCTTTCTCCAGTAACCATCTGGAAATAGACTCATTCACACATACATTTACTCACCCACTAACCTTCCCCCAACAACAAACATGCACGTACTTGCATATGCGTGAGCGATCTTTCTCATGGCTGCCTACCATTCAGTGTCTGAACTACTGTGATTTAGCTAACTTCTGTCAACAGCCATTTTAGGTTTTTTTTTTTTTCCTAGTTTTTGTGATATTTCAAAGCAATTATGCAGTGAAAACACCTTTCAGCATATATCTCTCTGTGATGTGGAAATGCATCTCTCCGGATGTATTCCTTGAAGTGGAAGTACGTGCTGGGTCAGGGGCTGTGTGTCTCTTAACCTTGGGTCTGTTCTCCCAGATTTCCCTCCCAAGGGGCTGCCTGATTCTCAGTCACTATTTAAAAGAATGAGAATACATGGACACAGGAAGGGGAACAAAACACACTGGGGCCTGTCGGGGGCTAGCTGGGTAACGAATGGATAGCATTAGAAGAAATACCTAATGTAGACGACGGGTTGATGGGTGCAGCAAACCATCATGGCACGTGTATACCTATGCAACAGACCTGCATGTTCTGCACATGTACCCCAGAACTTGAAGTATAATAATAAATAAATAAATAAATAAATAAATAAATAAATAAATAAGAAAAGTGCTTCCTATTCCTTATCCATCTTTTGGATTGCTACAAATTGGAAGTTTAAAAATATGGAAGCCCCACCGTTATTTTGTTTTGCATTTTGGTATTTATGGGGAAAAAAGCATTTTTATTTATTTAAATGTATATATTTTTCTGTCACCCTCAACAGGGCAGTCTTTATTCCTTTGTGGTAAATGTTCTGGATATATTTTAAGTTTCCCAGCCCACATTCTTTTGTATTTTGAGCATATTTTTCTGTTGTATTTTGTTCATATTTTTCTATTTTATTTTGTTCCATTAGTTTGCTAGAGCCGACTTAACAAAGTACCTAGGCTGGCTAGCCTAAACAACAGAATTAATGTTGTCATTGTCATGGAGGCTAGAAGTCCTAGAACAAGGTATGGAAGGAGCTGGTTCCTGCTGCGGCCTCTCTCCTTGACTTGTAAACAGCACCTTTTCCCTGTGTCCTCACATAGTCATCCCTCTGTGTGTGCCTGTGTCCTAATTTTTTCTTCTTTTTTTTTTCTTTTTTTGAGATGGAGTCTCGCTCTGTCGCCCAGGCTGGAGTGCAGTGGCGCGATCTCTGCTCACTGCAAGCTCCGCCTCCCGGGTTCACGCCATTCTCCTGCCTCAGCCTCCCGAGTAGCTGGGACTACAGGCGCCCGCCACTACGCCCGGCTAACTTTTTGTGTTTTTAGTAGAGACGGGGTTTCACGGTGGTCTCTATCTCCTGACCTCGTGATCCTTCCGCCTCGGCCTCCCATAGTGCTGGGATTACAGGCGTGAGCCACCACGCCCTGCCAATTTTTTCTTCTTATAAGAACATCAGCCTTGTTGGATCAAGGACCACCCGAATGACTTTATTTTACCTTAAATATCTCTTTAAACACACTAGTCAGTTCTCCATATCTGTTGGTTTTGCATCTATGGATTTAACCAACTGCTATTTGAAAATATACAGGAAAAAAGTGGATGGTTGTGTCTGCACTCAACACATACATACTTTTTTTTCCCTGTTATTCTCAAACAACAGAGGAAATCAGCTATATAGGAATGATTTAAAGCAGTGATCCCCAACATTGTTGGCACCAGGGATAGGTTTTGTGGAAGACAGTTTTTCCACAGATGTAGGGCTGGGGGATGAGGGGATGGTTTTGAGATGATTCAAGCGCATTACATTTATCATTTCATCCTCATAAGGAGCATACAATGTAGCTCCCTTGCATGCACAATTCATAATTGGGTTCATGCTTCTGTGAGAATCTAACACTGCAATAGATCTGACAGGCGGTGCAGCTCAGGTAATAACGCTCACTCGTCTGCCGCGACCTCCTGCTAATGTGGCTCAGTTCCTAACAGGCCACAGGACTGATATCAGTCCATGGTTTGAGAGTTGAGGACCTCAGATTTAAAGTATACAGGAAGATGTCTGTAGGTTAATTGCGAATACTACACCATTTTGCGTAAGGTTATTTGAGCATTCGTAGATTTTGTTATCCGGAGGTGGGGGGGCGGTTCTGGAACCTATCCCCCAACGATTCCATGGGTTGAATATATCTCCTAATACTGTCATGTTCTAGGATACTGAGGGTTGGGATTTCAAGACATGAATTTGGGAGTGCACAACTTAGCCCATAATGTGTTAACTTGGCTAAGCAATCAGATCCAGCAGTTTGATCAAATACTAGCTGTTACTGTGAGGTGTTTTGTAGAGTAGTTAACATCCACAAACAGTAGACTTTAAGTGAAGGAGGTGATCCTTCATTATGGGATGGGTCTTAAGCAATCAGTTGTAAGATCTTAAAACCAAAATTGAGATATTCTGGAAGAGAAGGAATTCTGTCTACTGACTGCAACACCAGTCCCTATGTGAGTTTCCAGGCCACCAGACTGCTGCTATACGGATTTTCAACATGTCAGCCCCTATAACTCAGTAAGCCAATTCCTTGAAATAAATACATCTTCATATATTATATATAAAATGCTTATTGATAAACATAATGTACATCATGCTATATATGATATGTGGTATATAATATGTAATATACATATACCACATATAATATGTATACTATAATAATACATACCATATATATTATTGTAAGAATAATATATGGTAATAATATATATAGCATATGTATTTATATACCATATATTATTACAATATGTACATTGTAATAATATATATGCCATATGTTATTATATATGGTACATACATATACAATATATGTATCACAAAGAGTAAGCTCTGGTCCTACCAACCACAAGCAAGTCTTCATGAGTCACCAAATTGGAACAATTTTGACATTGAACCCTGCTGAATTGTGTATATACCATATAACATATATAAGATTGATTATATATATTTATGTATCTCTACATGGTATATAATATATTTAAATATATAATATTTATATATGTTTATAATATATACAATAATCTGTAAATATACACCAGGCAATATAATTTTTTTTTTTTTTTAAGACAGGGTCTTGTGTTGTTGCCCAGGCTGGAGTGCAGTGGTGCAATCATGGCTCACTTCAGCCATGACCTCCTGGTCTCCAGCAATCCTCCTGCCTCAGGCTGCCAAGTAACTGGGACTTCAGGTGCATGTCACCATGCCTGACTAAGATATATATATTGATACAGATGCCCATCCCACCTATTGGTTCTGTTTGTTTGGAGAATTATGACTGGTACAGATTTATTGCATGTATTTTCCCTCATCATGCCTTGTCTTCTTTATGCTGTTGAGGACATCGTTGTTATTTAGAAATTTTGAGTTTCATGCAGCTGATTTTGTCAAACTTTTTCTTGCTGTGTAGCAAGATTTGTCCTGGAAGCCATACTCAGCTATCAGCACATGAAAGCTCTTCCTGAAAGTTTCATGGTTGATCAAAGAGTGTCTCCCTGTTTATCAAATGTCATCCTGTCACTACATTTGATAACTTGCAGAATGTCAGAAAGCCCAGGTTTAAAGTATTAGCCTTCTGGTGACCTATGGCTATGGATAGGTGGGAGAGTCTTAGTCTTCCCAGATTGCTGTAACAAAGTACTACAACCTGCATGGTTAATATAACAGACATTTATTCTCTCATGGTCCTAGAGGTGGGAAGTATAAGACCAAGATGTCAACAGGGTGGGTTTCTCCTGATCCCTCTCTCCTTGGCTTGCAGATGCCATCTTCTCCCTGTGTTTTGTCTCCGTGTCCAAACTCCCCCTTTTTATAAGGACACTGGTCATACTGGTTTATAACCTACCTAAATGGCCTCATCTTAACTTGATTACCCCATCTTTAAAGAGTATCTCCAAATTAAGTCACATTCAGAGGTTCTCAGAACTTCAAGGTATCAACCTGACAGTGGGGGGCAGCTCAGCTCCTCACATGGTGGGTAACATTCAGCCTATGTTTTCTGTCCTCAGTGAAAAAGGCAAGCCAGAGACTGCAAGCTCCTTCACACAGAGTGAGTTCTCATTCCACCAACCACAAGCAGGTCTTCATGAGCCACCAAATTAGATGAATTTTGACACTGAACCCTGCTGACTCTTGTCAGAGGAAGTTCAGTTGCAGCAAAATGCTGGTTCTGAGAATTTACAACTTATAAGACAGTCACAGCCCATAGGAGGAAGGCCTTGCAAAGTAAAGACAGCATTAAGTGTGGGGCGTGAAAGTCTAAAGCCTAAAAAATGCAGCCATGACTCAGACAGACATATTGTTCATCTGGTTCTTAACTGTTACTGATGCTCTGAAATGATTACACTATTTAAATAACCTGTGAGGAAATGAAAAATTCCAAAGGAGCCTCCAAAAACAGCAAAAAAATAGCCATTATAGTGATATGAAGAAACAGGAGAAGAATTATGAGTGGGCCTTGAGATGTGAGATATTTCCATCCAAGACTTAGAGACGTAGTTTAGGAAGGCATAGTTTTGGAAGAGGAACCTCCACTCACAACTCAGTAATCAATGCCCCACTTAGAAAAGGGAAAAATAGCAGACCAGCACACAGGGCAGAGGACTGTGTTTGAAACACCAAATCTTCCTCATCTTGGCCACTTCAGGGAGTTGGGGAAGCTTTCTGAAATTTTTCTGGCATATGCTGTACCTTTTGACAAAATTTAGGCTGCCTGCATGGAAGACAGGTTCTATTAAGTTGCTCCTCAAAATTCTCGTCTTGCAAAAGTTCTCTGACTTGCAGTCATGGTGAGTGTATGAAACTTTTTTTGCAGAATTGCATCAGAATGAGTTCAAATCCATTCAGCATTAATTCAGCCCCTCTGCAAATACTGCTGGCTTCTTCTGAGACCTGAGACCTGAAAGTCTGCACGAAAGCTAGAGGCATTAGATAAATGAAAGGTTTGGCTAGCATCCCCAGCAGCAAAACTACTGAGCTCCTTTGCTTTCATCTGCTGAGTCAGAGAAAGGAAATACTCACTATGAAAAAATACTTTTAAGATCCTGACTGTGCCTTGTTCAATTGTAATGAGGAGCTTCTCACTGTTTCTGTTTAGTATCCTTACTGAGATCCCCACTTTTTTTTTGGTAATATGCACATTTTCATCACCAGCTGTGGAGTTAATATTCGTAGAATTGTTATGAAACACAGAGCATTGTTTCTTTTTCCACGATATCCTTAAAAAAATGGTGGATATGGAATAGCTATGCTGAGTACATGCCTCCTGGCTTGGAAAGAAATCAAACTGCATTCAACAGAAAGTAGGTTTTGAAGGAAAAACAATAATAAATAGCAACACTTGAGAACAGAGTGAAATGTGTAACTGTACTGATATTTGCAGGTTTTACATCATCTTAAGAAGCACGAGTTGGGAAACTATTGAAAACAGAACAATATTTGCTCAACAGTATGGAAGTAAAGAAATATTTTGAGGACTCCCAAGCAGTAGGGAGAAAGCCTTCTGGCAAATTATTGAGAAAGTGAATCAGTTCCCCCTCTTTCTGATGCACTTCCTAAGCTTAAAAATAAAGAGTTGAAAACAGTGTGACATTTGCTTTGCATTGTCAACATGAAATGTGAAAGCAATGCTTATCTTCTGGAAGGCTTTTCCTTATAGATGCAGAGATAGCATACCCCACTAGTCAGAAAGCTCACTGTGCTACGAAGAAGCTAAATGCACCTTATTAATTTAATTCTTACATCTGTTATTTGTCTCACCATGGAAAAAATTCTAAAAATAACCCAGAGAATTATATAACTTCCTTTGCTGGGATGCTGTTTCTTGCTTTCTTTCTCTTTTTTGACTTTCTAAATGAACTTCTGGATGGGTTCACCATGAGCAGCGTTGGCTGGAAGCAATATAAAATATACATATCTTGGTAGAACTTTTTTCATTAAGTTCTAGACTGTGTTTCTGGGAGTTATGATTTAATCTCTGTCATCTTGGCAGTGCAATTTAAGCGGTGGGTTAAGTTGTAAAATGAGTGTTTTAACATCCAGTGCCCTAACAGTTTGATGCAAGTTTTTGTGGCATTTATACAGCCCAGATTCTCCAAGAAAGTAAAACATCACAAGAGGGAGAGAGGAAAAGAGAGTGAGATCATATTTTCTGAGGTAGTTATAGATGAAGCTAGCATCAAAGAATAAGAGAAAAAGAGCTGCATAAAAGTCCTGGAGGTAAAATGTCCTGGACAACTTTGGGTAAACAGACATCCTTTAATGCTAGTCTCTGATTTCAATTGCTACAAAATCCAGCAGGAATGTTGGGGCACTGTGCAGCTTGGAAGTCAGAATTTCACGTCAGCCTCCTCTCATCATTATTAAATCATTTTGTTTCAGGAAGGTTTTCTTTCTTTTCATAAAAAGAAAAGTCTTCAAAGGCATTTTGTTACAACGCTGAAATCTCGATTTGTGATTCCAATATATTTAAAAGTACATTGGATTGTGGACTTATGTCATCAACAGAAGCAAAATGTGCTGGTAAAACAATAACTGGACATTTCCAGGGGTGCCTTGAAATTGCCAAACAAGGTAATTTAACTTTTCTGTTTTTTTCAATGCCAGAGAATGTGATTAAATTGTGAATTTCTCTTAAACCCTACATGACATGCTCTAGTGAACATGTGATTCCAGTTACTGGATTTCACTCATGTCCATGTGAAGAGACCACCAAACAGGCTTTATGTGAGCAACAAGGCTGTTTATTTCACCTGGGGGCAGGCAGGCTGAGTCTGAAAAGAGAGTCAGCAAAGAGAGACAGGGGTGGGGTCATTTTATAAGATTTGGATGGGTAGTGGAAAATTACTGTCAAAGGCGGTTGTTCTCTGGCGGGCAGAGGCGGGGGTCACAAGGGGCTCAGTAGGGGAACTTTTGAGACAGGATGAGCCAGGAAAAGGAATTTCACAAAGTAGTGTCAGCAGTTAAGGCAGGAACAGGCCATTTTCATTTATCTTGTGTTTCTTCAGTTACTTAAGGCCTTCTGGATGCATAGATGCAGGTCACAGGGAATGTGATGGCTTAGCTTGGGCTCAGAGGCCTGACACTGGATGACTGATTTATTATGGCAATATTTGTTCAGATTTACTTATTATTGAAGTTAAATAACCGAATGCAATTGATTTAGTTGATAGAAACCAAAAATGGAAAGAAATACGAACATGTTCAAGGCTGGAAATCTGTCTTTCTAATGACTTAGAGTTACAAAGGCTTTTCCATAGGTTTTCAAGTTTAGAACAACTATCATCTGTATTAAGAGTGTTTTCTTATGTAAATTCATAGATTGCAAGACTCTGCTCCCTTTCATTCATAAAATATGAATTACTTTCATTCTCTTTCTTAAGCAAAGCATGACATCAATTGAATTAATTGATCCATTTTCACAGCATTCATCAAAATTTTAGTATAAGGGGTTAGATGAAATTAGCCATGTACTAATCATTAAAACACTAATCATAAAAAACTAGTCATGAAATTAGTTTTTCACTAATCATGAAAAACTAATCATGGCCATGTACTAATCATGAAAACACAAAATCTCTTAGAGGTATCATTTTTAAGAGCATATATTCCAAAGTGATGTTAATATGAAAAGTCATTGAATATCAATGAAAAACTTGGCCATAGTGATTCAGGGCTAAATCTGTGAGAATATGCAAAATATCCTTGTGTGAATATTCTTGCAGGTATAGGAAGATAAAGTTTTGTCTATTGAAGTATTGTTCATTTTACAAATGCAAATAGTGTTTCAATTAAAACAGCACCCTGGCCACTCCTGTTGTGATCTTCTTCAGTTCTGCTGTAGCATTGTGTTACTAATACAACTAAAAGATCTCAAAGCCTAATCTTGGATTTCAGAAGAACGAAAAGGTCTCTGAAGTCATATTCTTTTTTTTTTTCTATTTTTAAAAAGTTTATTACACATGCTTGGCACAAATGTTGTCCTCACTGTATGTTTATTGAATGAATGATTGAATGAATGTATCTATCCTATGGGCAAAACACTGTACCTAGCAATCTGAAGGACTGCTAGCCATAGAAATAGAGAAACAGAGAAATCTCACCTTTTACCAAAACCCCTGTTGCGTTAAGGAGCTTAATATTTGTTGCCTCTCTCCATAAGTGTAATAAAAATGATAATCAGGGAAACAACATATATGGAATTAAATAGACAAGATTAATGTGGTATTAGGGAGAGTCATAATTGAGAGTTTGCTGCAGCTGAGTAATAATGTCCCTTGATATTTCTGGAAAGAAACAGTAGAAGTCAAATCATATTGATCATGGCTTGGAATATGGAGAACATTCTTAAAAGCTTACAGACCTATCTTTCCATTGAAGTTGTTTGTTAATTTATTCTATGTGAGGCTTTACTATCCTCCCCATTCAAATTAAAAAGAATAAAATAAAAGGAAGTTTAAAGTTTTGGCAGTATCAGTAGTTGGTAAACAGCAGGACTTTCCCTTTTGCATCCATCTCTGAAGGTTTTACTCATATAGTTATGTCTATTGACTCAATATGAGTTGTCTTAGCTGCAGACAATTGTCTTAGCTGCAGAGTTTCTACCAGCATCACAAAAACTCAGCAATGAGACTGAGTAAATCTTTGCAAGAACTCAATGCCATTCATTTCCAATTCATTACTTTCTCCTTTCTTTCTTTATTAAGATCATTTATCCAGTCATCTATCTCCAAGATATCTTTATTAAGATCTCTAGTGTTTAGTGTCCTACACTGAACTGGACATAAAGTGGTCAGTAATGTGCATCCTCTTTCTGCCTAGATAGAAATGGTGATGTACCCCAAACTTAGGACAATATGTATCTATGATCTCACAGGTTCTGTGGGTCATGAATTCAGGAAAACCCTAGCCAAGTCTTCTTCTTAGAGTCTATAAAGACTTTCTTCAAAGTGTTAAGCTGAGTTCTCATCTGGAGGTTGGACTTGGGAAGAATTCACTCCCAACCTCAGGCATGCTGTTGTCAGATTTAGTTTCCTTGTGGATGCAGAACTCAGAGCCCAGCTTCTTGCTGGTTATGGGCTAGGGGACACCTTCCACTCTTTTTTTTTTCTTTTTTTTAAATTATACTTTAAGTTCTGAGATACATGTGTAGAACGTGCAGTTTTGTTACACAGATATACATGTACCATGGTGGTTTGCTGCACCCATCAACCTGTCATATACATTAGGTATTTCTCCTAATGCTATCCCTCCTGTGGCCCAGCACCCCCTGACAGGCCCCAGTGTGTGATGTTCCCCTCCCTGTGTCCATGTGTTTTCATTGTTCAATTCCCACTTATGAGCAAGAACATGTGGTGTCTGGTTTTCTGTTCCTGTGTTAGTTTGCTGAGAATGATAGTTTGCAGCTTCATCCATGTCCCTGCAAAGAATCTCATTTTATGGCTGCATAGTATTCCATCGTGTATATGTGCTACATTTTCTTTCTCCAATCTATCATTGATGGGCATTTGGGTTAGTTCCAAGTCTTTGCTATTGTGAACAGTGCTGCAATAAACATATGTGTTCATGTGTCTTTATAGTAGAATGATTTATAATCCTTTGGGTATATACCAAGTAATGGGATTGCTGAGTCAAATGATATTTCTGGTTCTAGATTGTTGAGGAATCACCACACTGTCTTCCACAATGGTTGAACTAATTTACACTTCTACCAACTGTGTAAAAGTGTTCCTATTTCTCCACATCCTCTCCAGCATCTGGTGTTTCCTGACTTTTTAATGATCACTATTCTAACTGGTGTGAGATGGTATCTCATTATGGTTTTGATTTGCATTGCTCTAATGACCAGTGATGATGAGCTTTTTCTTCATATGTTTGTTGGCAGCATAAGTGTCTTCTTTTATGAAGTCTCTGTTTGTATCCTTTGTGCACTTCTTGATGGGATTGTTTGTTTTTTCTTGTACATTTAAGTTCTTTGTAGATTCTCGATGTTAGCCATTTGTCAGATGGATAGATTGCAAAAGTTTTCTCCCATTCTGTAGGTTGCCTGTTCTGTCCAATGATAGTTTCTTTTGCTGTGCAGAAGCTCCTTAGTGTAATTAGATCCCATGTGCCAATTTTGGCTTTTGTTGCCAATGCTTTTGATGTTTTAGTCGTGAAGACTTTGCCCATTGCTATGTCCTGGATGGTATTGCCTAGGTTTTCTTCTAGGGTTTTTATGGTTTTAGGTTTTACATTTAAGTCTTTAATCCATCTTGAGTTAATTTTAGTATAAGGTGTATGGAAGGGGTCCAGTTTATATTTTCTGCATATGACTAGCCAGTTTTCCCAACACCATTTATTAAATAGGGAATCATTCCCCTATTGATGGTTTTTGTCACTTTTGTCAAAGATCAAGTGGGTGTAGATATGTAACGTCATTTCTTAGTCCTCTGTTCTGTTCCAGTGGTCTATATACCTGTTTTGGTACCAGTACCTTGCTGATTTGGTTACTGTAGGCTTGTAGTATAGTTTGAAGTCAGGTATCGTGATGCCTCCAGCTTTGTTCTTTTTGCTTAGGATTGTCTGCTATACAGTCTCTTTTTTGGTTCTATAAGAAATTTAAGGTAGTTTTTTCTGATTCTGTAAAGAAAGTTAACGGTAGTTTGATGGGGATACAATTGATTCTATAAATTGATTTGGGCAGTGTGTCCCTTTTCATGACATTCATTCTTCCTGTCCATGAGCATGGAATGTTTTTCCATTTGTTTGTGAACTCTTTCATTTCCTTAAGCAGTGGTTTGTATTTCTCCTTGAAGAGGTCCTTCACATCCCTTGTAAGTTGTATTCCTAGGTATTTTTTTTTTGTAGCAATTGTGAATGGGAGTTTGCTCATGATTTGGCCCTCTGTTTGTCTATTATTTGTGTATAGGAATGCTTGTGATTTTTGCACATTGATTTTGTACCCTGAGACTTTGCTGAAGTTGCTTATCAGCTCAAGGAAATTTAGGGCTGAGATGATGGCGTTTTCTAAACATACAATTATGTCATCTGGAAACAGAGACAATTTGACTTCCTCTCTTCCTATTTGAATACCCTTTATTTCTTGCTCTTGCCTGATTGCCCTGGCTAGAACTTCCAATGCTATGTTGAATAGGAGTGTTGAGAGAGGAGATCCTTGTCTTGTGCCAGTTTTCAAAGGGAATGCTACTAGCATTTACCCATTTAGTATGATACTGGCTGTGGGTTTGTCATAAATAGCTCTTATTATTTTGAGATATGTTCCATCAATACCTAGTTTATTGCATATTTTTAGCATGAATGTGTGTTGAATTCTATCGAAGGCCTTTTCTGCATCTATTGAGATACTCATGTGGCTTTTGTCATTGGTTCTGTAATGTGATGGATTATGTTTATTCATCTGTGTATATTGAACCAGCCTTGCATCTCAGGGATGAATCCAGCTTCATCTTGGTGGATAAACTTTTTGATGTGCTGCTGGATTTGGCTTGTTAGTATTTTATTGAGCATTTCACATTGATATTCATCAGGGATATTGGCCTGAATTTGTGTGTGTGTGTGTGTGTGTGTGTGTTTCTGCAAGGTTTTGTTATCAGGATGATGCTGATCTCATAAAATGAGTTATGGAGGAGTCCCTGTTTTTCTATTGTTTGGAATCATTTCAGAAGGAATGGTACCAGCTCCTCTTTGTACCTCTGGTAGAATTTAGCTCTGAGTCTGTCTGGTCCTGTGGGTTTTTTTGTTTGTTGGTTTGTTTGTGTTTCTGGTTGGTAGGCTATTAACTACTGCCTCCATTTCAGAACTCGTTATTGGTCTATTCAGGGATTCAGCTTTTTCCTGGTTTAGTCTTAGGAGGGACACCCTCCACTCTTATGGACTGTCCTCAGCTCACATGAACACTGGCTTCTTCAATGTCCCTGGGAGAGAAAGTCTCTAATGAGAGTAGACTAGCAAGATGGAGTTTTATGCAGCATAAAGTAAATGTAGCGTTTATATCCCATGGTCCTGGGTACATTCAGTGGAAGAGGCCTATAAAAGAAAGTACACGCTAGAAAGTGCAGATCACTGGGAGTAATTTTAAAGTCTGTCCAGCCCAAGAGTTGGCCAGCAATTTATCAGACAATAGGACATTACAAACCATGATCAGTATCTGACATGTATACACAGCAGAAAATTAACAATAATAGAAAATATTGGAGGAATAGGAAATTTGCACAGTAGAAGGAACATTTAATATCATTCTTGAAGAATGAAGAGGTGGTTAAATATTGCAAGTTTCTGTGATGAAGGTACAGGATTGTTTACAGACAGAACAGATGACCAGTTCCTTTTGCCATGTTAAATATTGCATTAGTTCATTTTTATGATACTGATAAAGATGCAGTTCCTTCTTCCATGTTAAGAATTGTATTGAAGATTGTATTAGTTCATTTTCACGCTTCTGACCAGCAGCATGAAACTGAATAATTTATAAAGAAAAAGATATTAAATGGACTCACTGTTCCACATGGCTGGGGAGGCATCACAATCATGGTAGAAGGTGAAAAGCATGTCTTCAATGGCAGCGGGCAACAGAGAATAAGAACCAAGTGAAAGGGGAAACCCCTTATAAAACCATCAGATCTGGTGAAACTTATTCACTACCACAAGAACAGTATGGGGGAAACTGCCCCCACGATTGAATTATCTACCACCAGTCCCTCCCACAACACATGAGAATTAAGGCAGCTACAATTCAAGATGAGATTTGGGTGAGGAAACAGCCAAAGCACATCAACGATATTAATAATTATCCCCCCAAATCAATAGATAAACATTCCTAGGCTTTCCATAATGATAGATACATCCTACCTCATGTGATGATGATAATAATGATGATGTAATGATAAAGTTATTGTTTTAGCTATACAAATGACTGAAATGTCTATTACCTTAAACATTTTATTTAATTCCTTTGATTATGCCATTACTATGTCCAGTGGTTCTCCTAAAATATAAATATTTTTCTAAAAATTGATATTAAGTAATTGAGACTTTACCAAAATTTTTTTGTCAGGTTTGTTTTGGCTTGAGTCTCTTTCCTTGGACTCGTGTTACAGAATCTCCAATCCTGGTTAATTTCTAGATTTCTTGGCACATCTAACTCCTACATACCCTCACCGCTACCATTCTCCACACGTTTACCTACTTCATTGTTCTACACATCTCCCAGTGAGGGATGCTCTCAAGGAATGTGTCTCAGCAATAATCATGATAAGCCTACACTAATGGATGCCTGCCATGTTAAAGAGACCTCACATAGAACTCACATTTAATTTTTACAACAGTCCTATCATTTTCACTTTACAGATTATAAGACTGAGGGCCAGTGAGGATCGAAAGATTCCCAGTCCACACAGGTGAAAGGTGGCCAAGCCACAGTCTGCAGGATTCCAGGATATCATCATGACTTTGGCTCACTATCTTCCAGAATCTCTGGCTATGCTCAAGACAATGCTCTCACAGACAATCTCCCAAGCTTGAGTTTCAATTCGTCCACCATCTGGCCTTCAACTGAATTTCCAAGCTCTCAGCATGGTTATATAACTATGTAGATATCCACACATGTATGTATTGTACATATAAGGATTTAGATATCCACACATGTATCTATCATTGTGGTTGTATATATTTATATCTATACTTATTTGTGAATGTGCAAAATTCTGCTTTCCTGTGACATCTGATCATGGAGAACCATAGGCTTCTGTTGAATACTATTCTCTGCTAGTGAATGGTAACTTTTAGATTGACTCTTCTTCTTTGTACAGTGATGCTAAGAAGGTTCTTTGAATATCTTACTGATTTTTCTTCTATAATTTTATTTCTTAAGGGTTAGGAAATGGAACACCCAGCATGCTACAACTGAAATATGTAATATGTGTCAAAAAGTCAATGAGATTGAAAAAAAAGTGAAAAATCCTTCAGTGAGATGAAAAATGTAGAATATTTACCTTATATTATTATCAATAAAATTTATTATTGATAATAAAATAAGGTAGAATCTCTACCTTATTGGGCTTAAGCCCACCACTGCTGTTCTAAAGAAAAATAACAAAACTAAACAGCAAGTATGAAATGCTGCCATAGTGTCATCAATGATTTCTTTTTCTGAAAGGGATAGTTTAGTATGAATTTTTGTTTTATGGACTTAAAGTACTCTTGTTAGTGGGTAAGTTATTATTTGATTTTCTCATATTCAACTTTATTGTTGATTTTTAGGAATGTATTGTGTAAAAGAGAAATGGCTGCCCATCTTATTTAAAAGCACACTCATACTATTCATACTGTACTCTCCTACTTGTAAATTACTGGGGCTTGAAGAGAGTAAAATTTACTGTGTCTATTTGTACAAAGATAAAGTGAAATAAATCCAAGTAAAGAATGGAATTTAAGTGATTTTCTGTGATGTGACACTGTATTCATCCATTTCCATACTGCTATGAAGAAATACCCAAGGCTGGGTAATTTACTAAGAAAAGGAGGTTTAATGGACTCATAGTTGCATGTGGCTGAGGAGGCCTCACAATCATTATGGAAGGTGAAGGAGGAGAAAATATATGTCTTACATGGTGGCAGGCAAGTTTGCATGTGCAGGGGAACTGCCGTTTATAAAACCATCAGATCTCATGAGGCTTATTCGCTATCACAAGAACAGCACAGGAAAAACCCGCCCCATTATTCAATTACTTGTCACTGGGTCCCTCCCACAACACATGGGGATTATAGGAGCTACAGTTCAAGATGAGATTTGGGTGGGGACACACCCAACCCATATCAGACACTTTCCTGTGGATTAAAAAACAGCAGCATTTCCCTCTCATTTTTAGCATTATTCCTGTTTATTTTCTTCATGGGAGATGGAATGACATGAGCTATCTTTAATTCTTTGTACCAGCAACATTTGCTTCATTTTCACCTTTTCAGTAAAAAGTACTACCAAGAAATAAAAATCCTCCTCTTTAAGATATATATAGTAGCAGGGAAATAATTTTTATTTTTTCTTTATCATGATAGCCACATTTTGAAACTCAATTTTGTTTGGAAACATTTTATTTCTGAATAGTCAAAGATGCTTACTTCAGGTAAGTTCAATCTGTCCACTCTCTCCTTAAATTTATTCTTCTTTTTTAGAGGCAGAGTATTTCTCTGTTGCCCAGGCTAGAGTACAGTGCTGTGATCATAGCTTATTGCAGCCTTGACCTCCCGAGCTGAAGCGATTCTCTTGCCTCAGCTTGTAGAGTAACAGGGACCACAGGAACATGCCAAAATACCTGGCTTATTTAAAAAAAAAATTTTTTTTGAGAGCAAGAGTTTTGCTATGTTGCCCAGTCTGGTCTCAAACTCTTGGGCTCAAGCAATCTACCTCTCTTGGCTTCCCAAAGTGCTGGGACGACCAGTGTATGCACTGTGCCTGGTTTTTAAGTTTATTTTTTGTTAAATTAGTTTGACATTTGCCTTTTCATAAACGTTCCGTAAAACACCCGCCCCCTTCACAATTGCATCGTTAGGTTCCTTAAGAGAACACTTCTACAAGAAGGGAAAATGGGTCTGCTATAGTTCTATAGAATTTTTTTTTTTTTTTTAGGTTAAAGTCTCACCCTATTGCCAAGGCTGGAGTGCAATGATGTGATCTCGACACACTGCAACCTCCGCCTCCTGGGTTCAAGTGATTCTCCTGCCTGGGGCTACTGAATAACTAGGATTACAGGTGCTCACCACCACACCCGGCTCATTTTCTGTATGTTTAGTAGAGATGGGGTTTCACTATTTTGGCCAGGCTTGTCTTGAACTCCTGACCTTGTGATGCACCCACCTTGTCCTCCCAAAGTGTTAGGATTACAGGCATGAGACACTGTGCCTGGACAGTTCTATGGACTTTTAAATGATATTCCTGTGTCTATTTATCTATATATCTCAGAATATAAGAAGTATATTTTGCCTTTTCAGTGCCTATGCACTTTCTCCCACAAGGCTGAGTTTCTACAGAAATTCAGTCTTTGCTCCAGAAACAGTGTCTTCATGCGATATGGAGATTGATGCCAAGGTTAGTGGCTATTGAATTCTCCTGTGTGGTATGACTTCTCTTCCCATTTGATTTAGACCACATTCCATAATAACCTCATGTAGATGCAGAAATAGTATACTCTGGTCAGCCATTGAGGACCGTGTGGTTTCTATATTATGATAAATGTATCAAAGAAGTATAGGAATCTGTGATGGGGTCAACAATTCAGAAACCTTCCATTTACCAAAAGAATGTGTTTTTCTATATATCCTCCCAAGTAGTGATCAGCACTGGGTGTACAATTTAACATTTTTCTCTCAAAACTCAACTTTTGTTTCTGACTCAAAATTTTGTCAAAGTGCAAGAGTTGTAAAACTGCCTAGTTATTCAGCTTTATCCATGTATTATCTTTGCAGTTTTCCTTTAAGGAATAATAAAAGGGAACTATCCAAGGGGATAGTAATTGCATAAAATAGCAGATAGCAAGATAGACAAAATTTTAATCAAATGCTTTGTTGCCTTCATAGGAAAATACAATGTAAATTCCTTAAAATTTATTTAAATAAATTTAGATGTAAGCTACTTTCTTTTGAGACCATCCATATTTAATTTTTACATTTTAGAAAATATAATCATGTTTAGGCAGTCATACAAAATGGATTAAGACACTTTTTTCATGTGGCCATTCAAATTCACTGGGCTTATTTCTTTTGCATCCTATGCACCTAAGTACCTAGTTCTTCACACTGGGATGAAACATGGACTTTCTAGAAAAATTTTTCTGGCCATGGTTGTGAGAAATACACTCACCCATCCAAACCCAGGAAATGGACTCAGAGACAAGAACAGTGGAAGTGAGACTTTTAATGACCCCCTTGCAGGATCAGGTATCTGGTAGGCAGCCACAGTCCGTACATTTACAACAAGCAATTTATCCCTTAGTACTCAAGTCCCTCCTCCGGTTCCTCATAGGCTGAGTACCATGGGGTCACAAACTTCCCAGACATTGCCTATTGGTTGTTGGCTTGGGGCTTTTAGGTGTGTTTTCTTTAGCATTGTTTGGCTGCATTTTGGTGCAGCCCATAATGCATTGCAGTCATGGTCAGTTCTGGGCTCCTCACGTAGTTGAATTATGACCCAGATAGTCAGGCAAGCTGATAAGTATAGATAAAGTGAGCTATTTTGCAGGCCAGTAAACTTTCATTCTAGACTAAAATCCTTGGTTTGGGTGAGGGTTACTAAGGGGATCCCCAACCAAAAGGCGCCCGCTATTAAAGCAGGGGCGTAGTGTATCCTGTTCTTCCATAGTTTGCGGGCCCAAGCCTATTCAAGGCACTTTCTCTTAGAAATGGACTACCATATATATTTTTTCCTACATAGTTGAAAATTAGAAAATTTTATGGACTTGGAGGGACTTCCTGCCAGGCTGATGTAACATAAGCATAGTAACATTTTACTCTATTTTCCTTGAACTACCAACATGGGAAATATAAAACATTTACAAATTAGGAAAAAGGTCATTTAAAAGCTAAATGCACTAACACATCTAAACTGAAACAAAATATCCTAAATATATGCATAGTAATAGCTAAATATTTATGTATGGCAGAAACTGGATAGGTATTTACCAACCTCAGTTCTTCTTCCTGTGGACACAGGGGGAAAGGACACTTTGACCAGAGCCCCATGCCTTTGGGCTCATAGTCTCACCAAAGCCTGGTCCAGGAGCCAGTAGCATGAAGCATCATCTCAGGGCTCATAAAAATGCAGTCTCTATGATGATTAGTGATACTAAGCATTTTTTTCATCTAAACTTACCTAAGTCAAAATGGCTTTCATTTAAAAATGAAAAATAAAAGACCAGGAGCAGTGGCTCATATGTGTGATACCAGCACTTTGGGAAGCCAAGGTGGGCAGATCACTGAGGTCAGGAGTTCAAGGTCATCCTGGCCAACTCGTAAAACACTGTCTCTATCACAAATACAAAAAATTATCCAGGCAAGGTGGCCTGCACCTGTAGTCTCAGCTATTTGTGAGGCTGGAGAAGGAGAATCATTTGAGCCTGGGAAGCAGAGGCTCAAACATATGGAATCAACCTAAGTGTTCACAAACAGATTAATAGATAAAGAAAATAGACACAATGGAATACTATTGAGCCATAAAACAGAATGAAATTGTGTCTCTTGGCAGCAACATAGGTTTACCTGGAAGTCATTATTAGGTGAAATAAGCCAGGCGAAAAAAGACAAATAATGAATGTTTTCACTTACATGCAGGAGCTAAAAAATTTGAACCCATGGTAGAAGAGAGTGGAAAAGCAGATACAGAGACTGAGATGGATGCATGAGAGGAGAGGGGATGAAGAGACATGGGTTAAATAGAACATATAGACAGTAAGATAGAAGGAATAAATTTGAAGCTTGGCAACAGAGTAGGGTAACTGTACTCAGCAAAAATGTAGTGCAGCAGAATGATGAACACCCTGAATATCTGACGTGATGCCTATGTGTTATATACCTGTAATAAAATTTCTTAGGTACCCCATAAATATGCACAAATAAAAAAATAAAACATTAAAATGCAGAGTCCCAATCTCATCCTAGAGCTGCTGAATCAGAATCTGATGATTCTGTACCACCTGATGAATCGTGTACACATTAAAATACCTGCTGTAGAGAAAAGCCACCCAGGACCATTTGACCAGGGACATCTCTGTATAGAGAAGGAAACATTTGTTGTAGTGAGATGCAGAGTTATTTGGTACAAAAACTAGCATGCATCCTACTCACTAAAACTCAGTGAAAACAGAATTTTCCTATAGCTTATCAATTCCACACCTGTAATTATTTTACTAGACCACAAAACATGTACATTTATGCACATATAAAATTGTGTTCCATTTTTCCTAGTATATATCATTTCCTTTCAATCATACCTTCTCTTATATTATTGTCATCTTTCCCCACCTTCTCTTAATATGTTATTGTCATCTTCAGTCACCATGGAAGAGAAGCAGTTAAATATTCTGAAATCTCTGTAACATGTCATTTAGGTCTTTAAAATTTTAAAATGATGGAGTATCCTCAGCAAAGAAGGGCAGAGGTCTCCCTCAAGGTCAAGTCAAGGTTCATGCATAGATTCTCAAGTCAACACATATCAGCTCCGGGAAAAAGTGTTTTAACCTTTGTCAAATGTATGTTGTAGGAGCAGTTTAGCAGGCTATCTGCTTTGACTCAGCACTCTTCCAAATATTTGGTTTTAAGGCCATGTTACCCTCTTACAAATTACTGAGGATCTCAAATAACATTTGTAATGTAGGTTATATTTATTAAAGTAGAAACAAAAATGTAAAAATGTGAGGTATTATGATTTTATTAGATTTATATATAATAATCTCTTTGCATGGTTAATACGGAAACATTTTTATTAAAAATAACAATTTTTAAAAACCAGGGAGTAAGACCATATGGTTTTGCACTAATCTTTTTAGTGGGCTTAATCAAAGACAGACAGATTTTCTTTTCTGCTTCTGCATTCAATCTGCTGTAATACTGCATGTCATGTAGCCTCTGGAAAACTTTACTATTAACTCAGGAGGGAATGAGGAAGGGGGTTGGAAAAAAACAACACTGTCTGGGGGTATTAAGAAAATGGTTTGGACCCTAACGACTCCTTGAAAGGGTCTTTTGGTTACTAAGGGTTTCTGAAAACACATTATGGGAATTTCTGTTCAAATGGGTTGAATGTTGGCATTCACATGCAAAGTAGCAGAAAACGAGCATCAACTCCGTCTTGCCCCTGGCTCAGTACATAATGAGAATGCTGAGCCTCTCTTTCAAAAATAGTATTAGCCTGGTCAACAGAGCAAGACCACATTTACTTTACTGCAAAAGTAAAAATAAAAAGTTAGCTGGGCATGGTGGCTTGGGCTTGTAGCTTAACTACTCACAAGGCTGAGGTAGGAGGATTCCTTGAGCCCAGGAGTTCGAGGCTATAGTGATCTATGATCCCAACAACTGCACTCCAGCTTAGGCAACAGAATCAGACTCTGTCTGTCTGTCTGTCTATCTATCTATCTATCTATCTATCTATCTATCTATCTATCTATCATCTCTCTATCTAATCTATCTCTAATATATATTTATATAAAATTTTTATATATCTAATTAATTAGTTAATTTTCAGATGGCATCAGGCAAGCATTAAAAACCAGGCATGGTTTTCTCATTGTTTCTGTTCTCCCCTCAGCTTTTGGTTTCTCTGCCCACTGCATCTTACAGGGTAGGCATCCCTTTGTGCTCTCCCACCTTCCCTAGCAGCTCATTCCTGTTGCTTCATAGTTTCTGCTCCGCTGGTGATGGAGATGGCATGAAAGAGTAGGTTCTCTTTTCCTAATCCAGCCTTTGATTGAGGCTAGTCCTCTGTTCTCAAGGATGGGAAATGAGACTTTCTCCCTTCCACAACAGCCAAACTCAGGGAGGAATCTATGGTTGGCTATGGTGGGAGGCAATTCATGCTCTTTTCCCTAGTGGTAGCAGAGCACTGCTTGATATTAGGATAAGATCCTGGGGCCAGATGAGTTCTCTGTTCCTTTTCTAAAATTAGAGGATTTTTCTTCTATCCTTGCTCTGGCTATGAAGGAAGGGTCTTTGCCTGGACTATGGGGTTGATATCATTTGCTGCATCTCTTTTCAGTGATTTAAGTCTTTGCTTCCAATGATTGAAGAAGTCAGGTATTTGTGGGTATATTAGTCAGGGGTCCCTAGAGAAACAGAACTAATAGGATAGATGAATTTATGAAGGGGAGTTTATTAGGATAACTGACTCAAACGATCACAAGATGAGGTCTGACAATAGGTCATCTGCAAGCTGAGGAGCCAAGTCCCTAAACCTCAAAAGTGTGGAAACCAACAGTGCAGCCTTCAGTCTGTGGCTGAAGGCCGGAGAGCCCCTGGAAAACCACTAGAGTAAGTCCAAGAGTCCAAAAGCTGAAAAACTTGGAGTCTGATGCTCAAGGGCAGGAAGCATCTACCATGGGAGTAAGATTACAGGCAGGAAGACTCAGACAGTCGACTCTTTCCCATTCTCCTGTCTGCTTTTTATTCTGGTCATGCTGGCAGCTGATTAGATTGTGTCCACTCAGATTGAGGTTGAGTCTGCCTCTCCCAGTCCACTGACTCAAATGCTCATCTCCTTTGATGACACCTTCGCAGACACACCCAGTATCAATACTTTACATCCTTCAATCCAATGAAGTTGACCCTCAATATTAATTATCCTGGTGGGACTTTGTGTTTTTTTTTAATTAGTGAAATGACTGCACTTTTTATTGACAGTGAAATGGGGGTCACTTTCGGGCTTGCACCTTTTCTTTTTTTCTTTTTTTGATGTTGTCTAGCTCTGTCACCCAGGCTGGAGTGCAGTGGCATGATCTCGGCTCACTGCAACCTCCATCTCCTGGATTCAAAAGATTCTCCTATCTCAGCATCCTGAGGAGTTGGGACTACAGGTGCATGCTGCCACACCTGGCTAATTTTTGTATTTTTCATAGAGACAAGTTTTCACCCAGTTGGCCACGGTGGTCTCATTCTCTTGACTTCGTGATCTGCCCCCCTCAGCCTCCTGAAGTACAGCCTCCCGAAGACCACTGTACCTGGCCTTTTTTTTTTTTTTTTTTAAGAGACAGAGTCTCACTCTGTTGCCTGCCTGGAGTGCAGTGGGCACCAGCATAATCAGAGTTCACTGTAGCCTCGAACTCCTAGGTTCAAGCAATCTTCCAACCTCAGCCTCCCAAGTAGCTGGAAATACAGGGTCTTGCGCTGCTCAAGCTGGTTTTGAACTCCCGGCTGAAGTGATCCTTCCACTTCTGCCTCCCAGAGGGCTTGTGATTCTAGGGGTGAGTAAACATGCATGGCATGCCTGCATCATTGAGCTGAGCTCTCTAGTATCTCCTGACCTGATTCCAAGCTTTCTCATGAGAACATAAAGAGGTATGTTGAGAGACCAGGAGTAGGTGAAAACTTCCTTTGTGTCTGGGATCCTAGGGATATTAAAATTTTTAAAAAGACAAATTCCAGACTCCTGTGAAGGTGTAAAGTAAGTATGTGCTAAATATCTTATTTCACTTATTAGTTAATGAGGGAATTGATAAAATAGGCAATTAGTTTGTATATTTTTGGCCCAATAAAGAAAGCTAAAATGAATCTATAAATGATTGCATAAATGACCAGCTGCTAGTATTTGTTTCCTGTTGCATAATGTGGCCAAGTTGACACATCCAAAAAATGTCACACTGGCAAAATTTACATGGTGAAAAACAGTGGCATCCCATCATATGTCGTTTGTGTCACTTTGGACAGAAATTATTTGCTTTGCTATCAAGGTTCTATAACTTAGAGTGTTGTAAATAGCCTGATCAAGGTCAATGGAGGCAGAAATAAGCCAGATGGATGAGATGGTTAGGACATCAATTCCATTTCAAAGTCTTTCAAAAATTTTCCCTAGAGGGACTTGCAGCTATTTCAGGTTGATATGGTCATGAACATTGGACCTATAAAAATTGTTTAACATAATTTAGCTGATATTGTTGAATTTGCTGTTGTAAAGGCTGGCCTTCTCCCCTCAGTCACATATCGCATTTCTCCTTGGAAGGCCTTGTCCTTTTCAGAGGGTTTAAGGCAAGTCACAAGTTTGTAGGCTCTCTATATCTCTCTCTCTGTAAAGGTGAGAGTAACATTCCCTTCACTTTACTACACCCCAAAGCGATGTGGGAGGAAAGAGGTTATTGCATATTTTGATGCTAAGGCTGGTTCCAAATAGCAGCTTTGTTGTGGAGGTGTTTTCGGGAATAAAGGAGGGTGAGCTGTGATCATATAAGGACTGAAGTAGTGCAGAGAGAATGGAGCAGTATGAAAAATCCCACAGGGACACAGCTGCAGGCAGTGGAATAGGCAGTAACCTCTTGACACAGAATTTTTTTTTAATAATTGCTAATGCTTCGGGGCAGACATTAATTGCACTGGAATATTCTCACTGTACACTTTCAGGAACAAAAATAATTTATATATTTTTATATATATAAAATTAGTTGTACTCTAAGAAATACAAAAAACAAATAGAAATAATCTAAGTGAAGTGGAATGGTAATAATGCCTACATTTGCAAGATACTTGACAGTTTTCCAGGGATTTGCACCAGCAAGAATATCTTAGTTGTGGGAGAAAACAAAACAACGTTAGAAAAGTTTCAATGTGCAGCACAGCCTGCCTTCTTCTACAGTGAAATAGTTGTCTTTCGATTTATGAAGTATAGCTACGTTTATATTGGGTTTATTTATATAAACAATCTTCAATCCATTTTTTTTGGCAAGCAGGCATGTTAGCAATACCAAAAGCAATGTTATTCTTCTGCTACAATTACAGAGAAAATAGGACTCCTAATGCTTATTAAGCCTCTTCAGGGTTGCACCTTTGTGAGTGGTAGACAAGTTATTAGAACTCAAGATAAATTTTTTGCATCCTCCTGCTCTTTGAGATTACATAACTTTTCACTTCCTATTAAAGAACACATTTTAAAATGAATCCAGGCCACTTGTAGAATAAAATGCCACCGTGTTTCTTGTCTTTAATTAGAGATAAAACATGCCACTGTCAAAAAGTGAAGTTACAATTTCTGGGAGAAACTTTTATGTTTCTTTCAAATTATTTGCATAATTGTCTTTGATTTCTTTCCTTAGCAGTTTATGTGCACATAAGGCATAATCTCAAATTCCTAGGTGTACCTCTTAAACTTGGGAAACTCAATTGCTTTCAGTATAGCTATACCCACCCATATGTGCCCTGTCAAGTTGTTGATGAACATTGTCTTCAATGACTGAAGCTGAAGTACTTGTTTTTCAAGTGATCATGGCTTCCAGTTACATCTTGGTTTTGTTTCATCATTGGCATAATAAGGCATGTGTAGATATGTAGGGCATTTGGAGGAGTGAAGATGAAATGAAGATGAAAAGCCAGAGACATGTACTTATAATACGAACTCCACTTTTATGAGCACAGACAAAGTGTGCAAAGAGATGGAAAGGAATCTGTACCTATACAAATGCCAGTTGACAACTACCACTCATCCCATACTTGAAACTCATGATAAGGCTCTATTGTCTCTTTATCTGTGTGCTAGATTCAAATTATACATCTTTTTTCTCTAGGAAAGGCATTAGCAAATTCATTTTTTGTGATCAGAACTCCCCAGAAAAATTAGAAGTGTCTAATTTGTGTTTATCTCTCACATCAATGCATATATGTTCATCTATATGCATATATGCTCTACAATGCATTCTTTTGTGTTATTATTTATTTTTTGAGACAGAGTCTTATCCTTTCCCCAGGTTGGAGTGCAGTGCTGTGATCATAGCTCACCACAACCTCCAACTCCTGGGCTCAAATGATCCTCCCACCTCATCCTTCATAGTAGCTAGAACTACAGACAGGTACCTGCCACCATGACTAGCTAATTTTTTATTTTTATGTTTTATAGAGATGGAGATCTCACTACATTTCCCAAGCTGTTCTGTAACTCCTGGCCTTATGCAATTTTCCCACCTTGGCCTTTCAAAGCTCTGGGATTACAGGGATGAGACACTGTTCCAGTCCCATAGTGTATTCTGATGGTGCAGGCAGGGGCAGGTCATGCTTTACAAGCCACCAAGCCTGAGTTCCAGCCATGACACAGCCACTTGTAAGCCATATGGCCCTGGGTAAGTCATGTCACTTTTCTAAGCTCAGCTTCCATTATATATAACACAGTAATAATAATACTAGCCTCCTAAGGTTGTTCCTATAACTAAATGGGTGTCAGGTACATGGTACATTACTCAATCAAGAGTACCATTATAAACATTTCCAGTAACCTATGTATCTAATGAACATAGGTTTCTTAAAGCCATCCCATTATTTCAAGGGAAAACAAGAAGGGAGATGAGAATTAGATGTCAATAGAGGCAAAGATTCATTTTCATCCTCTACAGATCAATGGCTTAAACAGTGAAACCACGATTTGCGTTGAGTAACAGCAATTAGCTAAATGTCTGTTATTAGCAGGGCCAATGGTTTTATGTATGGATTTTCAATCATGAGGAGGACTGCCATGCCATACTCCTTGCCCTGGCCACACCCCATGTTGAAGGATCTACTATGGATAGTTCTTGTTTTTATTCCCTGAATGCTGTGTATGGGACCAAGGGGAGGGAAATCTGACCTAAGAGGAAGAATGAGGCCAGACACATAAGGTGTGGTCTAGTATGAAGAGATGACACAGACTAGGGGTAGGCTCCTTCTAGAAATATCAACTAGAAAACACACTGAGAAAGTGAGGTGTTGAAAAATGAGAACTGAGTTCAAATGTGGAAACAGAATGAGGAAGAAAAATCAGAAACCTTAGAGGTCATGCTATTCAACACACTAAGGAAGCCCAAATTTCAGAGGTAGCAGCAGAAGCTATGAGGTAAATAGAAAGGGAAGAGATAGGGGGAAAAATGGAAGACTGTGATGCCACGCAGAAAGGTTAAGACACATGTAGAGGCTGGAAAGTAGAAACGCAAACAAAGGGATCAGCTCCTGTGGGGTTGTGACGGTGCCAGCCTGGTGATCACGTCCAGATTTCATGCTAGCTCATGAATACCTTGAAAATACATGATTTTATTTTTTAAAGTTTTGTTTTTCTTTACAAAATTAATGCAGGTTAACTCTAGAAAACGTCACTTTTTCTTTGAGACTGGGTCTGGCTCTGTTCTCCAGGTTGGAGTACAGTGGCTCAATCTCAGCTTACTGCAACCTCTGCCTCCTGGGGCCAAGTGATCCTCCTACCTCAGCCTCCCAAGTAGCTGGGACTACAGGTGCACACTACCACACCTGGCTAATTTTTTTTTTTTTTCCAGAAAGAAATCTCCAACTGTTACCCTACCTAGTCTCAAACTCCTGAGCTCAAGCCTTCTACCCACCCTGGCCTCAAACTGTTGTGATTATATGGGACAGCCACCACAACTGGCCAAAAGTTTACATTTCACATACTGAAGAGGGGAAAAAATAAAAGCATCATAGTAAGTTTCCCCAGAGACAGTTACTAGTAACATGTGGCTATATTTCAACCTAATTTTTTCAGGTATATTTTGTGCATTGCTATCATATTCATATCAAATTATATTTTACTGGTTAATACTTAATATGGTACATTGTATTTCCTAAATTTCTACATGTTTGCACAATTTATATATATATATATATATATAAAGAATCCATTCAGTTGATGTAATGTGACATATTCAAACATGTACCCACAATACACATTTAAATTATTGACCCTTTCCCTCTATGATTGACTTTGCATTTCCTTCAGAGACGAAATGAACTATGCCTACAAATGATGCCCCACAACCATTTTCCTTAAAAGCTCTGTATAATTTTTAAATCATCTTATGGCATTTTTTTAGTGGAAAACCCCCAAGGATAAGCTATTTTTTTCCTTCCATTTTTTAGGTCACTTATATTTCCTGCTTTAATGCATGTATATGATTGTTTCCTGTTTCTACGACATTCTTGGCAAGCACTCTTAGTCACCAAACTCAATTATTTTCTCAGCTTAGGAAAATTTTTTCTCTGATGTCCTCAATATTTACTTCCCTCCTTCACTGGTCTTCATTTCCTTGGTCCACAGCTACACTTTGTAGCTTACAGTGATATTCTCCAGGGGAACTGTAGCATCAAGAAATGTAATACATTATCTTATCTTTAAAAAACAGCTCCATGCATTTTCTTCGCCTTGGTATCTGCAGTCTTCAATCGTCTTGCATATTGCTGCATTGATCTCTCCAGGTTTTACTTTTCCTTACGAAGAGTTCAAATCAGGTCTTCTTTTTTCTTGTGATAACAGTTCGAAAATCCAAATGCTTTCTCTACTCGAGCCTGTTACTTACTCATCTCAGCCAATTCCTTCCATGCCTATTTTTTTCCAACAGAGGCCAATAAATTCTATATTTAATAAGAAAGCAATAATTTTCAAAGGGTTTTTCTTTGTGTCACTGAAATGAATCCATGAAGAATGCTTCCCTGTGGGTCTGTAGGAATTGCAACCTTTGTCTAATGTTTTGGATTTGTGTCTAAATCTTTGCTGTTCTACTACCCCAACCCTAACTCATTCTACTACTTATCTCTCTAGCTTCACCTCTTGTGGCTATTTGCTTTTTACTTGGGTTTTTAGCAGGGATTAACCACCTAGTTCTAAAAGTACATTAGGATCCTTTTTTTCTCAGCCTGTGGCAATGGGATATTGGCTTCCTGGGTTATGCTTCCCTCTCCCCAGATCCCCCATGTCCATCCTCATCTATTCCTTTTCTATGTATACGTATCTCTCAGAAGACCATCCCTATTGTTCTAAGGGTTGTTCCCAGACCACCATGTTAGGTGTTCCCCTAAGTATTTCTGATTACTCTTCACATAACGTAATTCTCTAGTCTATTTTAAGCTATGTTAAGGTAGAAAACTACATCTTGTTCACCAGCCTTCTTTCAGTGCCCAGAACATTATCTCAGTGCATTTTAAAGAATAATGATTCAACATATCTCTTCAATCCATTAACTATTGAATAAGAACCTCTTTGAGTGAGGTAAAATGTGGAATGAGGTAAGATCTATAAAGCCTGATGTTTGCCGAATATCTACAAAGTTATGGCCGTGTCACTGGAATGTTTTGTTTCAAAATCCACTTAGTATTTCAAAATTATGTTATGCCACTTCTAAGAATAGTGTTGAAACAAATCAACGTTTCTGAACCAAGTTTCAGCATGCCAGAGGAAGAAGCATGACTACTTTCTGAGCCACTAAAATGTATCAGAAGTTTTTCATGTACGCTCTATTGCAATCCTCACAAGTACCTTGTAAAATAGATATAAGTACACCTACATTGCAAATAAAAAAACAACAGAGAAGTCACCCAGCTCCTGGGAAGTTGTACCTGGATTCTGATTTCTTTGAAATATGCCTAAAATGTGTTTACTAAGTTTGGAACCTCAGAATTTCCCCCTATATTGAGAGATGGAGCTGCCCTCTTTTGAGAGCCCTTAAGAATCTCCCTTGATTTTGAGAAATGGGCTTCTTTCTTTTCCTTTTCCAAGCTCTATGTACCTGCAAATTGCTACTGGTCTGAGGGCTTATACTCAATTTCGACAACATATCATGCAAATGGAAGGCAAGGCTCTTGTAAGGTAGATGAAATTCTCCTCTCCCTTACTTCTTTAATTAGAGAGGATAATATTCCTTCCAACAGCTTGCTGTTCTGTGTGCCACACTGCCCACGTTCCTTCCAACAGTTGCACCATGTCTGAGAACTATGCTGTGCAAAGTGAGACACATTCTAGTATTCTACTCTGCCATGAAACTTTTAGCTAAATTCCCATGAAGTAGATGATAAACTTTCTAGTAAATGACTTTTATGCCACAAACAACTAGAATAGAAACCCACAGCATTGCACCCATGGTCAACTAGACGGGAGACAAAACTGTCAACAGCCATGGAAGTGAATCTGAGGATTCCTAATGTCTCACGGTAGAAATGCTGTCCCTGTGGTGTCAGCCCAGGTCTGGTCTGTGTGGTCTGTGTCTTTTTCTCCCCTGTTTTTCATTTGACTTAGATCGGCCTGATACAGCAGAGTACTGGGTGGCTTAAACAGCAGAAATTCATTTCTCACACTGCTTGGAGGCTGGGAAGTCTAAGGTCAGGGCACCAGCAAATCCACTGGGTGGTGAAGGCTCTCTTCCTAGCCTGCAGACAGGTGTCTTCTTGCTGTATCCTTACATGGTGGACTGAGATTCATCATCTCTCTCTTCTTGCTTCTTATAAGGCCACTAATCCCATGATGAAAACTCTGTACTCATGGCTTACTTACCCCTCAAAGGCTCCTTCTCTGATACCATTGTAATAGCAATTAAGGCTTCACCATATAAATTTGGGGCAGTACGGAAGACACAAACTTTTAGTACTTGACGTCATCTTTCTTCATTTTATTCTTGACTTTTTACCAGGTCTTGTAACCACCCAATGGGTTCACCTTGCCCTCTGCATAGACAGAGCCAATTTATCAAGACAGGGGAATTGAAATAGAGAAAGAGTAATTCACACAGAGCCAGCTATGTGGGAGGCTGGAGTTTTATCATTACTCAATCAGTCTCCCCAATAATTCAGGCAGCAGAGTTTTTAAGGACAAGTTGGTGAGTGGGGGGACGCCAGTGAGTGGGGAAGGGATTGGTCAGGAATTAAATCATAGGGAGTTGAAGCTGTCTTCTTGTGCTGAGTCAGTTCCTGTTCAGGGTCCACAAGGTCAGTTGGGCCAGTTATTGATCTGTGTAGTGCCAGCTTATCCATCAAATCCAGGTTCTGCAAAATATTTCAAGCACTGTTCTTAAGAGCAGTTTGAGAGGGTCAGAATATTGTAGCCTCTAACTGTATGAGTCCTAAACCATAATTTCTAATCTTGTGGCTAATGTTAGTCCTACAAAGGCAATCTAGTTCCCAGGCAAGAAGAAGGTCTGCTCTGGGAAAAGGCTGTTATTGTCTTTGTCTTAAATAAGAAACTATAAAATAATTTCTCCCAAAGTTAGTTCAGCCTATACCCAGGAATGAACAAGAACAGCATGGGAGTTAGAAGCAAGATGGAGTCAGTTAAATTACATCTGTTTTAGTGTCTCAGTCATAATTTTGCAAAGGCAGTTTCCCTGCTATGTTTTAAGCAGTATTGACTTACTTACTGGCAATGTCTGTTATCTCAGAATCTCAAATTTACTTTAGAAAGCACTGAAAATTTTAGTACTTTATGGTTTTCTCTGATCCCTAGAAAGATTTACAGATAAAATTGACTGGTTACATGTGATCCCTTTATTGTGTGGAAAAGGAAATATTTATTGAAAGATACCAAAGGATCTATGTAAATCAATGTTGGAGCACAATGTCCATTCATCTTTTCCACTTGTAGAGAGTAGCTCCCAGCATGTTTTGGAGTATCCAGTAAATATGATCACTGTCATGATTTACATTCTTTTTATTTTGTATGTGTACATATTTGACACTATCTAGATGATGCTGATTTCAAGGAACATTCATTGGAAACTGCATTGGCAATGAAATGGACAAGGTCATTTGAGTTATCTTTCTTATCACTGAAATCTGTGTTTTTTTTTTCCCAGTAGAGGAGTGGGTGTTAGCAACTAGCATCATGGCTTGTGCTGAGAACCTGTCCTTCTTTTGGTGCCATTTTTAGTGGGTGCTTGGTTGTATTCAAAATAAATTTTTTTGTACATTTAAAAAATTTAATTTACTTTTATTTTAAGTTCCACGATACATGTGCAGAATGTTCAGGTTAGTTACATAGGTTAAATGCATGCCATTTTGGTTTGCTGCATCTATTATCCAATCACCTGGGTATGCAGCCCCACATGCATAAGCTATTTATCCTTATGGTCTTCCTCCCCAGGTCCAACCAACAGGCCCCAGTGTGTGATGTTCTTCTCCCTGTGTCCTTGTGTTCTCATTGTTCAGCTCCTACTTACGAGTGAGAACATGGCTGTGTTTGGTTATCTCTTCCTGTGTTAGCGTGCTGAGGATAATAGCTTCCAGTTCCATTCATGTCCCTGCAAAGGACGTCATCTCACTTCTTTTAATGGCTGGATAGTATTCCATGGTGTATATGTACCACTTATTTTTACATTATCCAAATAGCATTTATTTGTCATTTCTGACCAATGAAGTTTGAATAAAGACTTGCTTATTCTGCATTCCTTTCTTTAATTAAACCATAAACAAGTGAAATATTGAAAACTGTGGCTGGGGATGAAAAACATTTCCATTCTCATTCATTGCCTTAATTTGTTATGTGGCGCTGTAACAGTGTACCACAGATGAGGTAATTTATCAAGAATAGAGATTTCTTTCTTACAGTCTTGGAGGCTGGGAAGTCAAAGATTGAGAGACCCTCATCTATTGAGGGTCTTCATGATGCATCATCTTGTGATGGAAGGAAAGAATGTCAGAGAGAAGAGATTGAACTCCTGTCTGCAAGCCCTTTTATAAGTAGCATTGATCCATTCATGAGGTTGGAGGCCTCAGGACCCTTAGGCAATTCTCCTAAGCCCCACCTCTCAACATGATTGCATTGGAGAATAGGTTTCCAATACATGGATTTTAGGAACACTTTCAAACCATGGCCATAATAGAAAATTGGAACCAGGTGCGATGGCTTACACCTGTAACCCCAGTGTTTTGGGAGGTTGAGGCAGAAGGATCACTCAAAGCCAGGAGTTGCAGATGAACTTTGGGAACATAGTGAAATCCCATCTCTTAAGAAAAAAAATGCCCAGGGCATGGAGGTAGGAGCCTGTGGTCAAGATGGGGTCAAGCTTGTTCAAATGCCTCTGACAAATTTAGTCCTGAATCTACAGCATGGGGTTGAGAAAGACAGGTGTCAACACTGGAGAGGGGAAAGAGCCCCAGTAGTCCAGAGAAAGAGGTCAGAGTCAGTGTGAGGACGGTGACCACACAGGAAGACTGTGTGGTGTGAGGTGGTGATGTTTAAATATGGGGAAGCGGGCAGGGCATGGTGACTGATGCCTGTAATTCCAGCACTTTGAGAGGCCAAGGTGGAAGGACCACTTGAGGTTAAAAGTTCAAGACCAGCCTGGCCAACATGGCAAAACCTGATCTCTACTAAAAGTAGGAAAAAATTAGCCAGGTGTGGTGGTGCCTGCCTGTAATTCCAGCTACTGTTGATGCTGAGGAATGAATATTCCTTGAACCTAGGAGACAGAGGTTGCAGTGAGTTGACGTCATGCCACTGCACTCCAGCCTGGGTGACAAACCAAGACTCTTTCTCAAAAATAAAAATAAATACATACATACAGGAGTGAACATCTGTCTCGGGAGAAAGACATGACAGCTGATTTGGAGGATTGGATACATATAGAGGGGAAGGGCAAATAAAAATAAGCACAAATGTTAAGAATAATGGGAGTCAAATTTCTGCTAGATAGGCAAATTACAATTAAGAACATAGAAAGGTGAAACAAACACAGTGGGTATGGATATAGAATTGGAGGTATCAGCACCAAGTAATAGTCTTTAAAACAGACTTTTTGAGAGATAAAGAAAACAAATATAGGTACATGTTGCTGGGGTTCAGAACCCAATACTCCCAAATACTGCATTTTGATGTGCTAACTAAAGAAGCCTCAAGGTATCTCTGATATCCTCCCCTGAACTTCTCACCCAGAGAAGCCAAAGTTTCCTTATCTGCCAAATATCCAGGCCCCTAAAGGAGAACCACTGTTTTTTCTTCCTCCCTCTGCTATCTCATTGTCTGCTTCAGAAAAGACCAAAATGTGACCCCACAACTGAGCAGACCTTTTTACGACTATAATGAGTGTCTTCCTAGGATCATTTTAACTCCAAAGAGAACTCTTCAGAAGTTAATCTCTGATCCCCTTCTGTCATTCTCCCTAGAAATTATTTTCTCCCTAGAATAGAAATTATTCTCCCTCAATAGAATTATTCTTCTCCCCATCCCATCACCTGCTTTACCAGGATCCAAGTCCTGATCCTTTCTCTAACCCAGGGTGGCATATAAGCTTTTCGATCTGATTGAGAATTTGGGTCTTTAATCTGAAGGCTCCAGTGTATATGCATTAAATAAATTGGTATGCCTTTTCTCCTCTTAATCAATCTGCCTCATGTCAGTGATTTTCAGCAAATATTTTGGGGATGAAAAGCCATAGCCCCCACCATGTATATGTGTGCCTATTTTGTTCACTGAGAGGCTCTGGGCATGAGGACACTCCAATGTTAATGAGCATGTTGTGGATCCAGAGTTTGGCTTCTATACATCATTCTTCATTTATAGATTCCAGGGCTCCTTGGAAAAATTGCAGAATCCCAGGCTGAGTCAGGAGCAGTGTAAGATACTAATCAGGAATATAACGTATAAAAAATATTCAAAGAGTCATGAAATTATAGAAAAAGACACAGAAGCCAATTTGGAGAAGCTACCACTGGCCATTTTGGAGACAGCTTGAGTATCAAAATGACCAATGATACTAATGGATTATAAATCATTAAGTGAAATGAGAAACAACAAGCTCATATTGAAGTGGCAACTTGATTGGATAGAGGGATACAAAGTATTGTTCGTGAGTGTCTGTAAGAGTGTTGACAAAGGAGATTAATATTTGAGTCAGTGGGCTGGGAAAGGCAGATGAACACTTAATCTGGGTGGGCACAATCTAATCAGCTACCAGCATGGCTAGAATATAAACAGACAGACAAATGTGAAAAACGGATACTGGCCTAGCCTCCCAGCCTACATCTTCCTCCAGTGCTGGATGCTTCCTATCCTTGAACATCGAATTCCACGTTCTTCAGTTTTGGAACTCAGACTGGTTCTCCTTGCCTGCAGGCTGTCAACCTGCAGATGGGCTGTTGTGGGACCTTGTGATCCTGTGAGTTAATACTTCATAAATTCCCATTTATATATATTATTAATTAATATATGCTATTAATATATAACTATATTAATTATATATTAATATAAATACTTAATAAACTCCCCCTTATATATACATATATTCCATTTGTTCTGTCCCTCTAGAGAACCCTAATAAAAACATGGAAGGACTAGCCTGGCTTAGACTTCCAGTCTACATCTTTATCCTGTGCTGTATGCTTCCTGCCCTCAAACATCAGATTCCACGTTCTTCAGCTTTTGGACTCAGACCTTCAACCACAGACTGAAGACTACACTCTCAGCTTCTCTACTTTTGAGATTTTGGGATTCAGGCTGGCTTCCTTGTGCATTAGCTTACAGACAGTCTATTGTGTGACCTCACCTTCTGTCATGTGAGTCAATACTCCTTAATAAACTCCCCCTTATATACACATTTATCTTGTTAGTTCTGTTCCTCTGGAGAACCCTGACTAAAGGCAAATGCGTAATTTTGCTTTGGATAGGTATGACAAACACCACCTTCACTGAGTAATCAAGGTGAACATCATTGTTGTGCACTTTTGTTCTGGGTTCAGAAAACACCACCACATAGGCTATCTAGGTGCTGGGTGAACCTAGAAAATGCTGCCCTACTGCTGTTCACCAGCTGCAGGTGGAATTCCCTGAACGGCAATCAGGGACGTGAAAAGCTTGAGTTTGCTCATCTCACACTGGTGGTCCACTTGTAACATCCTTGAAGAGCACTGCAGTGTCAAAATTCTTTCTTGGACAGAACTACCAGTCTCCATTCTTTCATTTCTTTCAGTAGTTTTTACCAGTTTGCTTGTTGTTTTGTAATCATTCAATGGGTTCTTGCCTGCTGCCTAGGCAGAGGGGATTTATCAAAACACGGGAATTGCAACAGAGAATGAGTAACTCATGGAGAGCTGGCTGTGCAGTAGACCAGAGTTTTATTATTATATATTACTTAAATCAGACTCCCTCAAAATGTGGGGCTTAAATGTGCAAACTTCTGGTAGCTCCGCCCATCCTCCTAATTTGCACGTGGGCCCTTATTGCTTTGTTCCCCATACTGTGCATCTGTTAGTGGATGGAATTTTCCATTGCAGGCATGTGTTGGCAAATTACCTGGGTAGGCCTTCTTATCTGTGAAGCTATAGGCATGTCTTAGGCATGCCCCACTACCATCTTGCAAGTTCCCTTATCTGTGGCTGCAGGCTGTTCTTTTGTTTAAAAGAATTCAACTGAGGACCCACCCTAACTGCCTACCTGACCAGGTTCTTTCCTTTCTCCTCTCTCAATAGGAAGTAAAAACTGTTCTTTTCTGCTGAGTCAGTTCCTGGGTGGGGGCCACAAGATTGAATGAGCCAGTTTATGGATCTAGGTGGTGCCAGCTGATCCACTGGGTGCAGGGACTGTGAAATATCTCAAGCTCTCTCAAGCTCCAATCTTAGGTTTTATAAGTCATGTTAACCCTAGAAGGAATTTGGGGAGGTTGTGAATCTTGCAGCCTCTACCTGCATGTGACTCCTAAACCATGATTTTTAATATTTTGACTAATTTGTTAGTCCCACAGAGGCAGTCTAGTGCTTAGGCAAGAAGGGGGTTTGTTTTGGGAAAGGGCTGTTACTGTCTTTGCTTCAAACTATAACCAATAAAATAAGTTCCTACCAAAGTTAGTTCAGCCTCTGCCCAGAAGTGGATAAGGACAGCTTGGAGGTTAGAAGTAACATGGAGTTTGTTAGGTCAGACCTCATTCACTGTCTCAGCTATTATTTGGCAATGGCAGTTTCAGTTAAATCTCTTTGTTTTCTTTTCTTCTTAGAGACTTTAAGAGACCACATTTTCTTTAGTTGCTTTCATGAGGACCTACAACATTAATCACTAGTGTTAGTTTAGAATTACTATCAAATTCAATATGAGGGAGAAAGGAATGGAATATACTGTGCCAATATAAAGGAGAAAGTAGAGTTATTATATTGGAGGAAGGGATAATTTTGTAAATAAAGCTTAAAAGAATCAACCAGAAAGGAAGAATGGAGATGTTAAGTCAGTAAAGTAACATTGTTGGTTATGAATTTAACACACACATTCAATATATTCCCCACATCTAAGTAATAATCTGTTAGGAAATACTATAGTTACTACATATATTATCAAATTTAGTTACATATACATAGTATCAACAAAAGTCCTGGACATTGTATGTTCTGTTCTAGGTAATTACTCTAGAAATATTAGAGACACACATACCAGAGCAGCTCCATGTTGAGAGATGGCTAGTAAAAATGAAGCTGGAACTTGCTGCACTGCATTCCAAGAAGGTTAGGTATTCCTAGCCTCTAGATGTTTAAGGTTAAGTGAAAAATAGATTAACAACGTTTTCTAAATGGACCCAGATTCAGGAATATCCTGGATATCCCATTATCTTGAGAAGAAAAGTATTCCTAATTTTGCTTTAAAGATAATAATATCAATTCTTACAAAATATAATAAGGAAAATTCATCCTTTATCACAAATCTTTGTAGTGGAGCACATCTTCCTATGATTTTTTTTTTTTTTTAACCTATATATAAACAAGAGTTGTACCTAGGATGGGTGCATTCCGGGAACACCAGACTGTCTGAGGAGTAGCTATCCTTTTACCACTTTATTTTCTTAAGAAACTTGCTTTTGCTTTGCACTGTGGACTCGCCCTGAGCTCTCTTTTTCATAAGAGCCACAAACCCGCTCTTGGGGTCTGGATCGGGACTCCTTTCCAATAGCAGAAACATCAGGTTGTCAATCGATTATGTTAATCAGAATTCCATACTTTCAAACCCAGATTTTTTCCCCACATGCAGGACAGAGGAATTGATGCCTGTATCCTAGCGAAGTAAGACTCACCAAAAGTCCCAGAACTCATCCTTCCTTTAATAGAAAATAAACTGTGGGATATCAAGGGAGAAAAATCAACATTGTGAAAAGAGCTGACTCAATTATAAAAAGTAGTTCAAGCTACAGAACTCTCTCACTTACAGATTTTTTTTTTTGGTTTGTATTTTTCTTTTGCTAACAGTTTTATTCAGATATGATTTACCCATATAAGGTGTAAAATTCAATGGGTTTTGGCATTGTAAAATAATAACCATAATCACAAACTATTTTAGAATATTTCCATCATCCCCAAAATAAATGCTGTATTTGTCGGCTGTTATTCTGCATTCTAACGCCCTATCCCACTACAACCCCAGCCTCAGGCAAACACTAATATATTTATGATCTCTATAGATTTGCCTGTTCTGGACATTTACATAAATAGAATCAAACAAGACTGGTATTGTTTCTGGCTTATTTCACTTAGCATAATGTTTTCAAGGCACATCGATGTTGCAGCATGTACGAGTACTTCATTCCTTTCTATGGTTAGCTATTCCATTGCCTGGCTGTATCACATTTTGTTTATCCACCTGGCAATTAATGAACATGTCAGTTCTTCAACTTTGGTCTTCTTTTTCAAGAATGATTTGGCTATTCAGAATGCATTGCGATTCCATTGCGAATTTTCAGATCAACTTTTCTACCTCTGAAATAGTCCATTGGGATTTTTCTGGGGATTGTGGTGACTCAAGAGACCACCTTGTCAGGTCCCATCTTCTTAGCAATATCAGGTCTTCCAAACCTAGAACACAAGATGCCTTTCCACTTATGTAGGTTTTCTTTAACTACTTCGAGCAAAGTTTTGTAGTTTTCAGTGTCTAAGTATTACACTATACTACTTTCTGTAATTTACTCCTAAGTATTTTATTTTTTGCTGCTTTGTACATTGAATTATTTTTCGTAATTTTTTGTTTGGATTCTCCATTGGAAGCATATAGAAATTCAATTGACTTTCTAAATATTGATCTTGTATCTTTAGAGTTTTATTTTTATGAGATCATGACGTCTGCAAATAGATATTGTCTTATTTCTTCCTTGCCAGTATACATGCCTTTTATTTTATTCCTTTTTTTGTCTGACATAATTACCTTGGCTAGAACCTCCAGTATAATGTTTAATAGAAGTGGTGAGAGCAGAAATCTTCTCACCTTTTCTGATATTAGGGGAAAAGCATCCAGCCTTTCACCATTATGTATAATGCTAGCTCTTGTTTTCTCTATATTTGTCCTGCAGAGAATTTTGTTGGTTTCTTGTACATGTGGAAAGAGAAATAAAATCTATTTCATGGTGTGTGCTCAAAATTTGACAAGTATATTTCCATTCAACTGTAGTGTGCTACTATTCAATAAATAATCTTAAACTTATGTTGATTATTATGTATTTCTAAATAACATTCATAGAATTTAACATTTACCAAAATTCAAATTCAATGTTAATGCTTTTCCCAAAACAAACAACAACCAAAAAATTAGAAACGGACATTAGGTTTACTCTATGATATTAAAATACAAATTTTAGTTACAGTGCTATGAACCAAATGAATGCTAATATTAGAATTTATTGAAAATATATTAAGAAAATAGTAATTAAAAATTACCTTGAATAGCTTAACTTATCAGTTTCCTTTTAAAAAGAGTCATGCTACCTTACAACTGCAAAGCACTTTTCCATTTTTGAGACACTCTAATAATCATTGACTCATTTAAATCAATTTTGAGACAGGTAAAATGCCTATGCATTGGGGAATGAGGAGACTGAGTTTCAGAGACATAATGTATGGATAGGAACATAGCTGTTTGCTTGCAAAGCTTGTGCTAAAAATTGACCTGCCTCATTCGGTTCTCAGATTCCTGCTGTTCACTCAAAACTCTCTCTACTTGATGTAATGTTTGCAGAATGGTCTGTCAATCTCATGCCACGTATACTTTTCAGCACAGGGAGTACAAATGGGCAAGGTTAAATCATTAAAAAAATTAAATCACAGGTAATTAAAAGAACATTCAACTATCACAAGAAATTAGGATGCAAAATAAAAGCTATATTTAAAACATGATTATGGGCTGTTGGCACTAACTCATGTTCATTTATTTTTTCCAGTGGGTGCTTAAGTAGCGGTGAGTTAATTGATGTGTAGACAACAATTCAAAACTTTTCTAAATATATATTTAAGGCAAAGATATGTCAGTCTTCAGGATGGGATGCTGTCTTGTCAACGGTCAATGCAATCTCTAACATTCCATAATTCAATTAATTTCAAAATATTTAAAGAGCTAACCATTATTTCTACATTGGTGACAATTCAACACATCGTCTTGTGCATTGAGTTTTAAGATGTCAACACCATATGAAAGAATTCTAAAACATAAAAAAAAAAAAAAATACCCAAGGGAGACTTTTCCTTGTAAAGATGAGATTTTATGAGTTAACAGGACCTGCAAAGTAAAAATGGTCTAGTCAAGGAAAAGAGTTTAAAAGACCAGTTGCTATTCATCTATGTTAAGGGATATTTCTCTTTCTTTTCTCCTCTCCTTCTCCTTCTTCTTTTTCTTTTCCTTTTTCTTCTTCTTCCTTTTTTTTTTTTTTTTTTTTTTTTGGTGACGGGGTCTTGCTCTTTTGCCCAGGCTGTAATGTAGTCAGGGCTCACTGCAGCCTTGACCTCACAGCTTCAAGCAATCCTCCTGACTCAGCCTGTAGCTAGAACAATAGGCAAGGAGACCATGCCCAGCTATTTTTTTTTTTTACATTTTTTGCAGAGATGAGGGTCACACTATGTTGCACAGGCTGGCCTTAAATTCCCAGACTACAGTGATTTTCCTGCCTTGGCTTCACAAACTTCTGAAATGACAGGGTGAAACACTGAAGCCAGCTGGGATTTTTCACAGTTAGGCCTAGGAAATATTTTTTTGTGGCACCAGTACGTGTATCATGAATATAATGACATAGGTTTGTTTTATGGGAAGATAGGTAATTGCTCTGCAAGCATACTGACAATTCTATAAGTATGATTTGCAGCAAGCTGTCAAACACATTGGCCCATGTATCTCCTGTGATACCAATAGAAGAGCTTCTGCTCCTTGTCCATGAACACAGGGCAAATTCTTTTCAGGCACAATTGAAATAACTGGATAATTTAGGCAGCACTTGGGGAGCCAGTAGTACAATTTAAAGAAGCACTCAAGACAGCTAATAAGCTGATTGTTTCCAGTGAAATCGTAGGCACATTGTGCACTCTAAATATTTGTTATTACATATTTTATAATCTCCCAGTGCAAATCCCACTTGCTTACAGGGGGTGATTTCCTCCTTCCTTCCTTCCTTCTTTCCTTCCTCCCTCCCTCCCTTCCTTCCTTCTTTCCTTCCTTCCCTCCTTCCTTCCTTCCCCTCCCTCCCTTCCCCTCCCTCCTTCCCTCCCTCCCTCCCTCCTTTCCTTCCTTCCTCCCTTCCTGCGACAGAATCTCACTTTGTTGCTTAGGCTGGAGTGAAGTGACACAATCTCAAATCACTGCAGCTTCAACTTCCCATGTTCAAGTGATCCTCCCACCACAGCCTATTGAGTAGCTGAGACTACAGGCATGTACCACCATGCCCTGCTCACTTTTTGCATGTTTTGAAGAGATGGGGTTTCACTGTGCTGCTCAGGCTAGTCTCAAACCCCTGGCCTCAAGTTATTCTCCCATCTTGGCCTCCTAAAGTACTCGGATTACAGGTATGAGCCACTAAACCTGCCCTAAGAACAAATTTTCTTTGAAAAAATCATTAAAATACATGATGAGTGACCCCAGAATTGCCCTCTGTCATTCTGATCTGCAGGTTGAGCCGGTCAAGAAAAATGGTGAAGTTGGCAATTCTTTTTATTCTTTGCTTTTTTGCTGTGCCTAAATCAAATGCTAGGGTGATATTACAGAAAGTTTACAGTTTATAAGGTATATTAGTCATGTTAATCAGGGCTAATCAGAGAAACAGAACATATATATATACACACACACATTCACATTCACTGAAGGAGAGAGATTGGTTTTAGGAATAGGCTGATGTCATTATGGGGATTAGCACTTTGGACATCTGTAGGATTACAGATTGGAGTTTCAGGTAAGTGATGGTATTGCAGTCTTAAGTCTGAAAGCTTGAAATGTAGGTAGGACTTCTATGTTGCAGGCTGGAGGCAGAAGTCCTTCTTGGTGTATCCTCAGTTTTTACTTTTAAAGCCCTTAATGTTGCATTAAGTCCTCTGTTTAAGAATTAACATGCATGTTCCCTACAAAATCCATACTTCTAAATTTTAATTCCCCAGGTGATGATGTTAGGAGTTGAGGTCTTTGGAGGTGATGAAGTGATGAGGGTAGAGCCCACAGGAATGGGATTAGTGCTTTTATGAAAGAAACCACAAAGAGCTTCCTCACTCCTTTCACCATGTATGGACACAGCAAGAAGTTCCCATCCATGAACCAAGGAGAGCCCTCGCCAGACACGGAATCTGCCACACCTTGATCTTGGGCTCCCAGCCTCTAGAACTATGAGTAAAATTTCCTAGTCTATGGTATAAATCTCCTAGTCTATGGTATTTTGTGTAATAGCAGTTCAAGTGGACTAAGACACTCATACATCACAGAGGGCATTCTGCTTTTTCAAAACATATTAATTGTACATGTTAATCATACCTACATAATACCTTCACAGCATCATCGCAAAACTGGTCTTTGACAAAACAGGAAGGCACCGTAATCCTAGGAATGTTGATGCATAAGATGAAACAGCCAAGACAAGAAAGCAAAATCCAAACTGCATCAAGAAACTGGAGTAAGAAAAGGGTAAGTAGCAAAGGTTGGATAAGAACATGCCAGACCAAGGGCACAGTACTTGCAAATGCTGGGAAGAACAAAAGGTCATGAAGCATTCATTCAAGAGACCACTGCATTCTGCAGGGACTGGAGCTCATGGTATTGATAGAGAAGCTATTAAAGAAAGGTACAGGAGAGATGCAGAGCAGAGAGTAAACTTAGGAACTGGACATCAGTAACCCTGTTGGCCTCGTCATTGTGCTCTTAATAAAAGTGAAAATGTTTTCCAACTCCAATGGAAAATGTTAAATATTAGTGATATTCGAGGGAAGTAAATGACAATCCATGTTTTCTGGTGGGAGATAAAATGCTATAAGTTTCTGAAAAAAATACAGCAACATACAGGAAAGGCTTTACACATACAAATAGACTTTGGTTTTTAATTTTAATTTTAGTTTTTTAAAATTTAGATTCAGGGAGTAGGTGTGCAGGTTTTTACCTGAGTATATTGTGCGACACTGGGGTTTGTGGCACAGGTGATCCCGTCAACCAAGTAGTGAGCATAGCACCCAACAGGTACTTTTCTAAACTTTGCCACCCTCTCTTTCTCCCCATTCTACTAGTCTCCAGTGTCTACTGTTTCCATTTTTAAGTCCATGAGTACTGATGTTTAGCTGCCACTTATAAGTGAGAACATGAAGTATTTGGGTATTTGGTTGTCTGTTTCTGCATTAACTCACTCAGGATTGAATCCATGTGATTCACGTAGGCTGAATCCGTGTTGCTGCAAGTAACATGATTTTATTATTTTTGTGTCTGTGTAGTATACATAAGGTGCATATGTACCACCTTTTCTTTATCCAGTCCACCACTGATGGGTTTTTAGGTTGATTTCATGTCATTGCTATTGTGAATTCTGATATGATGAACATAACAGTTTATGTGTCTTTTTGACAGAATTATTTGCTTTCCTTTGGGTATATACCCAGTAATGGGATTGCTGCGATGAATGGTCATTCTATTTAAGTTATTGGAGAAATCTCTAAACTGCTTTCCACAGTAGCTAAACTAATTTACATTCCCAACAACGTGTATAGGCGTTCCTTCTTCTCCATAGTGTTACCAACACGTTATTTTTTCACCTTGTAATAATGGTCAATGAATACCCTTTGACTTGGCAATTCCATTCCCAGAAATATAAGTTATACAGTCACTAACCTATGTGTGGAATGATATAATTGTATGTTTTTCCAAGTTTGTTTATTCACAGTGAAGAGATGGACAGAAAATGAATGCCCCAAATGGAGAATTGGGGTAAAACTAAAAGGAGTTGAAACTCAATGCAGCTATTTCATGATATTGTTCCAGGATAACTAATGACAGACGAGGCCACTGGTGTAATACATGAATTAATACAACAAGTCAAAATGACTTTGTATATGTAAACCTGTCTCTAGATACACAGATACGGATATAGATACAGGTACAAATATATCTATAAAGATGTATGCCCAATAGATTACAGTGGTGCAATTACAGGCAATTTAATTCTTTCTTTGCACATGTCTGTATGTATTAAATATATTTTTACATGACAACAAGTGGTAACTGTAGTGGAGAAACCTGACAAATACTCCCTCCACTGGGTGATCACCGTCAAGATCAACAGAAACATGTGATGTTGGTGGGATGCTCCCTTGCTAGGATGTGATTAATACGGTACTTTACCTCAGTCTTTCTTTCAAAAACCTATAACCCTAGACTAAACATGAGAAATCCATCAGAAAAATTGCAATTAACTGTCATTCTACAAAAAAAAAAAACACCTTAGGCTTTACTCTTCAAAGCCATAAACATCGTCTAAAACAAGGAAAGTCTGAGAAACTGCTGTGTCCGGAATTGGTGGGTTCTTGGTCTCACTGACTTCAAGAATGAAGCCGTGGACCCTCGCGGTGAATGTTACAGCTCTTAAGGTGGCGCGTCTGGAGTCTGTCCCTTTTGATGTTCAGATGTGTTTGGAGTTTCTTCCTTCTAGTGGCGCTTCGTGGTCTCGCTGGCTCAGGAGTGAAGCTGCAGACCTTGGCGGTGAGTGTTACAGCTCTTAAGGCAGTGCGTCTGGAGTTGTTCGTTTCTCCCGGTGGGCTCGTGGTCTCGCTGGGCTCAGGAGTGAAGCTGCAGATCTTCTTCACGGTGAGTGTTACAGCTCACAAAAGCAGCGTGGACCCAAAGAGTGAGCAGTAGCAAGATTTATTGCAAAGAGCGAAAAAACTAAGCTTCCACAGTGTGGAAGAGGACCGGAGCGAGTTGCCAATGCTGGCTCGGGCAGCCTGCTTTTATTCTCTTATCTGGCCCCATCCACATCCTGCTGATTGGTAGAGCCCAGTGGCCTGTTTTGTCAGGGTGCTGATTGGCGTGTTTACAATCCCTGAGCGAGATACAAAGGTTCTCCACGTCCCCATCAGATTAGTTAGATACAGAGTTTCCACACACAGGTTCTCCAAGGCCCCACCAGAGCAGCTAGATACAGAGTGTCAATTGGTGCACTCACAAACCTTGAGCTAAACACAGGGTGCTGATTGGTGTGTTTACAAACCTTGAGCTAGATACAGAGTGCCGATTGGTGTATTTACAACCCTTGAGCTAGACATAAAGGTTCTCCACGTCCTCACCAGAGCAGCTAGATACAGAGTGTCGATTGGTGCACTCACAAACCTTGAGCTAAACACAGGGTGCTGATTGGTGTATTTACAATCCCTGAGCTAGATATAAAGGCTCTCCACATCCCCATCAGACTCAGGAGCCCAGCTAGCTTCACCTAGTGGATCCCGCACCGGGGCTGCAGGTGGAGCTGCCTGCCAGTCCTGCGCCGTGCGCTCGCATTGCTCAGCCCTTGGGTGGTCGATGGGAGTGGGCACCGTGGAGCAGGGGGTGGCGCTCGTCGGGGATGCTCCGGCCGCACAGGAGTCCACGGAGGGGGTGGGAGGCTCAGGCATGGCGGGCTGCAGGTCCCGAGACCTGCCCAGTGGGAAGGCAGCCAAGGCCCGGCGAGAAATCTAGCTCAGCGCAGGTGGGCCGGCACTTCTGGGGGACCCAGTACACCCTCCGCAGCCACTGGCCTCGGTGCTAAGTCCCCCATTGCCCGGGGCCAGCAGGGCTGGCTGGCTGCTCCGAGTGCAGGGCCCACCAAGCCCACGCCCACCCGGAACTCCAGCTGGCTCACAAGCGCCGCACGCAGCCCCGGTTCCCGCTCCTGTCTCTCCCTCCACACCTCCCTGCAAGCTGAGGGAGTGGGCTCCGGCCTTGGCCAGCCCAGAAAGGGGCTCCCACAGTGCAGTGGGGGACTGAAGGGCTCCTCAAATGCCACCAAAGTGGGAGCCCAGGCAGGGGAGGTGCCGAGAGCAAGCGAGGGCTCTGAGGACTGCCAGCACGCTGTCACCTCTCACTGCCACAGTTGAAAGTAACCTAAGATGACAAGATGATTAAAGATGTAGGGTACCCTGAAAGAGACCCTGGAACAGAAAAAGAATGTTATGCATAAAGGAAGGAACTCTAAATAATATACAGACATTGGTTAATGATAGTGTAACAGTTTGTGTTAATTAATTATGACAAATGTATGAAACACTTATGCAGAGATGAACTTTGTGAGGAGAAGGAACGTCACCATAATGAGTCTGTTTTCTAGAGTTAAAGAGCTTTCCAGTTTCAGCCCCTTCATTCCATCTCCCTGCTCTTTCCCCACTGCCCACAAAGATGCACAAGGGGGTGGCCTCATTTGAGATCAAAATTGACCCAGGAGTTGAGTCAAACTGTCTGTTTCAAGTTCTGTTTCCCATCCTCACCCATAAATAGCTGTCTGTAGTAATATCTCTCCATTCCTGTGCCCCCATTTGAGCTCCAACATCAACTAGCAGTTGTAGGAATGGGGTGGGAGATACTTCTTGTATCTTAATTATAATTTCCTCTAACATATCACAGGTAAGGTGAGCTGGCATCTGTCCTTCCTTAACTTTCCTCTGGGCTGGGGATGGGCCAAGGCTTGGATGCATCTCTGACCTCCCAACTGGTACAAGCCCCAGGCCACGATGATGTCACAGTGCCCTGGTTATGCATGTCTATGATATCAGGTGTGTTTAGGAGATGAACAGACAGTTCATCTCCTAAATGAACTGTATTAGCAGATGAACTGTATTAGTCTGTTCTTACACTGTTAATAAAGACATAGCCAAGACTGGGTAATTTATAAAGGAAAGGTTTAATTGACTCACAGTTCCGCATGGTTGGGGAGGCCTCACAATCATGGTAGACGAGCAAGGGATGTCTTACATATTGGCAGGCAAGAAGAGAGAATGAGAGCCAAGTGGAAGGGGTTTCTCTTATCAAATAATCAGATATTGTGAGACTTATCCACTACCACAGAACTATATGGGAGAAACTTCCCCCATGATTCAGTTATGTCCCACCAAGTCCCTCCCACAACACGTAGGAATTATGGGAGCTACAATGTAGGATGAGATTTGGGTGGGAACACAGCCAAACCATATCAATCTGTGATGTTTGAAATTATGAAAATGGACCCCTTAATGCATGTAGAATTTTGGCTATGAAGATTTTCACAGTTGCTGAAGCACAGGCCTAAATGCTTTCCCAAGAAGTTGTGACAGTTTCCACTCCAATCAACACTAGAGGTAAGAGCATTTTTTCTTAAATTGCACTTAGGAATATATAGGAGAAGTAGAAGTTTGGGGAGAGGGCAAATAGCTGTCAGGTAATGGAAAAAATATTGGAGTACATTTCAGGTGAATGAACTTTAGTCCTTGGGCTCTCTGCACCATGGCGGTATCTTCATTCAGGCCAGTTACTGTGAGGCCTTGTGTTTTCTTTTTACAAAGATTGAAATCTCTACCGGCTGACTCCAAAGTTGCCTCTGGTTCTGAAATTTTATGCCTATGATTCTATCACAAAATTCACAATGATGCCAGAGTTGGTTCTGCGTGACCAAAGAGGGAGTTAAATAATCATAAACCCCAAAGAATGCATCATGGCATTATCATAGGATTTGAATTATGTGCTTATTATTTGCCATGTAAGGGCATGCTTTTGGGAGACATGACTGGATCCAAAAATGTGAAACATATTGGATTTTGCTGGGTAGTCCTGACTGATTTATTCATCCAATAAAAATGGGTTGAGCATATTATCTGTGTTTGGAGTTGAAGTTACCTTGAAGGAACAGAAGAGAGAAAAGAAGAAAAAAAGGAGAAAGGAAGGGGAAGGAGAGGAAGAGAGAATGAAGCATTGTATGGAAATGTAGATAGGAGGCTATGAGCCAAGGAATGAGGGTACCCTCTAGATATTGGGACAAACCAAAGAATAAATTTTCCCCAGAGACTTCAAAATGAAAGATATCCCACAAACATCTTCATTTTAACTCAGTGATACCATGTCAGAATTTTGACCTGAAGGCTGTAAGATAATAAATTTGTGTTGTTTTAAGCTGGCAAATAAATGGATGGTGCTTTTTTACAGAGGCAGTAAAAAACTAATAGAGTTTAGATATCTGATGAGTGGTTTCTGTCCCCTTATGTGAAAACTCCTGTTTCTGTAAAGGAACAAAACTCTAGACAATCAGTTTCGATGAGGACTGGCTGTTTGTACTTATCCAGCTGAATGGATTCGGGTAGGCCCTGGCCAGGACAGATCACCAGGGCAATATCCTGGCCCCATGCCCTGTTCAGAATTCCCTGGAGTCAGCAGGTACAGGAATTTACTGTCCTTCATGGTACCTTATGTCACACTAAATTTCTTAATTAAAGATGAGACATTTTAACACTAAAATAGTATGTTGAAGCTGATGACATTGATTAGCATTAATATGTAATCAAATCTGGAGCATGTTTTTTGTTAAATGGCTACAAATTCTGTTAAAATTTTCTTAGATGTTCTTTCACACATAAGCTCAGCTACAAAGTTATGTATTTCTAAAGCAAAGGAAGGTTTATCTGTAGACTGAAGTAATTTCTTTTCTCTTTGCCTTTTTTTCCTCCTACAATGTACATAAGTACATACTGGTAATTTGTATCAAGAGGAAGATCTGAGAATATCTAATTGTTAATTAATTTTTGCACAATAGAAAAAGAAAAAGAAAAAAAGAAGACTGTGAGTAACCAACTGGACACAATAACAGAAAAGAGTAGTTTCTAAGCCCTCTAGTCCCCAAATAGATAGATAATGATGTCCCAGGTATTTGTTAAAAAGGCACATTTTTAGCTGAGGCAGGAGGGTTACTGAAGGCCAAGAGTTTGAGACCAGCCTGGGCAGCACAGGGTGACTGCAACTCTACAAAACTTTTTAGAAGTTAGCTGGGCATGGTTGTGCACCTATAGTCCCAGCTATCTGGGAAGCTAAGGTGGGAAGATCTCCTGAGCCCAGGACTTGGAGGCATCAGTGAGCTATGATTTGACCCCTGTCATGACCAGGATCTCACCATTTGATATGGGTGAATTGAAACTGAATTGAACCCATATTTTCTTGCTCTGAGTCAGGTGACCTTTCAGAACCTGAACAATACAAAAATGACCAAATAAATGTCCTGTGATAGGACCATGTTTTTCCAACTCATGTGTCCACTTCTGATCCTCAGAGAGAGTTTACTAAAACTCATGTCTCTTTTAAATCCGTAAGATAGCTACATCTGGATGATTTTAGGTTGTAACTTTTAAATTGGAATTATAGTATGGTGAAAGTGGCAACATGAACATTTATATGCAAAAGGTTTCAAGGCAGAAAGTGATTGTATAATCAGAATTCTACTCCTAGTTCTTCATTTGGTGCATTCGAAAATTCTCACATCTTTGTCCTACCCTCCAGGGAAATATCTGATACACATCCAGTTTCAAAGAGGGGATGTTAAGAAATGCCTTCCCCTAAATTCACTAGATGTATTCATTTCTGGACACTGACCTTATTCCTCTATCAGACCATTTAACATTTTCCCTTTAAGTACATGTTTATGTTTTTCCTCTGGGAAAAAAAAGCTCTTTTCTTTTGTTAGTAAGTAGCTGGAGGGATGATAAATACTCTGTATGTATTTAGTAGCAAGTATCATTAGAATTCTGAATTAAAAATGAGAGTAATGATTTAATTTCAATCTTGTCAGGATGATGCATTTAAAAATACTGATGTGATATAATGCTATTAAAGATTTAAGCAAAACTTATTGATAAAACCATTACAACTGGAATGAGAGAGCTATTTGTCTACATAATGGTTCCTGAAATCACAGATAATACTTGCACATTTTCCACTCCATCATTTATAATTCGTTTTTAGATTTGTCATTTTTTTTCAAACACATGTGATACTTATTATATGCCAGGAAGTGTTTTAAGGTTCTTACAAATACCAACTCATTTATTCCTCAAAATGACTCAATAATGCAGTACTATTGTCAGCCCTACATTATGCATAAGAAAATGGCAGCATGACAAGCATTGGTAACTTGCGCAATTGAAGACAACAGATGAGTTTTGGAACCATGATACAAACAAGAGTCTGGCTGCGTGACCATGGCTCCGTATTGTTTCTGCATTATAGATAAACCAGTGAGAACTTGGATTGATGGCAGTAGTTAATGTGCTTTTGCATTTGAGAAAGTAGCTGGGTGGCAAGATTATTGGTATAAAAAAACTCAAATATACAAAATTCATATTTCTCATATTCAAATCAAACACTGTAAAAATGTCTTCTTCATTGGGATTTATATAAGTTTAGATGTAGAAAGTTAATATAAAACTAGCATTTTTGGTTAAGAGGGGGTAAACAGGTAATTATCTTCCCATCAGAAAGAAACAAAGACAATATGTGAAACAATGGTTTTTAAGACCATTGTTGATTGATATCAATCAATAGATAAGTGATTCCAGAAGAGAGCTAATAAATGAGGTGAGTTTATTAGCTGATTAGGTGATTGCATAGCTTCCACATTGAGAGAGATTCCAGGCAATGGTACGAGGAGGGGAACTTACACAGAAGTAATGACTTGAAGCAATCAACCTAAGAGTTTAGAGAGAGCAAGGCAGCTAGAATTTAAAGGTCAGGGTTACAGGAGAGAAGACAGATATACAGAGAACCTCACCCTCAAAAAAAAAAAAAAAAAAAAAAAAAAAAAAAAAAAGGCCTACAGAGTGTGCCTGCTGAGTATTTCACCAACAGCAGGATGGATATGAAAAACGTATGCAAGGATGAAGATGTAAATATCCAAAAGAACCAGAACACTGCTTAAGGTTCACAGAAGGATGTAAATGATGCCCTTTTTCACCAGCCAGAAGGAAAAAAAAATCCCTAAATACATGAAACATTGCATAAACTTTTGAGGTTGGTCTTACTTTAATAAGGAAAAAATGATTAGCAACAGCCTGAACTCTAATCAAGTGCTGCCTAACAAACCTGAAAAGCAAGACTCAAGATCAATCTCATTCAAAATTACATAACTGAAGCCCAAAATAAAACTTAAGAACTTTTATAGAAATAAAAAACCCAACCCCCAAAGTAGTAAAATTCACATCTGGCAATTCAAAGCTTATAGCATTTGGGATGGTCACTGTGGCAGCTGCCTGTAATCTCAGTACTTTGGGAGGTTAGGCAAGCAGACTACTTGATGTCAGGAGTTTGAGACCAGCCTGGCCAACATGGTCAAACCCCATCTCTACTAAAAATACAAAATTTAGCCGGGTGTGGAGGCAGGTAGTCCCAACTACTCGGGAGGCTGAGGGAGGAGAATCAATTGAACCCAGGAGGAAGAAGTTGCAGTGAGCTGAGATTATGCTACTGCACTCCACACTGGGTGACAGAGGTAGACTCCATCTCACAAACAGAGATGCCCACACAAAAGTTTATAGCATTTGAATGAGTAGCAAGGGAAACTATCTAAAATGAGACACACAGAAGAAAAAAAAATGAAAAGAGCATCAGTGAATTGTGGGACAACTTCAAGTATCCTAATATGTGAGTAACTGGGATACTCAAAGGAAAGGAAAGGGGAGAGGACACACATGCAGAGAAATACTTGACATAGTGGCCAGAAATTTTTGAAAAACTTTACAAATCTATCAGCCTATGGATTAAGGAATCTCATCCAACTCTAAGCACAAGAAAGCTGACAAAACCTTTGCCAAGACACATCATAATCAAATTGCTCAAAACTAGTGATAATGACGAACTCTAAATATCAGCCAGAGGGAAAAACACATTATATATAGGAGAACAAAGATAAGAATAACTTTGGTTTCTTGTCACCAACAACGTAAGCAAAAAGACAGAGAAGAAACATACTTAAGGTACTTATAATAATTATCTATATTTTTGCTGGGTATAGAAGTCTATACATATATGTATACATAATATACATATATATGTATACATAATATACATATATATGTATACATAATATACATATATATGTATACATAATATACATATATATGTATACATAATATACATATATATGTATACATAATATACATATATATGTATACATAATATACATATATATGTATACATAATATACATATATATGTATACATAATATACATATATATGTATACATAATATACATATATATGTATACATAATATACATATATATGTATACATAATATACATATATATGTATACATAATATACATATATATGTATACATAATATACATATATATGTATACATAATATACATATATATGTATACATAATATACATATATATGTATACATAATATACATATATATGTATACATAATATACATATATATGTATTGATAATATACATATATTATACATAATATATATGTATACATAATATACATATATGTATACATAATATACATATATGTATACATAATATACATATATGTATACATAATATACATATATGTATACATAATATACATATATGTATACATAATATACATATATGTATACATAATATACATATATGTATACATAATATACAACCCAGCAAAAATATCTTTAATCAAACAAAGGTGATGAAAAGACATTTCCCAATGTTTAAAACCAGAAAGAATTCATGATCAGCAGACATGCAGTACAATGCATGTTGAAAGAATTCCTTTAGGAAGAGGGACTGATATTAGGTGGAAATCTGGATTGTATGCAAAAGCAGGAAGAGCACCATAAATGCTAGATAATTGATAAAATTATAAGATTTTTATCTTTAAGTGTTTTATACAGATGATTGACTAAACAAAATAATAAGAATGTATTATGAGGTTTATAAGATATTTAAAACTAAAATTAATTACAATGATAGCACATTCTGGGAAAGAAAAGTGAATGTGTGCTGTCATATAAAATTGCACAAAAGACAGCATAAAGAAATAAAACAACAGGTCAATCTTCCTTATAATCATAGAGAAATCATTTCTCAGTGTATTTTTAGCAAATTGTAGCAAAACTACATAAAAAGTTAATTAAATCATGATCAGAAAGGATCATTCTAAAAATATAAGGTGGTTTTAACATTAAAACCAATCAATGCCATACTAACATTAAACAAGATCACCTTAACATTTGAATAAAAATAATTGCTGAAATTCAGTGTACATTCCTGATTTTTAATATTGTTATCTGAATTGGAAAATGAATAAATGTTCTCAACTTGATAAAGGGCATCTACATAAAACCTGCAACTAATAACATAATGGTGAATTATTCTTTCCCTCTACTGCTATTTGGAAACAAGACAAGTCCATCTGCTCTCACAACTTGTTCACCATTCTACTAGAGATTGCAGCTGGTAAAATAAGGAAAATAAAAATTCTCCATATTGGAAAGGAAGAGTCAAAACTGTCTTATTTGCAGATGACGTGCTCATCCACGCAGAAGATCTGATGGAATATATCAAAGAGCTACTAGAATTATTAAATGCTTTAGGAAGATTTCAAGATAAAGATCAACAGACAAAAAATAAATATGCTAGCAATGAACATTTGAAAATAGAAATTAAGAAAACAATGTTAACAACAAACATATCAACAATATGAAATTCTTAGGATAATTCCTACAGAAGACATGCAAGAAAGCCTTGTACACTGAAAACTACAAAACGTTACTGAGAGAAGTTAAAGAAAACCTTAATCAATGGGGAGATATACTTTGCTCGCAGTTAGGAAGACCCAGTGTGTTCAAGATATTTGTTCTGCCCACATGAATTGGTAGATTCAACACAATCCCAGTCAAAATCCCAGTTAATTTTATTTCTCAAAATTGACAAATTTATTCTATAATTTGTACGTAAATTGTAATAGCCTGGAATAGCTACAAAAAAATAAAAAAGAAGAACAAATTTGAAGGTGTAATACTACTTAATTTTAAGATATATATAAGCTATAGTATTAAAGACATCACAATATTGCCATGAAGATAGACAAACAGGTCAAGGAAACATAATAGAGACTTGTGAAATAGACCTAAAAATACACAAAAACTTCGCTTCTACACTTAAACACACATACCACACACAGAAAGTTAACTAGACATTTGAAGGACCCAGGGAGCAGGTATTTGGAATATATACTACAAGCCTATTTTGGGGGCTTCTGTGCAGATGAAACAATCAGTATTGTTTCCAGCAAAGCCTGTATTTCTTCTCAACAAAGCATATAATGTAGACAATTGTAGCTGATCGTAGATTGACACTGGATGAATCCAACTTGGCATCTCTGATGTTGACTAACTCATATCTCATCTTACAGGTGTTAAAGTTGAGGTACAGGTAGTTGAGAGTACTTAGAAAAATATTCAGGACAAGAAACCAATAGCTTACTTTCAATCCAGAGTCCTCTACATGACAGGCCACAAGATAGACTCAATGGGTATATAAGTGTATGGCGGATGGGTGCAGAGCATGATGCAGGTAAAAATAAAAAGCTAAATTGCCTAAAATTAGACTTGTACCATAGAATACTTTGATTCGATCCACTTTCAAGATTTTTTTAACTTATGATAGTTTGATAGTTATGATCTAATATATTGAACAAGAGTTAAGCAAGAAATTGTATTTTAGCAGAGAATATTTTAAAATGATGAATCTTGGTAAATATGCTTACTTTTTTTTTTTTTTTTTTTTTTTTGAGGTAGAGTCTTGCTTTGTTGCCCAGGCTGAAGTGCAGTGGCATGATCTTGGCTCACTGCAACCTCTGCCTCCCGGGTTCAAGCAATTATCATGCCTCAACCTTCTGAGTAGCCGGGACTACAGACACACACCACCATGCATGGCTGATTTCTCTATTTTTAGTAGGGACAGAGTTTCACTATGTTGGCCAGGCTGGTCTTGAACTCCTGACCTCAAGTGATCCTCCCAACTCAACCTCCCAAAGTGCTGGGATTATAGGCATAAATCACTGTGCCCAGCCTTAAACTCATTTTTAAAAGAAATTAAGATATATTTATACAGTAAAGTTATGTTAGGACACTCCTATATGGACTCATAATTAATTAACAATTTATATAAATTTATAATACTTTCATAATAAAATAAGGCAGGGTTACATTGTAACTTTTTTAGGGTCTGATGGTTTAAAATCCTAAATATTTGCCCCCTCCTCATGAATCTTGATAAATAAAAACATGGAGGTTTTGCCCAGTGAAGATTTTACTGTACTTATCCATCTCTAACCATTGTCAACAGAAAATTTATCAGAAAGCTTTTTATGTTGCATTGATTGGAACAATTAAAAGTAAGAAAGCACTTTCATTGCAAGGAAATTTAAAAAATGATTTACTAACAATCCATTATCAATTATACCCATGATAATACACTCATAGTTGGTTTTAACAGTATATTTTACAGCAAGAAACTGACAGAGCAGGAGCATTGCCATTTTGCATAAGCACCACCATTTTAAAGTTCCCCTTGATCCAAAACCATCTAAATCCAACTCAAAGGGCATCAGCCTAATGGCTAATGTCAGCATGACCGTAAACTACAAATGACATCTTCAACCAGAAATGTTCCAACCCTAAGATAAACCCCTCCCCAGCAAGAGACATGCCAGCCCCAAGATAACCTCCCCTCTGGCTGGAGAGATGTCAGCCCCAAGATAACCTCCCCACTGCCCAGATATATTCCAACTCTGCCATAAACTTCTGCTCCATACACAAAAGCATTCCAAGCCTCTCATAAACTGTCTAGCCCTGAACCTTTAAATACTCTTAGTCTGTAAGAGAGAGTGCTCCTGGCTGAAATCGGCCAGAAGCCCTTCTCATATTTGTTCTCCAAAATAAACCTGTGTTTCACTGTTGAGCTGCTTTTCATATATGTTCCCTCTTTCTTTAACTCTTACGGAAACAGACTTCAGACAGCTCTTACGCATTCAAAAATTCTTGTTAACTATCAGGCTAGACATAAGGGTTACTTGGAGACAGAATATTTGGTAAAAGACGTGCTTTTTTAATGGCAGTTCGGGTCAGATTATTACTTGAAACAACAGTACATATAAATTGGCAACAGGGACTTATGTGAGACAGCCGGTCCCTTTCCTGAGATTAACTGAAAATTAAATTACCTTTACTTGAAAGTGAAATATATTATCAGCAAGCCAAAGAATTCTCCATCAGGTTTTCATTTGTTTATAAAAACAATGATAAAGCATTTCACTCTAAAAACCTAATACTCATAATGTTCAGTTATAGAGGAGATAATTTAACAACTCATGTTATCAGTAATGAAAAATCAAGGTAGCTTTTTGCATTTTTGCAATGCAAATATTGAGTGTGTTGGCCTGTGTATTTCCAAGTGTATAAAAGTTAAATTCAAGAGAATATCAGTGGTTTCAAGACTGCTTGGATTAGCTGAAATCTCCAAAAGACAAAGGAATACCCACAAGTCAACTGCAGTATTGACCCTGACTGCTCCCACCATTTCTGATTCTTTTTATCAAAAAAGCAACCTTTTGTAATGAAAATTCGTGAGAAGCCTCCCCTGTACACATCTGCATTCCTTACACTGCGAGTAAAGTTCAACATTTTTTCATATGCTTAACGTCAATTTTTTTTCTAATTTGATGGCTTTTAACTTTTGTTTTATATTCAGCGGTACAAGGGCAGAATTGTTGTTGGGTAAACTTGTGTCCTGGAGGTTTTTGGTACAGATTATTTGATCACCCAAGTATTTAGCCTAGTCCCATTAGCTATTTTTCCTGATCCTCTCCCTCCTCCCATCCTCACCTTCTGAAAGGCCCCAGTGTGTGTTGTTCCCCTCTATGTGTCCATGTGTTCTTATCATTCAGCTCCCACTTATAAGTGAAAACATGCCATATTTGGTTTTCTGTTGCGTGTTTGTTTTATTAGAATATCTTTTTTTGCTAGTTATTTGTTTGTGCTTTTCACCTATTCTTAAAAAATCTCTTTCCCCCTTTTTTACAAGTTTCTATATATTGGGACTATTAGCCACTTATAAATCCTGCAAATATTTTCATGTTGTCACTGGCTTTTTTCTTAACTTATGGGATTTTATGCAATGTAGAATTTTTTAAAATGTACTTAAATTTATCAGTCTTTTTTATTGATATGAGTTTTGTGTTACAAAAAGCCATTTCCCTACTATCAGGTCATAGAAAAAAAATTTCAGCTTTCCTGCTAGTTCTTTTGCAGTTCATTTATTTTAAAAAAATTTAGATCTATGTTCCATTGGGGATTCTGTCTTGAGTATGGTAAGATGGTTGGGTCTAAATGTATCTTTTCTTAAATGGCTGGACATATTTGTCATAATACCATTTTTTTTTAAGTCCACTATTGCCTAAATGATATTAAGTCTGACTTCATCCTTTACTACATTTCTATATATCCTTGGCTCTATTTCTCTACTTTCTATTGTTTCACTACTTTCTTTATTCTTATGCCAATTTGATAGTCTTTTTATCTTTTTTTTTCTTTTTTGAGACAGAGTCTCCCCCTGTCATCCAGGCTGGAGTGCAGTGAGGCTATCTTGGCTCACTACAATCTCCGCTCCTGGGTTCAAGCAGTTCTCCTGCCTCAGCCTCCCTAGTAGCTGGGACTATAGGCTTGCACCACCATGCCTGGCTAATTTGTGTATATTTAGTAGAGATGGGATTTCATCATGTTGACCTGGCTGCTCTCAACCTCCTGAACTCAAGTGATCCACCTGCCTTGGTCTCCCAAAGTGCTGGCATTACAAGTGTGAACCAACACGCCAGTTTTGATAGCAAATTTGTTTCATATTTTAATATCCAGTGTGATGAGGTTTCCCTCATGAGTCTTCATCTTGATAACCATCCTCACTTAATAAAATATTATGTAGTTAGTCCTCATTACCCAGATACTCAGCAACCTCAAAGCTTGTTAGACCTGTAGTGGCATGGCAGATGGTTTGGAGTATCAGTGGGCAACCCCAAACGAGCAAGCCTCTCTAAATCTGGAATGGAGTGAGGGAAGGAGCGAGGGTGGGAGGGAGGGAGAGAGAGAGAGAAAAAAAGAGAGAGAGAGGAAGGGAGGGAAGAAGGGAAGGAGGGAAGAGAGACAGGAAAGAAAGAGATTTCTCTCTTTGAAATCAAAGTTGTAAAACTTTGATATAAAAATATAACAAATTATAAATAATAAATAAAATTTTCCTTTAAAAATCAACAATAAAAGTCTTTCATTTTAGTAAAAACTGAACCTGGTAGATTACAATGTTTGGATTAATAAAATTCTATTTTTGATTCAAAACTCAAGTAAAAGAATGAATGAATTGGATGAGCATGAAGTTCTTAGCACACAGTCGCATGATTTAGCTAGGAATGTGGAGCAATATATTAAGGAATAAAATCAGAACGATTTATAATCACCCACTCTTTAGAAAAAGTGTGAAAGAAAGAATCACTTAAAAGTAAGTGAAGTTGAAGTGGCATCAAAGAAAGAACTAACTCCATAGTGATGACAGTGAATTATATCATAAACTTCATAGTATGAGAAGTGCAGAATATATATTTTTCAAGTGAAATACTCTAAAAATATTTTGACATTCCAATATTTTGACAACTACCAAGAATGGCCGCTGTCTGTAAAACTAGAATAAGAGTTGTCATAATACATCGCTGAAATTTTATATTTATTTTTTCACAAATTAGAAGTAAGTTTTGGTGTTTTCTGAACAGACTGCCAAGTGTTCATCAGCCTTATAGTTTGCTATATATAACATGAGATAAGAAAAGCACAGCTCTGCTGCAGAGCGTACTTGTCTTCACAACATCTGCTTTAGCCAATGCAGTTCTCTGCCTGTATGGCCCTGGCTCAGCACATGAATAAATACACAAATGTGTGGTCCTGCCACTTCTAAAGCTTCACGATGCTTTCTACTCTCATCTTCTTTCCTCCCTCAACCAGGATTTAGATACATCTGAATTCTGAGGCATATTCATAGTCTGTACCCTGGGGATTCTTATTTATTTATTTATTTATTTATTTATTTATTTATTTATTTATTTATGAGGCAAAATCTTGACCCCTGCTGGAGTGCAGTGGTACAATCTTGGTTCGATGCAACACTGCTTCCTGGGTTTAAGTGATTCTCCTGCCTCAGACAACCAAGTAGGTTGGACTACAGGTGCACAACACCATTCCCAGCTAATTTTTGTGTTTTTATTAGAGATTCAGTTTTTACCGTGTTGGCCAGCCTGGTCTCAAACTCCTGGTCTCAAGTGATCTGCCAGCATGGCCTCTCAAAGTGCTGGGATTATAGGTGTGCCCCACCATGCCTGGCCTCTAACCTGTGTATTCTATAATAAAATCAATAACCCTTAAATACGTGCACATTCATAATAAATATCATACACACCACAGCGATTCTGTTACCTTGACAAATAACAAGTATTTAGTATTCAAGAAAAAAAGACCTGTTTATTAATACATCTCTTTCTTAATTTTATGTAGAAATCATCAACTACAAAACACAGTTGAATGGACAAATCCCTAACCAATCTCTCAGGTTCAATTTTGTGTGGGAATTCCTGCTTTGTGTAAGATAGTCAGATTCACAGTTGTGTACCCATGGATGTATCCATCAGCTTCCTCAAAAAAGTACTCAGGGTTTTTAGGGAAATAAATACGACAGATGCAGATGGTACAGAAACCACCACCATTTACTTGTAGCTGCAACTACCCTGTTTTGCAAGAGGCAGTTTATATAAAAGCTCCTTGTAACTTTTCAGTGTTTTTAGAAATTATTCTTTTCTGAGATATCTCTCCCGGACAGAGGCTGGAGAATTTATTCTTCCATACCAACCTCCTTCAAGTACATCTATTTTACCAAAATAATTCCTGTATGACACATCAGATATTTTCTTAGTATAAGCAAACTAAGGTTTGTTAAACTTGAGATCACTTTATACTTCTCAACCCTCCTTGGATTAATTGGCCATGCCAAGTTATGCTATAGAACCACAGTTGTTGTTGTTTTGGTAGGGGGGAGATATCAATAAATATTTTTGGGAGAAAAATGGAATTGCCATGTGAATCAATGATTTGAAGTAATGCAAAGCCTATTGTTCAAAACATAGGGAGGAATTTACTTCTCTGCAAATAGTAATATTTCCAAAGTACCCAGCATAATAATCTAGTAAACTAGACAATTTAATTCAGTGATTCTCTTTGCTCAGGATGGGAGGTTGTGGGCCACTAGAACTCCCTTGTAGAGGAAACTGATGTCATCAGTATAAGGGGTGTTGCCAGTAAATAGAGGGTCCTTCTATTCAACGACTAATTGAAAAATAAAATTATATATAATATGTATTTACAGTATACATTGTGATGTTTTGATATATGTGTACATTGAGAAGCAGTTAAATCAAAGTAACATATCAATGAATTTATCTACTTATTTATTTGGCAGGGCTAACAAAAGAAAAACTTCAGCCAAATTAAATTTAAAGAACTTTAATTGAGCAATGAACAATTTGCCAATCAGACAGCCCCGAGAATCACAGTAGAGTCACAGAGACTCCAGCAGTGCCTCATGGTCAGAACAAATATACAGACAAATAGGTAAAATGACATAGAAGAATCAGAAGTGAGGTACAGAAACTGCAAAATTAGTTACAACTCAGCATTTGCCTGATTTGAATGCAGTTTGAATATTCAGCTGTTTACAAGTGGTTGAAGTATGGCCACTGGGATTGGCTACACTCAGCTGTTGTTACAGGTGCTTACTATTAAGTTAGGTTTTCAATTTTTTCTGGCTATTAAGCTAGGTTACAGTTCATCCACAAGGTCTCAAATATAGAAGTACGGAGTCCTTCTCAGGCCATATTTAGTTTGCTTTAACAGGGTGAACATTTAAGAATCTACATTCTTGGCAGTTTTCAAGCATACATTAACTGTGTGTTTCTTGAATTTATTACTTCTGTCTAACTGAAATTTTGTATTCTCTCACCAACAACTCCTCAGTGCCTGATCTCACTTACCTGTGGAATCTAAAAATATCAAACTCTTAGAAGCAGAGAGAAGAATGGTAGTCCTTCTGTATTTGTTTCTGTATTTCCTATAGGACAAATGATATTCTGGTTTTCAAGATAAAGCAATTCCTTTCCTATATCCACATCCTTCTTACCTTCTTTGTTGTTTCTTTCCCTACTTTCCCACCTCTTTCCAATGGCCTCTCTATCTCCTGCCGCAGTCAGCGTCATCTTTTGATTGAAACTTTCTTAACTTCCTCTGGGAATGGCAAGACACATCCTCCTTTTTGTCCACATGCTCTGTCCTTGCTATGCAAATGGTGTCCACTGCATTCCATTTCCATTTCATGCTACTCTTAGATCTGTATCATTCTGGGTTGAGGGCTCCTTGTTGTCAGAGACTCTCCATTGTTTATCTTTGTAAAAATATGGTGGAGCAGGGGTCAGTGCCTTTCTTCTGTACCAGCAGACGATAAACATTTTTGGCTTTGTAGGCCATAAGATTTTTGCTACAGCTACCCAGCTGTGCTGTTTTCAAAAACCCAGCCCTTGTCAATATGTAAGCAAATGGGTTTACAATAGCTATCTTTAGAAAAACAAGTGGAGGACTGGCTTTAGTTTCCTAACTTGGTTTCGTAGAGTCCAGTGGGATCTAATAAATGGTCATGAGAGAAATTATTGAAAAATGCTCATATTCTTCAAAAGCTTAAGCACTCAACATGGTATAATAAAGTTTAAAAAAACTAAATAGAAATTAAGCAGTAAACATAAATATTATATGAATGTGTATGTATTAGAAATACATAGTTCTTCAGTTAAGACTTAGTACAAAACAAAGCAAGAAAGTGATAAATACGGGATTTAGGAAAACAGCTTCTCTGGAGAGAGGAATACAGGGAGATAGAATAGAGGAACCAAATATCAAAAATCAGTTATTTTTAAAAGTGTATTTTTGTGTGGGTGTCTATTATATTATTATGAACACAGTAACAAATAAATAGGACTAATCATGAGATTATTCACGAGTCGATAATTACGTTTAATTTTTTTTAGGTCAAAGCCATAAAAGAAGTTTTTATGGTATTCCCATTCTTATATATTCTCAACCTTCCCATTGATAAAGGTTCTTCAAAGATGGCAATATTCTTTGATGTCATCAACACATTCTCTCAATGTCTCAGGTGGTAATTGTTGAGGCCAGTGTTTTAAGCAGATTCAAAATGCTTTAAGTGTTCTTTTACCAGGATTGTACTCCTAGTAGATGATTAAAATTTTTAGAATTGCATCCTGCTGTGACTCTCAGAGCACCAGCATGGGCAGGTGCTTTAGAGGAAGCTGGGCTTTGAAGCCCAGTATAGCCTAGTGCATAAGTCTATAGCCTTTAAAGACAGACTTGCCTTCAGATTCTCACTCTGCCTCTTACAACCTGTGTTAATGTAGGAGCTGCTGCTTTTCCTTCTCTGTAAGATGGGAAAAATTGTAACATATACTTCATAGGGGTGTGGTGTGTTACAGAAAGTCAGGGACCCCAAATGGAGGGACTGGCTGAAGCCATGGCAGAAGCAAGAAGGTGGATTATGAAGATTTTATAGACATTTATTAGTTCTCCAAATTAATACTTTTGTAATTTCTTATGCCTGTCTTTATTGCAATCTCTAAACATAAATTTTAACGATTTCATGGACACTTATCACTTCCCCAATCAATACCTTTGTGATTTCCTGTGCTTGTCTTTACCTTAATCTCTTAATCCTGTCAGCTGAAGAGGATGTATGTTGCCTCAGGACTATGTGATAATTGCATTAACTGCACAAATTGTACAGCATGTGTGTTTGAGCAATATGAAATGTGGGCACCTTGAAAAAAGAACAGGATAACAGCAATTGTTCAGGGAATAAGAGAGATAACCTTAAACTCTGACCTCCGGTGAGCCGGGCAGAACAAAGGCATATTTCTCTTTCAAAAGCAAATGGGAGAAATATCGCTGAATTCTTTTTCTCAGCATGGAACCCCTGAGAAAGAGAATGTGCACCAAGGGGTAGGTCTCTGAACTGGCCCCCTGGGGTGTACCTGTCTCTTCTGGTCCAGATTGCAGAGGTGAGATAGACTCCAGTCTCACATAGTGCTCCCAGGCTTATTAGGAAGAGGAAATTCCCGCCTAATAAATTTTGGTCAGACCGGTTAATCTCAAAACCCTGTCGCCTTATAAGATGTTATCAGTGGCAATGGTGCCTGAATCTTCATTAGCAATTTTAATTTCGCCTCAGTCCTGAGGCCCTGTGATCTCGCCCAGCCTCCACTTGCCTTGTGATATCCTATTACCCTGTTAAGTACTTGATGTCTGTCACCCACACCTATTTGTACACTCCCTCCCCTTTTGAAAATCCCTAATAAAAACTTGCTGGTTTTTGTGGCTTGTGGGGCATCACAGATCCTACCAACGTGAGATGTCTCCCCCCGGATGCCCAGCTTTAAAATTTCTCTCTTTTGTACTCTTTTGTACTCTGTCCCTTTATTTCTCAAGCCAGCTGATGCTTAGGAAAATAGAAAAGAACCTACGTGATTATGGGGGCAGTTCCCCCGAAAGTGGTGAGCATAAAATTTGCTATAAGAGAAGATGTTGCCAGAAAGAGCTGACACAGTTTATGCTGATGAAATGTTATCTATTGTTAGTATGATTATCAAACAATTTCTGTTCCTGTTCTCATTTAATAAAAGTTCTGAAAGGAGACATGAGCCTATTTTTTGCTTAGGAATTCAGAAATAAGAGGGACACATTTGGTGACACTCTCTTTTGTCTCTCCCTCCATGATGGTCATAACATGTCAGCTGTTGCTCCAATGATTTTGTCTCCATTCCACAATGGGAGGAGGAAAAATGGGAGTATACAAGGAATAAGCCAGACAAGTTCATATCATAGCAAGACACACTTGTCTAAGCCAAGGCAATGGTTTCCATTTAAAGCCCATTGGCTAGACTGATGTTGCAAAGAGTATCAACCAGCTTTATGGCAGGACAGACCATGAAGTCCTATTCTAACCAGTTATATTGCAATGCATAGCAAAGCAAGAGGACTACTCAGGCTGAAGGAAAGCACAATGAACATTAGGCAGGTAACTTGCAAAGTGCCAAAAACTCCCACTCCTTCCTAACCATGCTCGTTCTATTCTGTCCAGCCTAGCACCAAGGTAAAGCAGAGGAGAAACTGAACTTTGTCTCTTTGTCGACAGTGAAAAGTGTACCTTCTACAGCAAGCAACAGGTGGTGTCTTCTGTAGCAAATGTAAAATTATAAATATTTTTCTGTTGTAATTTTAGCATTTTTATGTGGCAGCTTATTAAGGATCGGTACTTTCTTGACCCAACCGTTATATTCTGGGCCTCTCTTATGTAGTTTCGCTTTAGGACTTTTTAGATAATCTGGATATATTATTTGAAAATTATTGAATAAGAGAGCTCCCTGATCCTTAGACTTGTTGTGATTTTTCTTACAAAATTTCTTTTTTGAAAATGCCTACTGTGCTTAAGTAATTTTTTCATGGAGAATCTGAAGCAATGCAATGTATCTATACCTACCTATATTTATATATCTCAAGTGGGCACATTCAAAATTCCACCTTCTATGCCTATGAGGAACTCCTCAAAGATAGTTTGAATCATGGCCACCCCCAAAATATTAGCCTTAATTAATACTTTCTTGTTGATCATAATTATATCTTGAATATACTAAAAATCACAAATGAATCATGTAATCTGCATTTTTTTTTTTTTTTTGAGATGGAGTCTCACTCTGTCACCCAGACTGGAGTGTAGTGGTGCTATCTCCACTCACTGCAAGCTCCGCCTCCCAGATTCATGCCATTCTCTGGCCTCAGCCTCCCGAGTAGTTGGGACTACAGGCACCTGCCAACATGCCTGGCTAATTTTTTGTGTTTTTAGTAAAGACAGGGTTTCATCATGTTGGCCAGGATGGTCTTGATCTCCTGACTTCGTGATCTGCCCGTCTTAGCCTCCCAAAGTGCTAGGATTACAGGCGTGAGCCACTGTGCCCGGCCACCTCTTTCTTAAATAGTCCAATTTGAGGTGATGACACCCATTTTTTCTTTTGTAATGACATACATCCTCTGTTCCCAATATCTTCAATGATATATCCCTCTTTTTGATCTTTCTCCTTTTTCCTTTGTACAACAGTCTTACTTTTGTATTTCTTTTTCAAAGTTCACTGGGGAACATTTCTGCTCCTTGGTGTGTATTTGCCATATATAAACTAGGATTGTTTTTAAGTATTTCCTGGTGAGTTTAACTTTTATTTTGATGTTCTGATATGCTACCTCTTTACTAAAGATTTTTACCTGGAGATCTTATAATATTAATACTGGTAGAATAACAGGGTTTTGGTTACTATTTTCCTGGCATTTCTCTTTCTCACTTGTTACTTTCAAAATTTTATGTGTCCTGAATGTTTAACAGATGGCTTTTTACAGCTAAACATAATGAGATGTTTAAAAATCAAATGTCAAGTTCTCACCTTTAACAGTTGTATTGAGTCCATTTACATTTATTCTAAAGTTTAATTTCTCCCATTGTAATCGGTGCTATTTGTCCTGTAGATTTATTTTTATTGTCAAACAATTTGCTCTATGTAACTTCATCTGCCTCTCTCTTTGTTTGAAAGCTTATACTTTGTTTTTATCCTATTATCAGTTACCCTTAAGTTTTTGAATACTCAGAGAGTTTAAATGCAATCTGTATTTCTGCCATCCTATGAAATATCACATAAAATTGAGAATAATTAAATTCCAAACACCTCCTTTGCATCTTCTAAGTTCTTCCTACCCCTTCTCTCCTATATTTTTTGATTATTCTCCAAATTAGACATTATTATTTTTGCTTACTATACTTAATATTTGTGGAAATTAAATAGCATTTATCAATTTCCTCACTCACTAGTCTCACTCTGAGTTGTTTTCCTTGTTTCTGAGGTAAATGCTTTTCTTTGTGTATAATTGACTTTGTCTTGGATGTTTTTCTTGACAACTTTATGTACTGTTTTTGCTGTAGGTAAATACTCTAGGTTGATGATAATTCCTTTGCAGGGTATTGAAGACACTTTATTCACTGCTTCCTGGCTTCCAATCATTGCTGTTGAGAAGCCTGCTTAATGGTTGACTTTTGTAAGGAATGGCTCCTTTCCCACCCCTGGCTGTTTTGAATATCACCTCTATGACTTGCATAATTTGCCAGCTCCCTACATTCCAGCTAAATATAAATTTCTTCTTAATTTATGTACTTTGTGAATGTATTTTATGAGCTTTCTGAATCTGGAGAGTCACAGCTTTCATAACTATTAGCTCTTTCCAGCTATGCTTCCCAGCTCACTCTTGCTTTTCTGGGTTTTAAGATTTGTATCTGATGTATATCAGATATATTTTTCCTTTTTTTTTTTTTTTGAAATGGAGTCCTGCTTTGTCACCCAGGCTGGAGTATAGTGGCATGATCTCAGCTCACCAGTAGCTGAGACCACAGCTACATGTCATCATGACAAACTAATTTTTGTATTTTTTGTACAGACAGGGTCTCACCATGTTGACCAGGCTTGTCTTGAACTCTTGGGCTCAAGCGATCAGCATTCCTTGACCTCCCAAAGTGCTAGCATTTCATCCATGAGGCACCACACCTGGCCTAAAACTCATGTTTTCGTTCTCATTGTCTTCTCACCCTTATGTTCCATTCTTTGTCTCTTTCTGTTGCATTTTTGTATTATATTTAAGATATAATTTATAATACACTAATAATTTTCTTCAGCTCCATCTTACCTTCTATTTAATCTGCACTGTTTTAATTTTAATACATAGTCACAAATGCCTATGTGTTGTGTCTTATGTTTGTTCATTTGTTTGCTCAGTTGTTTGTGTCATTTATTTGTTCATTTGTTCTTTGTTTGTAGCATTTTTTTGTTCATTTGTAGACATGGTATCTAGCTAGGTTTTCCAGGCTGGTATCCCAACTCCTGGGCTCAAGCAATCCTCCCATCTTGGGTCTCTTTACAACAATTTCAGCTGTGAACTTAAATCAAGATGATTTTTCTTGGCTGGGTGCAGCAATTGATACCTGTAATCCCACTGCTTTGGGACGCTGTCTTAGGGACGATTGCTTGTCTTTTTTTTTTTTTTACCTTGATGTCCTGTTCATTCAGTCTGTTTCCTGCTTGTTGCTGTAAACATCCTAAATGTATTTGAGTTACATCCAAAATTCTACATATGTGAGGTGTTACATTCTATGATTGAGCATCCAAAAGTTCAAATTCCTTGAAGGTCTAACATGTTGTTTGCTTCTACAGCTAACTCTTGTTCTTGGTGGCTTGTTTCCTTGTGTGGTTTTTAATTTGAGTTTGCATGATTGTTAACCTGTGCATCTATAAGAATCCTTATGGCCAGTTTTCCAGGGGGGGAACCACCTTCCCAGATGTAAGCGTCCTGAGCGTTAACAACGTGGCACCATCGGAAGTCCAGTTATTGTCTTGGATCTTCTTAAATTGTGCAGCTAAGGCAAGGTCTAACGCCCAAATCTTTGTAGGGACAATTCTGAAAGTACAAATTCATTAGAGGAGACATTTTTCCAGCCTGGATTTTGGTCTAAAGGGTACGTTTTTCTATTTTTTTCTTGTATTAGCTGTCAGATATCTTTTCTAGTCCAATACCAGACTGGCAGAATACTCTTTTGAGTTTCTGAACAAAATGCTTTCAATTCCAACCCCATCCTCAGTACAAGATCAGTATCTTCTTTATTCTCTATCCTGATAATGACTGAGGCCCTCAAAGACATTTAAAATCTTCTAAACACCCAGGTTTCCTGACCTATTGTGTTTCTACCTCCTAGCAATTAATGACTTCTGCTTTCTTAGAATCAGATATGTCTTCTAAAGAACATTCCACTTTTTCTAGAACTTCGATGACCTCTTTAGCAAGAATGTTGGTTGGGCATAATCAGTCTGCTATGTTGGTGGAAGTGCAAATCGTACAGGTCTTCCTTTCCATTAATTCCACCTTTACTTCTCACACTCACCCTCTTCTGTAAATGAAGCCAGTAGCTTCTCAATGAACCTAATTGACTGAACATTCTCTTATTTCTGTTAACTGGCAATTTCTTCTATAAATTTCATCTTACTGAAATGCTTATTGACATTTTCTGCTCCAAACCCTACTATACTTTTCCATTGTTCAATTATAAATATAAATTTCTTCTGGATTTCTGGATTTCTTATAATTTTCACTTTTCTACTTTGACAAATGAGTGTTGACTCCCTGTATTGTACAAACTCAACTTTTTGTCAGTCTGCTTTAAGCAAGGTCTCTAAAAATATTCCCTTCTAACTCTTAATGCCTTGACTCATTTTATCGTCTTCTGCTATAGAACTTATCTTCTTCCTTATTTTGAGATAAATCCTAATTATTCTGCAAATCCTACTTTGTTTTTGAAGATTTTACCAATCAAGTTGGCTCCAACCCTCATAAAACTGTGAAGCATTTATTGTAATTGCTTGGAAGTCACAGGTAAATACATTCAAATAGGCAACAATATTACCTATTGTTTTAGGGACATTCACTTTGTCTTCCCAATCACTTTTAATTATAACCAAGATTTTTTTTAAAAACGATCCATTCATTCCAAAGTACCTAGTATAATGCTCATTCTACTTTCTAGAATAGCTGCACAAGACATGCTTTTAGAATGGTCTATTGCAAGTAAAGGTAAACTAATTTTCCTTTAATTTTTTTTCTTAGAATGAAAAATAAAGCATTGTTCCTTTAATTAATTAGGATATTGCCTGCTAGGGTTAGGAACCATTCAGTTCACACTAGATTCATCATTTACCATGCAGCATGAGGTGGGGGCAAAACATTCTCTCTGTCCCTGGATTTCTGTCTGTACTTTCTCTAAGACAATGAGCTCATCCAGCAGATACACCATGTCTCATTTCTCTCATTTCCCCTTGTACTTAGCACAGTCTGGGGTTTTAGTCAGAACCTGATAAATATTCATCAAGCATATGGCTAGTTCTTTCCTTCCTGAAATACAATCAGAGCACATTCTCATGTTGCCTTTTACTGTTAATGGAAACTCCCCCCATGAGAGGAATCTTGCTTTTTCTGTAGGCTTTGATCATACAGTTCATCATTCACTTATAAGAGATGTCCAGTTACAGACAAAAAAAAAGTTAAAGAAAAAGCATCCTATTTTAGCTTATATTTTTAGAGATAAGGTCTTACTCTGTCACCCAGGCTGGGGTGCAGTGGCACAATTATAGCTTACTACAGCCTCGACTTCCTGACTCAAGCAATCCTTCTACATTAGCCTTCTGAATAGCTGGGAGTACAGGCACAGCACGATGTAATTTCTATATATTTTTTTCAGAGTTAGGTTCTCGCTCTGTCACCCAGGTTGTATTGCAGTGGCATGATCATAGCTCACTGCAGCCTTGACTTCCTGGGCTCAAGTCAGCCCCCGAGGTAGATGAGACTTTAAGTGCACCACCACCATGCCCAGCTATTTTTTTTTTTTCCAGAGCTGGGATCTCTCTATGTTTCTCAGGTTGGTCTCAAACTCCTGGGCTCAAGAAATCCTCCCTGAGACAGCCTCCCAAAGCAGTGGGATTACAGGTGTCAATCAATGCACCCAGCCAAGAAAAATCATCTTGATTTAAATTCACAGCTGAAATTGTAAGAGACACCAAGATGAGAGGATTGCTTGAGCCCAGGAGTTGACAGATCAGCCTGGAAAACCTAGCTATAGCACATGTCTACAAAATAAATAAATAAATAAATAAATAAATAAATAAATAAATAAATAGATAAATAATGAAAATAAAAAAAAAATAGCCAGGCATGGTGGCACATGCCTGAAGTCCCAGCTAATAGGGAGGCTGAGGTGGGAGGATTGCTTGAGCCCAAGAAATTGAGCTGTGATCATGCCACTGCACTCTGGCTTGAGTGACCCAGCAAGACCCTATCTCAACCACCACAACAAAAAACCCAAAACCACAACAATAAAACACAAAATAAATTTACAGCTTCTCCTTTTCCCCAAGTGCACATAGCTTGATGAAGAATGGTCAGTTTAAGTATATGGGAAGGGAATGATGTCTCTTTTTTTTTCTCTCTCCTTCTTCTCTGCTTGGTGGCTTATTTATTTATTTTTTAATATCAGGATCTACAATGAGGAAGGAGAGGTAAGAGCCTCAGTAGGGTCTTCCTCAGCAGATATCATGCCACTGTAATTGATGACTCTTTCTTTGCTTTCTGGAATTAACTTATGGTCAAGACTGAAACATTTTCTATTGGACCCATTTGTGGGCTCTTTGCTATTTCCTGTCACTCATGGACAAAGGCAGTATGTGTTGCTCTTCAGGACGGGAACTCTGAAACCTCCACTTCTGCTCTTGGAGGGCAAGAGCAGAGAGGGGAAGCTGCATTTGCAGGCTGCACAGGTGGGAACTCATCACTTTAAGATGTTCTCAAGACAACGCAGATGTATGGGGTTCACCCTGCTCCTCTTATTACAATCCACATGCCATCGCCCTGATGATAGGAGGAAGTATATTTTCAGGCACAGCCCTGTTCTCTGCACCACAAAGCAGTTTCCTATTCTCAGGAGAGAGTCAGATATTCCCAAGTTCAGGGGATGCACACCAAGTTTGAGAAAAAAATGTGACAGAGAAGATTGAAGGGAAAGCAGGCTGGGGCCATAATGTTAGGGAACAGGGAAATGTCATATACTTGTTATAGTACATATGATAACATATCCTTACAATCTATGAAAGGGCTAGTTTTAAGGACGTGTGTGCTGTACTCTTCAACTTGTGATGATGATATATTAGGCTGGTGAAAAAGTAATTGTGGTTTTTGCCATTACTTTTAATTTTTACTTTTAGTGACCATGAAAAATTTGAGTTTCATGTGGAGCTAGCAAAATCAAACAAATAGAAACCATTGTGCAAATACACAGACTATGCAATTTCCTGATATTTTAGAAATCTAGAAGGTAGGTAAGCTAATTCTCCTTCAATTACTCTTCATTAAGATAATACTTCTGACTGGGATAGATGAGAACTTAGGTAGGATGTAGTGTGGAATTGCTTTTTCTGATAAGCACTTATTGCTGACTCATTACTGATATTGACAGAAAGTGGATTTATGCACTTTAAGGATTACAAAACAGATAGTATTATGCACATCTTACATTGCAAATTATGAAATTTAAAGGAGATTTATTTGAAGAGTGAAAGAAGGAGCAATAGGCATTTATCAAAGGGTAAAAAATATATATAAGCAATTTACATATCTTCAGGAAAGTCACTATTTCCTGAAGATACATAAATATCTCAAAGATATGTGTGTCCGTGTGTATAAATATAGATAGATAGCTACACACACACACACACACACACACACACACACACACATTTAGCAAGATTCCCTGGTCTTACTCCCTGAAACATAGCCAAGAAAGTAATGCATGATTTGACTTTTATTGCAAGAAATTATAAAGTCCATGCCATTTCTCAGAATCTCTTAGGTCTCATGGTTGCCAATTTTATTTTACCAGCAGAAATCAAAAATCTTATTTGCTTCTCAGCAAGGCAGTCTCAGCAAAACTAAAATGCTGGAATGTCACCCTTTTGGTGGGGTTGATTGCATTGGAGTCCCTAGGAGATCACAGAGAGAAAAATGATTGATCATAAATACAGAAATACAGACGGTGATAGGTGTGTCTGTAATCACAGAGGGATGTGAGACAGGCAGACATGGTAAACAAAGACTTCATGAGCAACCACATGAGGGACATGGCCATGGCCTGTTTGCAGTGAGGCTCTGTGAATTTGCTTTTGTTTGAGCAAACATGTCATTTAATGTTGGAGGCAAAAGACTTCTCTGTAAACGGTTGTCCATTCTGTCAACACTCAGTAAATATGGAGGAGATGGACTGTATGTACTGAATGGAACAAGGGAAAAAGTTTAAAATCATCTAAAATTACAAGCACAGTTAGGACTACTTTTCTAGGTTGAGGAAGCATTTCAATGATGTCAAAAACATGGCACATTTAAGGCAATAGAAGTAAAACAAGCCTATCTTTTAAAGGTAGATCTTAACACCATGCATCTCAGTTAAAGACAATTTTCCTTAAACTTCTCAAACTGGATTTTTCCTAGAACAATTCTTCCAAACTTTCAGAGACACAAATTTCCCACTTATATAACAAATACTTAAAATACACCACTTGTTCTCACACATTTATATTCATAATAATAATGATGTTAATGACAGCTAATTTTATAGAGCGTAGTGTTTACTAAGTATCAGGCACAAATAGTTTACATGCATAATATATAATTATTCTCCAAAGCTCTATGAAGTTTCCTAATTGCAATTCAAAGAAGAAATAAGTGGAAAGTAATTTGCAATAATATAATGTATGTATTTTCACTGCATGACACAAGAAACTGCTCAGATATTTATATGTACACATCAAATCAGCTGTTTTTGATAGTTGTAAGCACCCTGGACAAATCTTAGGAGTATGGGGTGGGGATGGTGAATTCTTTGTGCCAGGGACTCAAATACCACAAGCAGTGTTGAAATTTTCTGAAACTATTAACAACTCTTGGTAAGTTTCCAAATAAATAAACTATAATTTTTCCTTTAATTACTTGGCAGCTGTTTCTTGGAAAGTTCAAATGTGCAAAAAAGTGCTTGGGTTTACATATAAAATGGAGTTAGATGCTAGATTTAGATTCAGGTCATCATTGACAGGTTTTATATATACATAAATACCCAGAAGGATATTTCAAAATTGTATGGGAAATGATACAATTCTTTTGTTGTTTTGTTTCATGTATGTATGTTCTTAAACATTTTCTCATTCCAGGCATTTGTCCACTAAATGTAAATAGCAAAAATAAATTAGTATAACAATAATAACAACACACACAAAAATAACTCACAAAATTCCACAGTGATCCCAAGAAGAAATAGAACCACCATTGAAGAATTACTTTTTTGGGAGATCCAAACAGTAGAGATTGGGAGATTATAGACTTCAGGATCTCTTTGGACTCTGAATTTTGGTGGATAGTATTTATAGAGAGCTGCATTCTTCCAGGGAGGCTGTTCATAACACTCAGAAAATTCTCAAATGGTAGCAAATTCTCAAGTTCTCAAATTCTCCTGGGTGCTTATGCCTGTTATCCCAGCACTTTGGGAGGCCAAGGCAGGCAGATCACTTGAGGTCGGGAGTTCGGGACCAATCTGGCCAACATGTCAAAACTCCATCTCTAAAAAAAATACAAAGAAAATTAGCTGGGTGTGGTAGTGGGTGCCTGTAATCCCAGATACTGTGGAGGCTGAGGCACAATAATTGTTTGAACCTAGGAGGCAGAGGTTGCAGTGAGATGAGATTGCACTACTTCACCCCAGCCTGGGTGACAGAGCTAGATTCTGTCTCAAAAAAAGGAAAGAAAAGAAAAGAAGACACTCAAATGCTGATTATCATCCTTTCCCCCAAATGTTATTAACCATTAATTTAGAGAATTCCATGACATTGTAGACTTCTTGCAATCCTTTTACTTCATTTGGTAGTCATACTTCTTGGTTTTAGGGACATGTTTCTTGCACATTCAAAATGTGCATGTGTTTGCTGGTTGTCTCAGAAGCCTCTTCAGTTTAGCCTTGGTTATGGATTGCATTATAGTTAACGATGTTATTATTCATAGTTGCACTTTGGAAAGCTGAGAGAGGTCAGGTAGAGCTCTTCTGTGAAGTTGCAGAGTCGGCTTGCTTGGTGTTCTCTAGTAGTATATAGAATGCAGACATGGTTTTCCGAGTTCTCACTTCCCCTGGTTACCTCTGAAATACTAGCAAATAACCTCTTGTCCTAAACTTTTCCTGGTGCAAAGTGATTAACGCTGCTATATAAAGACAGTGTGTAGGGGCCTCATTGATACAGCCAATTGTGCAAGGACAGAAAAACCTAGGTGCTGTTGGCTTCTGTTTGTTCACAATGAGGTTCAGTACTTCTGGCCATCTGGTATATTTGTTAGTTGACCCATGGCTGGTACCACTGCCCAAGAAATGTATTTAAAGCCATCAGGTTAAACTTCAGCATGGCAGTAGGACATTATAGGTTAGGTATACAGGAAATATATGCTGAAAAACAATGTTCCAGTTAATGCACATATCTAAATGCTCTTATCCTAGCTGCTTTGTAATTCATGTTGTTATTTCCTTTTAATTTAGATAGAATGACTATCAGATATTAATTTCCCTCTTTTAAATTTTTTTTTCCTAAAACAGTCTTGCTGTGTCACACAGACTGGAGTGCAGTAGTATGATCTCCACTCACTGCAATCTCCATCTCTCAGGTTCAAGCCATTCTCCTGCCTCAGCCTCCTGAGTAGGTAGGACTACAGGCATGTACAACCATGCTTGGATAATTTTTGTATTTTTATTAGAGACGGAGTTACACCATATTAGCCAGGCTGGCCTCCAACTCCTGACCTCAAGTGATCTGACTGCCTCAGCCTCCCAAAGTGCTGGGATTAGAGACATGAGCCACCATAGCCTGCCTAATTTCCCTGCTTTTTATTTCCAAATGTTCTTGTTCATATACGGAAAGTGAAGTGATGGCTGTTAGCATGTTGGCTCCGCTAGCAAAAGAGCTTCACCTTCACAAGCACATGAATGTCATCAGTTTTCTGTTTATAACATCAAAGGACAGATATAGAATTTCAATGGAGGTACTTCTAATAATGGTGAAGTTTTTTAAATAGCTAGTTTATGGAATAAAATTAGAGCTTTGCAAGTTTTTAAATTATACTTGCAACTCTATGCTTGTTGTGAATGCTGATCTAATGTGAAAATGGAATTATTTGCTTTGCTGTCTTATAAAACACACACCTTGGTGGAAACAAAGTTCTTAGTAAAGTAAGAAATCAATGGGTCAAACATACTTGGGAGTAGTTGTGGTTCACAAATCATTCATAGTTGCAACAGGATAAGCTGCACTAACAGAACATATCAAAATCAAATCTGTAATTGTCCACAATTATAAACATTTATAGTAGGCTAGAGTAGTAATTATCAAAGTGTGGTTTTCAGAACCTTGGAGTCCCCAAGATCCTATGAGGGGATTCAAAACCCAGAGGTCAAAACAATTTTCATAACATATTCATGTCATGTGCCTTTTCCTGAATGCTGACATATCCACTTCAGTGACAAAACAGTGATGAGTAAAGCTACTGGTGCCTTAAAACAAATCAAAACAGTGACACCAAAAGGTATGAGCAGCCATCTTGCTGTCTCAGAAACGAAGAGAAATGGATGATTCGCTTAAGAGTGGTTTGGAGGAAACAGTAAAATTTTACACAGCTCTTCTATGTATGTCTTGTTAATAATCTCTACGGTGAAATGGAAACTGCTTGTGAGCACTTCTGCTGCATACTGAAGTGTGATGGCTGTTTTTCAGAAAAGCAAGTGTGACGTTGCTTCAGTTGCATGCTGAAGTGGCTGCTGTTTTCATGGAAGAGTGAAAACATTTGAAGGAATGTCGATGGACTCACCATGGTAATTCAGAATTGAATAAAGTGAGCCCTTCACTTCAAGGAAAAATCAGATTTTTGGAAAACTTTCATTGACTACTGAGAACTCCCTGTAGCAAAATATTTTCAAATCAAATTGCTGATGTCATTAACAAATATGACTTTTGGGCCCTGTATAATGAAATATTTCCACATATCAAAAATCTGCATAAATTAATCAACTGATGTTTTCCAAATGCATGATGCTAAAAAAGTCAAGTAAGTAAACAAAACTAAACATTGTGAGTGTCACATAGAGCAATGCATTTTCCTTAAGAACACACAAAAAGTTTGTGGCTGTGATTTTAGATTCCACATTGCAGATAACCTTTAAGAAATGACTACATTGTCTGTTGAAATAGTACACCTCTTTTGAACAGAAAGGAACTAACCTTGCTTGTAGTCAACTACTGAGGTACCTGTGGGCTCTTTCTCACTCCTTTCCTGTTACAGGATCAAGCAAAGGCTGGTACAAAAGAAAGCAAAGATGAAAACAGAGGAAAAGATCAAAAGTAAAAGAGAAGAATCAGAGTTTCTGCACCCTGTCTGAATGGTACAACACCTCTTTCCTGATCCCCAAGCCAGTACAAGTGCTTCTGTCATCCTCTCTGCCTGTGCCAATGGGCTCAGTTCCTGGTTTGTTGGTGCATTGAATTCAGGATGAGGGACCCTGCATTAGTCCTTCCTCATGCTGCTATAAATAAATACCTGAGACTGGGTAATTTATAAAGAAAAGAGGTTTAATTGGCTCATGGTTCTACAGGCTGTATGGGAAGCATGGCAGCATCTGCTTCTTGGGAGGCTTCAGGGAGCTTTTACTCATGGCAGAAGGCAAAGTAGAAGCAGGTGACTTAACACAGCAGGAGCAGGACCAAGGCAATCGGAAAAGTGCTGCACACTTTTAAGCAAGCAGATCTCATGAAAACTGAGATAGTACCATAAGAATGGCACAGAGAGGATGATACTAAACCATTCTTGAGAAATCACCCCTATGAGATCCAGTCACCTACCACTGGGCCCCACCTCCAACACCGGGCTTTCAATTTGATATGATATTTGGTGGGGACATAGAGCCAAACTGTTTCAGATCACAAAAGAAAAACAATAACGAGCTCATTGCTGACTTGGTGTGAATTGGAACTCTGGTCATCTTCTTCAATCTGTCTCCTGTGTCATAGCAACTGTAATCTTAAGTAAGTTCAATTACAATTAGCTACAAAAAGCTATTACCTAATCTGATTTTAACACATTACAATTTCTGAATGGGATGCATTTAATTTTTGTTGCTGTTGTTGTTTTATAATTAATAGGGTTTTTAAAATTTATTGTATTTTTTTTTAGGTGGAATGTCCTCTGTTGCCCAGTCTGGAGTGCAGTGATGTGATCTTGGCTCACTGCAGCCTCTGCCTCCCAGATTCAAGTGATTCCTATGCCTCAGCCTCCCCAGTAGCTGGGATTACAGGCATGTTCCACCATGCCTAGTTAATTTTTGTGTTTTTAGTAGAGACGGGGTTTCACCATGTTGGCCAGCATGGTCTTGGATTCCCGGCCTCAAGTGATCCATATGATTCTGCATCCCAAAGTGCTAGGATTATGAGCATGAGGCACTGTGTTCAGCAAATAGGCATTATTATTATTATTATTATTATTACTATTTGAGATGGAACCTTCCTGTGTCGCCAGGCTGGAGTGCAGGTGGGACAATCTTGGCCCACTGCAACCTCCACCTCCTGAGTGCAAGCAATTCTCCTGCTTCAGGCTCTGAATAGCTGGAACTACAGGTGTGTACCACCACAGCTAGCTAATTTTTGTAGTTTTAGCAGATACGCAGTTTCACCATGTTGGCTAGGATGGTCTCGATCTCTTGACCTTGTGATCTGTCCGCCTTGGGCTTGCACAGTCTAGGATTACAGGCATGTGTCACTGTGCCCTGCCTAGGCATTCTGTTTTATAGTTATTTTAGTTTCATTGCAAAGTTAAGTGGGAAATCTTCCCACTGCCCCATGTATGAATAGCTTCCCCTTCAATTAACATCATGCAACAGATGGTACATTACAATTTATCAACCTACATGGACACATCACTGTCATCCAAAGTTCACAGTTTACATTAGGATTCACATTAGTTTACATTAGGGTTCATTAGTGTTGTGCAGCGTGTGGGTTTTGACAAATGTATAATGACATGGATCCACCATTACAGTCTCATGCATTTTCACTGCCTTAAAAATCCTCTGTGTTCTGCCTATTCCCTCCATCCCTCAAAATCCTGTCAAGCACTGATCTGTTTACTGATCCCATAATTCCTGCCTTTTCCAGAGTGTCCTATAGTTAGACTGTCAGTCTGTAGACTTTCCACATTGTCTTGTTCCACTGAGTCATACTCAAGATTCCTCCACATCTCTACTGGTTTGATAGCTCATTTCTTTTTAGGGAGGAGTGATATTGCATTGTCTGCACTTAACACAGTTTACTTCTCTGTTCATCTACTGAAGGGCATCTTGGTTGTTTCCAAGATCTGGCAATTATGTATAAAGCTGCTATAAATATTAATGTGCAGTTTTGTTTGAACATAAGTCTTTAATTCATTTTGGTAAATACCTAGGAGCACAATTCCTAGATATTATCATAAGACTATGATTGGCTTTGTAAGACATGTGCAAATTGTCTTCCAAAGTGGCTGTAATGTTTGGCATTCCCACCAGCAATGAATGAGAGTTCTTGTTGCTCTGTGTCCTCAGCAACATTTGGTTTGATCAGGGTTGTAAATTTGGGCCATTCTCATAAGTAGGTAGTAGCCATTTCATTTTTAGAGTCCTCAAATAGCCATCCCATAACTCCTGTCCTGATTCCATAGCTTCATTCAGTGGGTGGATCAGGAAAACTTGTACATGCGCAGCTGTGAGCTGAATTGTTTTCTTGAACAATTTATATATTGAATCCCTAACCCCTAGGACTTTAGAATGTGACTGTGTTTGGCAATAGGGTTTTTAAGTACGTGATTAAGGTAACATGAGGTCACTAGAGTGGGCCCTAATCCAACAGGAATGGTGCCCTTATAAGAAGAGAACATGAGGACACAGACCTACACAGAGGAAGGACCCTTTGAGGACACAAGGAAAAGATGGCATCTACAAGCAACGGAGGGAGGCCTCAGGAGGAATCAGCCCTGCCTACACCTTGATGTTTAACTTCCAGCTCCCAGAAATATGAGAAAATAAATTTATGTTGTTTAAGCTGTCCAGTCTGTGATTTTTTTTTAATGGCAGCTCAAGCCAATGAATACAGCATTTTATCACAAGCTGGAATCCAAGAAGTATTTTTTAAAGTGATGTACGTGTATGTAGAATTTTTTTTTTTTTTTTTTTGAGAGGGAGTCTTGCTCTGTCACCCAGGCTGTAGTACAGTGGTGCGATCTCAGCTCACTGCAGCCTCCGCCTCCTGAGTTCAAGCGATTCTCCTGCCTCAGCCTCCAGAGTAGCTGGGACTACAGGTGCCTACCAGCACGCCCAGCTAATTTTTTGTATTTTTAGTAAAGACAGGGTTTCACCATGTTAGCCAGGATGTTCTTGATCTCCTGATCTTATGATCCCATCACCTCAGCTTCCCAGAGTGCTGGGATTACAGGTATAATACACCATGTCTGGCCAGTTTCTTCTTTTTAAATGGCTAGTTTGTTATTTATAGGATCTAATAGAAACCTTTTCTTTGATGATTCTCTTGCATGGGGCTTTTCCATATTGTTATTAATCAATGATCAAAATTATAAAATGTTACTTTTGTGTTCAATAATATTAACAAAGTGTTTAATCCATTATAGAAAATGAAATCAAAGATGGGCACCCTGGCTCACGCCTATAATCCCAACACTTTGGGAGGCCAAGGCAGGTCAGTCACCAGAGGTGAGGAGTTTGAGACCAGTCTGGCCAAGAACGTGTAACCCTATCTCTATTAAAAATACAAAAATTAGCTGAGCATGGTGGTGCACACCTGTAATCCCAGCTATTCAGGAGGGTAAGGCAGGAGAATCACTTGAACCTGGGAGGTGAAAGTTGCAGTGAGCCAAGATCGCACAACTGCACTACAGCCTAGGTGACAGAGTTAGACCCTGCCTCAAAAAAAAAAAAAAAAAAAAAAAAAAAAAAAGAAAAAGAAAGAAGAAGAAAGAAAAGAAAAGAATATGAAGTCGATGTGTTGACATGTCTTTTTTTTTTTTAATGACTGTATGACAGCAATTGAACAAGCTCCACCATTGTAAAGCAAATAGGCATTAGCCTGTGTCTTCTAGAATAAATGAAACTTGGCCAACATTCTCTGACAATTGGGAATTTACATAATACTAAAAGAAAAGTGGCATTAAAACCTGTAAAAGTGGTTTGTGTCAACTAGAGGTGGGGCTTGTTTTAACGTTGTCCCCTTCCATGATTATGGAGGAAGGTATAAACAAATAGAATTTCAGTTTGAATCTTTAGTATGATTATTTGTGTACACACAGACTTTGAACAGAGAAATCAAAGTGGCCATAGAGAACATTTGCCTCATGCAATTAACATTCACATCCATGCTAACACATGTTAAGATCGTTGTCACAGGAGGGCTGGATGCCAAAACCTGGAGAAAAGAGACTACCGACAGGCTATCTCAGTGATGTTGGCTTTGAATGACAACCTCATTGAATGTTGAATTCAAGCCTCATTGAATGTCTGAGGCTTGGTCTCATTAATATTTTTTTAACGTATATGCAACCTACTTCCTACCATCAGAACAAAATTAAGAAGCACACATAAGGTGCTAAGTCAATTATAAACACCACACAATTATAAATGATGACTTATTACCATATAATTATTATTAAATAATGCCTTTTTGAGAATGGAAGCTGAGTTCATTTAAACTCTGTCTTATCCGTTAAGTATGGGATTCAATATTATTATTGTACATTTTTCATTCATTCTTATGTTGATAGCATTAGCTATCTTTTGTAACTGTTAATATACAGCCAAGTTTCCAAACTTCTCCAAATGCAGACATTTGGGCAAAAGTCCTTTGTGCAATGTTTTTAGGGTATTTAGGGTAAAAATAAATCAACAAATATTTACTGAAATAATGAGTTCTAGTTATTGATATGAAAAGGATTAAAAGATGTGAAGTATTTACCCAGCAATTGACCAGATTAGCTTAAAATAAGGACTTAGTGGATACTTATTCTCATGATTTACTGCAAGGATACATAAATCTGTGGTTTCTGAAGTTTAAACTATATATTATGCACTTGATTTATAAAACCTGCTAATAAATCCAGCTCAACTGCTTATTGAGAAATCATTTTTCTAAGCATCAGCTCCTGCTAAGTGTGAGGATTTGTAAGCAAAGGAAACACATGTGCAAATTCTACCACAGATTTGGAAATCATACCAATAAATCTTAAGGGAAAAAAATCACTGTATTTACAAACCCTTACCTGATACTTAGGATATAGGTGAAAGATTTAGCAACTATGACCTTTAGTAAGTACAGTTACAGTTTGCATAGTAAACCATTACCTAATCTGATTTTAACATACTAAAGTTTCCAAGTGGGTTTTATTAGGCATCACAGAATAAAGAGGGATATTATTTTAAATAGATGGTTAAAGAGATGTCTATTTTCAAGAATTAGTAGGGATGGAGATGCTGTTTCTGTTCCCTGAGAATACTCTTTAAAGGGTCAATTCGCATTGACTGTTGGAAGTGGGACTACTCACAGTTAACAGCTGCTTCATTGCTCTGGAGAACAGTTCACAGCCACTCCATTGCTCTGGAAATTGATCCTTGGTTGACAATGAGTTGCTTCTTCTAAAAATTTATCTCTTATCTCTCTACCAAAAGGATCCCAAAGCCAGAGACCACCTGACATGGGAGCAACTGGTTTTTTAATCAGTGAATTACTTGCACCCAAATCCTTGTGTAAAGGTTTACTTCTAAGAAATCCAACCCAGTAAAAACCCAAGGCTTTTACTGTGTCTAACAATGCTTTACACACACGTTGGGAAAAAAATCAGACTCATTTGCATTACCACTCCCCATTTAGACAAGCAGGACCTCACTTCAACTTGCAACTAATTATTTTTATATTAAATCTCCTCAGATATGTCAAGGTCTGAATGATTTGAAAGTGGCTTCTCATTTTTCGATCTTGTGTTTGCTCATACAAAAATCAGAGGTGGGTCAGCCAAGATGGCCGAATAGGAAGAGCTCCAGTTACAGCTCCCAGCACGAGTGACGCAGAAGACGGGTGATTTCCGCATTTTCATCTGAGGTACCGGGTTCATCTCACTAGGGAGTGGCAGACAGTGGGTGCGGGACAGTGGGTGCAGTGCACTGTGCATGAGCCGAAGCAGAGTGAGGCATTACCCCACTCAGGAAGTGCAAGGGGTCAGGGAGTTCCCTTTCCTAGTCAAAGAAAGGGGTGACAGATGGCACCTGGAAAATCGGGTCACTCCCACCCTAATACTGTGCTTTTCTGATGGGCTTAAAAAATGGTGCACCAGGAGATTATATCCTGCAGCTGGCACAGAGGGTCCTATCCCCACAGAGTCTCACTAATTGCTAGCACAGCAGTCTGAGATCAAACTGCAAGGTGGCAGCAAGGCTGGGGGAGGGGTGCCCACCATTGCCCAGTCTTGCTTAGGTAAACAAAACAGCCAGGAAGCTGGAACAGCATGGAGACCACCACAGCTCAAGGAGGCCTACCTGCCTCTGTAGGATCCACCTCTGGGGGCAGGGCACAGACAAATAAAAAGACAGCAGTAACCTCTGCAGACTTAAATGTCCATGGCTGACAGCTTTGAAGAGAGCAGTGGTTCTCCCAGCATGCAGCTGGAGATCTGAGAATGGGCAGACTGCCTCCTCAAGTGGGTCCCTGTCTCCTGACCCCTGAGCATCCTAACTGGAAGGCACCACCCAGTAGGGGCAGACTGACACCTCACACAGCCAGGTACTCTTCTGAGACAAAACACGCAGAGGAACGATCAGACAGCAGCATTCACGGTTCATGAAAATCCACTGTTCTGCAGCCACCACTGCTGATACCCAGGCAAACAGGGTCTAGAGTGGACCTCTAGCAAACTCCAACAGACCTGCACCTGAGGGTCCTGTCTGTTAGAAGGAAAACTAACAAACAGAAAGGACATCCACACCAAAAACCATCTGTACATCTGCATCATTAATGACCAAAAGTAGATAAAACCACAAAGATGGGGAAAAAACAGAGCAGAAAAACTGGAAACTCTAAAAAGCAGAGCGCCTCTCCTCCTCCAAAGGAACGCAGTTCCTCACCAGCAATGGAACAAAGCTGGATGGAGAATGACTTTAACGAGTTGAGACAGGAAGACTTCAGACTATCAAACTACTCCAAGCTACAGGAGGAAATTCAAACCAAAGGCAAAGAAGTTAAAAACTTTGAAAAAAATTTAGACAATTGTAAAACTAGAATAACCAATACAGAGAAGTGCTTAAAGGAGCTGATGGAGCTGAAAGCCAAGGCTCAAGAACTACGTGAAGAATGCAGAAGCCTCAGGAGCCAATGCAGTCAACTGGAAGAAAGGGTATCAGTGCTGGAAGATGAACTGAATGAAATGAAGTGAGAAGGGAAGTTTAGAGAAAAAAGAATAAAAAGAAACGAACAAAGCCTCCAAGAAATATGGGACCATGTGAAGATACCAAATCTACATCTTATTGGTGTACCTGAAAGTGATGGGGAGAATGGAACCAAGTTGGAAAACACTCTGAAGGATATTATCCAGGAGAACTTCCCCAATCTAGCAAGGCAGGCTAACATTCAGATTCGGGAAATACAGACAACACCACAAAGATACTCTTTGAGAAGAGCAACTCCAAGACACATAATTGTCAGACTCACCAAAGTTGAAATGAAGGAAAAAATGTTAAGGGCAGCCAGAGAGAAAGGTTGGTTTACCCACAAAGGGAAGCCCATCAGACTAACAGCGGATCTCTCGGCAGAAACTCTACAAGCCAGAAGAGAGTGGGGGCCAACATTCAACATTCTTAAAGAAAAGAATTTTCAACCCAGAATTTCATATCCAGCCAAACTAAGCTTCATAAGTGAAGGAGAAATAAAATACTTTACAGACAAGCAAATGCTGAGTGATTTTGTCACCACCAGGCCTGCCCTAAAAGAGCTCCTGAAAGAAGCACTAAACATGGAAAGGAACAAATGGTACCAGCAGCTGCAAAATCATGCCAAAATGTAAAGACCATTGAGACTAGGAAGAAACTGCATCAACTAATGAGAAAAATAACCAGCTAGCATCATAATGACAGGATCAAATTCACACATAAAAATATTAACTTTAAATGTAAATGGACTACATGCTCCAATTAAACGACACAGACTGGCAAATTGGATAAAGACTCAAGACCCATCAGTGTGCTGTATTCAGGAGACCCATCTCACTTGCAGAGACACACATTGGCTCAAAATAAAGGGATGGAGGAAGATCTGCCAAGCCAATGGAAAACAAAAAAAGGCAGGGGTGGCAATCCTAGTCTCTGATAAAACAGACTTTAAACCAACAAAGATCAAAAGAGACAAAGAAGGCCTTTACATAATGTAAAGGGATCAATTCAACAAGAAGAGCTAACTATCCTAAATATATATGCACCCAATACAGGAGCACCCAGATTCATAAAACAAGTCCTGAGTGACCTACAAAGAGACTTAGACTCCCACACAATAATATTGGGAGACTTTAACACCCCACGGTCAACACTAGACAACGAGGCAGAAAGTTAACAAAGATACACAGGAATTGAACTCACCTCTGCACCAAGCAGACCTAATAGACATCTACAGAACTCTCCACCCCAAATCAACAGAATATACATTTTTTTCAGCACCACACCACACCTATTCCAAAATTGACCACGTAGTTGGAAGTAAAGCTCTCCTCACAAATAAAAGAACAGAAATTACAACAAACTGTCTCTCAGACTGCAGTACAATCAAACTACAACTCAGGATTAAGAAACTCACTCAAAACCGCTCAACTACATGGAAACTGAACAACCTGCTCCTGAATGACTACTGGGTACATAATGAAATGAAGGCAGAAATAAAGATGTTCTTTGAAACCAATGAGAACAAAGACACAACATATCAGAATCTCTGGGTCATATTCAAAGCAGTGCATAGAGGGAAATTTATAGCACTAAATGCCTACAAGAGAAAGCAGGAAAGATCCAAAATTGACACCCTAACATCACAAGTAAAAGAACTAGAAAAGCAAGAGCAAACATATTCAAAAGTTAGCAGAAGGCAAGAAATAACTAAAATCAGAGCAGAACTGAAGGAAATAGAGACACAAAAAACCCTTCAAAAAATTAATGAATCCGGGAGCTGGTTTTTTGAAACGATCAACAAAATTGATAGACTGCTAGCAAGACTAATAAAGAAGAAAAGAGAAGAATCAAATAGATGCAATAAAGAATGATAAAGGGGATATCACCACCAATCCCACAGAAATACAAACTACCATCAGAGAACACTACAAACACCTCTATGCAAGTAAACTAGAAAATCTAGAAGAAATGGATAAATTCCTTGACACATACACCCTCCCAAGACTAAACCAGGAAGAAGTTGAATCTCTGAATAGACCAATAACAGGCTCTGAAATTGTGGCAATAATCAATAGCTTACCAACAAAAAAGAGTCCAGGACAAGATGGATTCACAGCCGAATTCTACCAGAGGTACAATTCTACCAACTGGTACCATTCCATCTGAAACTATTGCAATCAATAGAAAAAGAGGGAATCCTCCTTAACTCATTTTATGAGGCCAGCATCATCCTGATACCAAAGCCTGGCAGAGACACCACAAAAAAAGGGAATTTTAGACCAATATCCTTGATGAACTTGATGCAAAAGTCCTCAACAAAATACTGGCAAACTGAATCCAGCAGCACATCAAAAAGCTTATCCACCATGATCAAGTGGGCTCCATCCCTGGGATGCAAGGCTGGTTCAATATACACAAATCAATAAATGTAATCCAGCATATAAACAGAACCAAAGACAAAAACCACGTGATTATCTCAATAGATGCAGAAAAGGCCTTTGACAAAATTCAACAACACTTCATGCTAAAAACTCTCAATAAATTAGGTATTGATGGGACATATCTCAAAATATTAAGAGCTATCTATGACAAACACACAGCCAATAGCATACTGAATGGGCAAAAACTGGAAGCAGTTCCTTTGAAAACTGGCACAATAGAGGGATGCCCTCTCTCACCACTCCTGTTTGACATAGTGTTGGAAGTTCTGGCCAGGGCAGTTAGGCAGGAGAAGGAAATCAAACGTATTCAATTAGGAAAAGGGGAAGTCAGATTGTCCCTGTTTTCAGATGACATGATTGCATATCTAGAGAACCCCATCGTCTCAGCCCAAAATATCCTTAAGCTGATAAGCAACTTCAGCAAAGTCTCAGGATACAAAATCAATGTACAAGAATCACAAACATTCTTATATACCAATAACAGACAAACAGAGAGCGAAATCATGAGTGAACTCCCATTCACAATTGCTTCAAAGACAATAAAATACTTAGGAATCCAACTCACAAGTGACATGAAGGACCTCTTCAAGGAGAACTACACACCACTGCTCAATGAAATAAAAGAGGATACAAAGAAATGGAAGAACATTCCATGCTCATGGGTAGGAAGAATCAATATCATGAAAATGATCATACTGCCAAAGGTAATTTACAGATTCAATGCCATCCCCATCAAGCTACCAATGACTTTCTTCACAGAATTGGAAAAAAATACTTTAAAGTTCATATGGAACCAAAAAAGGGCTGGCATCACCAAGTCAATCCTAAGCCAAAAGAACAAAGCTGGAGGCGTCACTCTACTTGACTTCAAATTATACTACAAGGCTACAGTAACCAAAACAGCATGGTACTGATACCAAAACAGAGTTATAGATCAATGGAACACAACAGAGCCCTCAGAAATAATGCCGCATATCTACAACTATCTGATCTTTGACAAACCTGAGAAAAACAAGCAATGGGGAAAGGATTCCCTATTTAATAAATGGTGCTGGGAAAACTGGCTAGCCATATGTAGAAAGTTGAAACTGGATCCCTTCCTTACACCTTATACAAAAATTAATTCAAGATGGATCAAATACTTAAACGTTAGACCTAAAACTATAAAAACCATAGAAGAAAACCTAGGCATTACCATTCAGGACATAGGTATGGGCAAGGACTTCATGTCTAAAACACCAAAAGCAATGGCAACAAAAGCCAAAATTGACAAATGGGATCTAATTAAACTAAAGAGCTTCTGCACAGCAAAAGAAACTACCGTCAGAGTGAACAGGCAACCTACAAAATGGGAGAAAATTTTTGCAACCTACTCATCTGACAAAGGGCTAATATCCAGAATCTACAATGAACTCAAACAAATTGACAAGAAAAAAACAAACAACCCCATCGAAAAACAGGCAAAGGATATGAACAGACACTTCTCAAAATAAGACATTTATGCAGCCAAAAGACACATGAAAAAATGCACACCATCACTGGCCATCAGAGAAATGCAAATCAAAACCACAATGAGATACCATCTCACACCAGTTAGAATAAAAATCATTAAAAAGTCAGGAAAGAACAGGTGCTGGAGAGGATTTGGAGAAATAGGAACACTTTTACACTGTTGGTGGGACTGTAAACTAGTTCAACCATTGTGGAAGTCAGTGTGGCGATTACTCAGGGATCTAGAACTAGAAACACCATTTGACCCAGCATCTCATTACTGGGTATATACCCAAAGGACTATAAATCATGCTGCTATAAAGACACATGCACACGTATGTTTATTGCGGCACTACTCACAATAGCAAAGACTTGGTACCAACCCAAATGTCCAACAATGATAGACTGGATTAAGAAAATGTGGCACATATACACCATGGAATACTATGCAGCCATAAAAAATGATGAGTTCATGTCCTTTGTAGGGACATGGATGAAATTTGAAATCATCATTCTCAGTAGATATACCTAATGCTAAATGACGTGTTAATGGGTGCAGCACACCAGCATGGAACATGTATACATATGTAACTGACCTGCACATTGTGCACATGTACCCTAAAACTTAAAGTATAATAATAAAAAAAGTCATAGGTGGTTTATTATGTGCAATCATTATCTTCCTCATACAAAAATCAGAAGTGACTTTTTATGTGCAACAGTTATCTTTAAAACGATATCAGAATTTCATTGGGTTTGAATAACCTGAAGCAGAAAGGCTAGGTATTTTGAGCTGTATGTATCAGGATTGCATTTCAAACTAGGCAAGGGGCCTCCACTAAAGATGAGTGTGCAATGACATGCTGGCTTTCTGAGTTCCAAAACCCCTGTTCCTCATCACACACTGGAGTCATCATTAAGGAATGCATTAGGAGCATTAGATATTCTGAAATGAGCACACAGTACTTGGGGAGCCAGAAAAAGCTTTTCCATTACTTGTGGATAATGATGAATGTACATGAGAATAGTAATGATAGGACTTAAAATATTCATTACATAAAGAACATCCTATACAGGACCTACTTAAATGGAACCAGGACTACTAATGCCACTCTTTGGTGATTAACTTAGATGCATTCAAAAGTTTGCTTTTGCAACTCTTATTGCCAGCAAGAGAAACTACAGAGGATCCTTCATCTCCTCCAGCGGCTTGGAAGTAAAAATGCAACTGTCATATGGAAGAGATTTGGTTAAATACATAGAATGGCAGGGATGAATGTTAAATTTCTATATTGATGATTGGCTTTGGGAGTGGAATAATAAATTCAGTAGGAAGGATTGCTGTGAATATTTCTATGCACATTGGTATCCACTTGTAGTGCCACCTTGCACTTCAGGAAAACTAAAGAAATGGCAACTTCCAATAGCACATAGTGGTTCAGAAGAAGGAGCTACAGACCACACAGGCTGGGTTCACATCACTCCTGCACTTTTTGCTAGCTGGGGGAAGTCGGGTAACTTGCCTCTTTGGGCAACAGTCCTTTGTGCAATGTTGTTATAATGGTATCTTCTAACTCATGGCTGTTGTGAAGATTTAATTGTGAAGTTAATACATAGATTATCTTCAGAAAGCTGCCTGACATGAACTCTAAAGATCTGTATATATGCATGTATGTGTGTCACATCTATCTCTATTTAATCTCTCTATCTGATCTATATGTATCTATCTATTCTATCTATCTCATGTTATCGAGGTATCTATTCCATCCATATCTATCTCAATCTTCTATTCCATCTATCCTATTTATCTACCATCTATTCTATCCACATCTATATCTGTCTGTCTATCTATCTATCTATCCATCTATGTATCTGTCTGTCTATCTATATCTCTGAGAGAGAACTATATGCATATATAGGTGTATACATATTTATGTGTGCATATATATAGGTGTGTATGCATATCTATATATACTTATGGGTATGTGGGTGTTTTGTGTGTATACATACACATACACTACACACACACACGCATGCACACACACATATGTGACATTTAGTTAAATATTTTGGCAATAAAAGTCTAACTTTCTTCTCAAGCAATAATGATTAATGCCTGAAAGGGAAACCATGACAGCTAGCAACGTTTCTCTCCTCTGTTGATCTTCCATTTTCTTTGCACATTCACTATCCTAAGAAAAATGTTTAACTACATTATGCTATACAAATTATTAGAGATGTTAATCACCCCAACTCTTAAGATTACCCTACTCTGGGGAAAGAATGGAAAGACCAGACTACAAAGTTAAACCATGGCAAAGAAAGAGACTGACTTAGGAATACTAGAGACAATGCACAGAGATAAAAGTGTGTTACTTTCAAAAAGTGAGTACTTAGACTCTTACACTTGACGCTAGGAATTTTAAATGCAACCTAATTGCCATGACTGAATCTCATTATCTAAGTTTGTAAGCATATGTGTTTTCACATATGCCCAAGATTCCTGGGGGCCTTATTTCTAAAATACAGTAAATGAATAAATAATAGTTTCAAATAGGATGGCCTCTCCTATTTGTTTTTTTTATGTGTATTTAAACATATCCCATTTAGGAAAAAAAAAGTGAAATGAATGAAAGGAAAACAAACCAATTGTGAATTGGATATTTCTTTTTATTCTTGAAACTTAGGAAGAACTTTTCACAGTAGGAAAATTATATCTGTAGTTGTTTCCATGTCCCAATAGTATTTTTTTGAGGGAGACAGTGTCAGGATTTGGATGTTGTGGAATGCAGCCATGCAACTGGGATAAGGCGTAGGGACTTTGCGGGTGTGAGGAGGAGATGGAGGGAGGAGTAATGTGAATAGCATTACCATATTCCCCTCATGTCTTCTTTATGTTGGTTTTCAGAATACAATTATATGCTAAAGAAATATTTTCAAATCCCCTATGTACACCCCTTTTATTTTCCACCCCTTCCTTCCCAGTGGACTCTAGTTAATTTAGTTTTGTAATTGCTCTGGATTGTCTTATCATTACAATGCCTATGTGTTTACCTATATTTATAAGTAGATATAGATAGATGGTAGATACAAAATAGAAGACAGACAGATAAACAGGTAGATGATAGATGAAAAGATAGGTAGATGATAGATCATAGAATAGATGATAGAGTAGATAGATGATAGGTCAATAAATGACATAAATAATAGATGATAGAATAGATGGAATATTGGATACATAGATAATAGGTAGGTATACAAGTAGACAGGTAGATAGATAAATAGATAATAGATGGATATATAGATAGATATAAAGATAGATAATAGATATAAAGATAGAGGTTCATTTGTCAAATTTAAGTAAATATTTCATTCTGTATTTGGGCAACATGATAGATGATAGAGTAGATAGATGATAGGTCAACAAATGACATAAATAATAGATGATAGAATAGATGGAATATTGGATACATAGATAATAGGTAGGTATACAAGTAGACAGGTAGATATATAAATAGATAGATAATAGATATATAGATAGACATAAAGACAGATAATAGATATAAAGATAGAGGTTCATTTGTCAAATTTAAGTAAATGTTTCATTCTGAAGGTCATTCTTCATTTATAGTTAACTTTGAGATTAAGTGAACTGATAACTACAACTGTAGTTTATTCATCTTATTGATTATTACAATGTTGGCAGTTTCTAACTTTTCATTATTCCACGCAAGTTACTCTAGGCATTCTTGTCAATGACACTGCACACATAACTCGAGCTTCCCTCAAGTAGAAAGCTGACTGGTAGTCTGAACACATGTTCAATTATCCTGAGGTTTCAAGACAGTGTCTCAAAGTTGTTTCACCAATTCACACTCCCTCCAACAGAGCAAGGGATCACCTTTGGCTTCTTGTCTTCCTCTCTTCTTGATATTGTAACTTTTCTTTTTGTCAATTTTAGTGGAGTCTCATAGCTGTTTTAAATTGAATTTCCCTGACCAGGAAAAAAAGATGCCTTTTCATGTGTAATTGGTCATTCAGGTGTTTTTCTTTATTGAAATACTATTCTTTTCATTTAATGTGTTCTATGGAGATTTTTTCCTTTTACTGATTGTTTTGTTGAAGTATGTGTGTGTATTCATAAATAGAACTATATACATTTGCTATCTCTCTCTCTCTCTCTCTCTATATATATATATATATCTATATCTACATATATATATATAGAGAGAGAATATACATACATATATATATATATATATATATTCCTACTCTAAGCTGTACTGCTCCTATTATTATCTGGTTGTATACCATATTTTGTTTATTCTAGTTGCTTTGGTAGGTTTTCACTTGCCCTTTCTTGAATTTCAGTTTGATATGCTGGGGTGTGGACTTGCCTTTATTTCTCCTACTTGGAGTTCACTTTTTTCATGACTCATATATTCCTGTTTCATATGATTCTGGAATATTGCCATCATTATCTTTTGGAATATTGTTTATTCCTTATCCTCAGAATGCTGTTATTCTCCAACACATTTTAGTCATTGTATCCTGAATCTCTTCCATGTACCCTCCTTCTCTCTCAAACACACTTTGATACAATCTATCTGTTGATATTTATGTGCTGCATTCTAAGTGATTTTTCACATCTCCCCATTCATTTCTTTCTCAGTTTAGTCACGTGTAATCTGGTCTTTAATTTACCTATTGAGGTTTAGGTTCTATGGCTTGGTTTTTACTTCTATAAGTTCTCATATTTATTTCAAATCCATCTGTTGTTTATTTACAGTATCTTCCTCTTATCTCTTGTGCTCCTTCTATTCTAAATGCTTTTCATAATCCAAACCTAATTATGTATTATGTTATTGTGATTATATTGCTGTTTGTGCCTTTTGACAATCCTGAGCATTGGTTTGGAACTTCACATGTATTGTGATTTTTGTGAACTCATCTTCAGGAGGGTTTTATCAGTGGGAATTTTGTTGTGCCTTTTGATCTTCATTTTGGCCTTCATGAGCATTGGGTTGTGACTTCACATATATTGTGATTTTTGATTGTGAACTTATCTTCAGGAGGGTTTTATCAGTGGGAATTGTGTGCAGTTTGTAATGAGGGTATTCCTTTGTAGGAGGTTTTTAAATGTGTTTTTTCCATGAGCTCTAGTTTTGACACTCCCTCAGGATCAGTTCATTTTTTACTTGCATGTTGTAGCTTCAAGAAACATGGGGATCATATAAACTAAAAATCTTGATCCATGTTGTTGCAGGAAGTCAGGGACCCCTAACAGAGGGACCTGCTGGAGCTGTAGCAGAGAAACGTAAATTGTAAAGATTTCATGGACATTTACCAGTTCCCAAATAATTTTTTCATAATTTCTTACACCTGTCTTATTTTATTCTCTTACTCCTGTTATCTTCGTAAGCTGAGGATGTATGTCACCTCACGGCCACTATGATAATTGTGTTAACTGTACAAATTGATTGTAAAACATGTGTGTTTGAACAATATGAAATCAGTGCACCTTGAAAAAGAACAGAATAACAGTGATTTTCAGAGAACAAGGGAAGACAACCATAAGGCCTGACTGCCTGTGGGATTGGGCAAAACAGAGCCATATTTTTCTTCTTGCAGAGAGCCTATAAATGCAATCCCTACATGCAAGTAGGGAAGATATCACTAAATTCCTTTCCTAGCAAATAATATTAATATTAAGACCCTGGGAAAGAAATGCATTCCTGGGGCAAGTTCTATAAACAGCTGCTCTGGGAATGTGTGTCCTATGTGGTTGAGATAAGGACTGAGATACACCTTGGTCTCCTGCAGTACCCTCAGGCTTACTAGGATTGGGAAACTCCATCCTGGTAAATTTTTGGTCACACCAGTTCTCTGCTGTCAAACTCTACTTTCTGTTAAGATGTCTATCAAGACAATACATGCACTGCTGAACATAGACCCTTATCAGGAGTTTCTGCCTTTTTCCCTTTGTCCTGTTTCCTCAGAAGCATGTGATCTTTGCTGTGGTTTTTGCCCCCTGAAACATGTGACCTACTCCCTGTTTGTACACTCCTTCCCCTTTTGAGATCCTTAATAAAAGCTTGATGGATTTGTGGCTCAGGTGGACATCACAGTCTGATTATGGAAAATAGAAAGAACCTACATTGAAATATTGGAGGTGGGATTCCCTGATATTTGGCACACCAATGTGGTTTTCTTTTTCCTAAGTGCATGTGGGAACCTGATTCCCTTTGGTAGGTGTGGTGAAACGTTCATCAGTCTGGTCCACAGAAATGCTTGTTTGCTCCCTGAAAATTGGTGAGTTGTCTGTGTATTGTCTGGGGTAACTATGGGTCATGCAGAATCTAAACATTATGCTTATCTCTGGTATATTAAACTTCTGTTAAAATCAGGTGGAGTTCAGGTTCCCATGAAAAATATGGTCACTCTATTCAGGGCAGTGGAAGAACACTGTCCTTGTTTCCTGAAAAGGCAATGTTAGATGTGGAACTATGGGATCATGTTGGTGCAAAATTCTGGGGAACTGGTCCCGACAGGAAACTATGTTCCCATCACTGTTTGGGGTGATTGGGACTTGGTACGTGACATCCTAGTGACATATTAATCCTGTGACACCCTGCAGTTACCACAGTTTCCTGAATCTGGTGACCCTCTACCTCTTCCTCAGCTTTTCTCTCCCACTTGGCCTTCGTTATCTGCTCAGCCTCTCCCTTTACCTACTCCTCCCCCACCTGATGATATTGAGAATTCAATATCTAACTCCGGTGACTTTGGCTTAACATCACACTCTGATGATCTTATTTCTTTGCACAAAGAGCTGATACTTGTAGCTCCTGCAGCCCTGACTTGAACAGTCTGGGACCATATCTATGCTAACTCTTCCCTCTTCAAACCTTTGCAGGATTTGTCTCCAGAGCCACCTAATGACTCTGGGACCAAACTGCAATTTACCTGCAATTCTACAGGCCCTCTTCTGTCCACCACAGCCCCTCACCCTCCTGTCATTTTGATGCCTCAACTGGTCACTTTGCCATCCACTCAACCTGCTTCTCTGTATCCTTCTTTGCACAAGGATACCCCTGCCACTCTGGTTGCACAGAATTGGGACAATAATCACCAGTATGCACCTGCCTCTTCTGCTCCCCCAATGCCCCTTTCTCACACTCTCATACCAGTCTGACCTCCTTAACCTCAGTTTCCCTTATCTACATATACTTTTCATGTCACTTCTATGCTGACTCCGTCTCATGTGCCTGTTCTTGAAACTTCCATGCAATGCTTATTATGACACAACAAAGAAACAACTGCATTAGAGGCGTGGGCTTATCTGGTCACCCTGGAACCTCCCAATGCTCAAGGTATACAAGTGCATCCATATACACTGCTTAATCTTACCTTTTTAAGAGAATTCAAGGATGTTTGTACTCAGTTTGATTCTACTTCTCCATGTGTTAAAATGGTATTACAGACTATTTCTACTGAGATCATTTTGCTTCCTTTAGACTGGGGCCTTTTGGCAAAAGCTGTTCTAACTCCATCTCAGCATTTACAGTTCCATACCTGGTGGTCAGAAGAGGCTCATCTGCAGACTCAGCTAAATTGGGCTGGTGGCATTCTAATTGCTCCATCTCAGTTCACAGACTCCAATAATTACTCTGACACTACTGCCCAATTAGGCTTTGATGCTCTCACCACGGAACAAGTAACAAAGCTGTGTATGAGAGTTTGGGATAAATTACACGCCCCAGGCCAAGCTCCTGTTTCTTTTACTACTGTTAAACAGGGACACAATAAATTCTATCCTGATTTTTTGGCCAAATTACACAATGCAGTTCCAAATTCTGTCTCTGATGAGCGCACTCAAGATATTGTCGTTCGTATGTCAACTTTTGAGAATGTGAACCATGAGTGTAAAATGGCCATGCGTTCCGTCAAAACGATGAAGTTTACCTGATCATGAGGTGTTGCCTGCATATATTAAAGCTTGTGAAGGCATTGGATTGGAGACCCACAAAGCTATTCTGTGGGCATGGGCCATGAAGGATAGCAATCAAACTGGCTCAACTGATTCGTTTCTTGGAGCCTGCTATAATTGTGCTCAACTTGGTTATACTCAAAAAAAGTGCACTGTTAAAAACTTAAAAGCAGCCAAGCCAGCTCAAAAAACATGGCCAAATGCTCCTGCTACTGTTTGCCCACGTTGTCATAAAGGTAAACACAGGGCAAGTAGTTGTCACTCTAAGTCTGATATAGATGGAAACCCCCTGCCACAGAACCAGGGAAACAGGAAGTGGGGCCAGTCCCAGGCCCCAGTATCAAATGGGACACCTCAGACTCAGACCAATGTTGCATTTCCACTTCAAGAGGCCCCAGTTCATTCCCCAGCACAAACAAATTGACCTACGGCCAACCCAGATGGGTCCCGGCCTCTTCTTCTGTCTCAGTACAATGCTCGTCTACCTCCACAGTAGGGGGTGGGGCGGTCGATCCCTGTAGTACCATTCCTCTAAATTTACTACCTAATTCTTTGCCTTTAATTGTCCCCATGGTGGTCACTGGCCCTTTACCTCAAGTTTTGGTGAGGGTGGTGTTAGCTAGGGCATCCACCTCTGCTAAAGGTATCACAGTTCATACTGGTCTCATTAATACTGATTCCTCTGATGAGATTAAACTTACAGTGTCTGCCAAGGTTCCTGTTTCCATTCTGGCCAGTGAGTCAATTGCTCAATTACTTTTATTACCTAATATCATTTTAAACAAAGGAGATAATATATGGGGCCCTGGGATGGGCTCCAGTGGTGAAAAAGCCACTTATTGGATTAATGTAATTTCTGAGCAACATCCTACCTGCACCATACACATTTGAGGAAAAAAGTTTGAGGGCCTAGTATATACCAGGGATAATGTTTCTATTATTTCTTCTAATTTATGGCCTTTCTCCTGGCTTAAACATCCCTCCAACATGAGACTAGTAGGTGCTGGAAAAGCTAATGAAGTTCACCAGAGCACATTTATCTTGCCTTACACTGGCCCTGATGGTCAAAAGGGTACAATTCAGCCTTATATCATGGCCCATGTTAAAAGACATAAGTATTCTTGCTTTGCAGTTATGGGTCTTCCATATCAAATAAAAACAGGCAACACCCCTGGATATATTAGTAAGGCTTTTGATTTATTTATGCAATAATGTGTAATTTCCCATAATACTGGAATCCCTTACAATCCTCAGGGACAGGCTGTGGTGGAATGAGCCAATCACACTTTAAAAACTCAATTTCCAAAATGTCTGAAAAATGAAAACATAATTTAACCACTCCCCACTCCCAATTACATTCAGCATTATTTACTTTAAATTTTCTAAATGTTGCTAAAGACAATACTCTGACTGCAGCTGAATGCCATTATATAGGCAAAAAATTCTCCCTAAATGAAGGCAAGCCAGTGTTATGGAAAAACTCCCAAACCAATATCTGGGAAGCTGGAACAATTATAAAGTGGGGAAGAAGGTATGCTTGTGTTTCACCAGGAGATCATCAATGCCCTGTCTGGGTGCCACTAGAAGACTTAAACTTCATGTGAATACTGACAATGAAAACCCCAGGAAAAAGACATCCTCATCAGAGACTGCCCTCATACCTAGTGAGATCTGGGCCAACTCCTCAGAAACTGACAAGCCAAATCAAAATGGGTCTGATTCAATCCTCCGTAATAGCAACAGAGACCCCTCTAACTCATCCCACTTCTCCTAATTACCTTTCTTTTTCTCCTTACAAACTTAAAAATCTCACCATTTCTATTAGCTTGAAAATAACATCCCTCCATTCTTCTCTTCCTCCTTCAGCACTGGGTCTCACTTACAATAGGTTTTATTTAATAATTTTCCTCCTTGTAATTTATGTCTCACTAGTGTCCCCTAAAACTGATTTACCTGCTGCATAAAATTGTTCTTACTGGGCTTATGTGCCTTTTCCTCCACTCATTCGACCTCTCACCTGGATGGATGCTCCTGCAGAAATCCATACTAACTATAGTGTGTGGATGCCTGGAGCCACAGATGACCATTGCCTCACTCAACCAGGAGAATAAGACACTGCATTTAATGTTACTATGGGTTATAAATACCCTCCTCTTTGCCTCAGACATGCACCTGGTTGTGTCTATCCAGAAACTCAAGTGGAGGCTGCTTATCTTCCAAAGATATGAGCTACAAGATAATTCAGACATTTGGTCACTGGCCTCTCCCTGTCTCCCTTAAGACAAATGAAAGGGGGAGTAATAGGAGATACCCCATACTTTCAATATAAACCTGTAGGAAAAACATGTCCTAAAAATTTTGAGGGCCCATCTAAAACTTTAATTTGGGAAGACTGTGTTAACTCAGATGCAATAGTATTAAAAAATGACTCATATGGTTTAGTAATAGACTCGGTACCAAAGGGCTATTTAAAAAACAATTGCCTCTCTGATGGAAGGGAATGCCTGGAGACTACTTATTTTATTTCTTATTGGGAGGATGAGGATCATCATCCTACTTTGCATAGGAGGTTCAGCTCATTCTTTCACTTAAAATGGAAACATAAGGGCATTACCCCCCACAAGGCCTCATATGATATTCCCCATTCTGAGCCCAGAACACCAAGAATTTTGGAAAATGGTGATTGCCATGTCTGGACTGCGAGTATAGAAAGGGGAAACTTTTCTGTGTGTTGTCCCCACTACCGCCCCTCACATCTGTGATTCTGAACACCATGATAAATCCCCTTTGAATCCTCTTCCTCTTTGTGATGCCAATCCTCCTTTATGGGACTCCAATTGGCCTTATGATAATTCTTCTCAACCTAGGTATGCCCTTCTGCTTCTTTGGCATCCCCAGGCACTTCAGATTGCTTCTTTACAGCAGAGGACATCGGGCATGGCCACTGCCACTCTTCTCCCTCAGTATCAATGTAGATTCAGACATTCTGCTTTGTTTACCTCCAACCTGTATATTCCTATACAGAGTTGTGTTAAGCCTCCTTACATGCTGTTAGTGGGAAATATCAAAATTTGAATGAACAATCAAACTGTCCCATGCATTAATTGTCATTTACACACCTGTGTTAACTTCTGTTTTGACTCCTGGAAAAGTGTAATATTGGTTCAAGCTCAAAAAGAAATCTAGATACCAGTAACTTTACCCAGACCTTGGGAATCTTCCCCCTCAGTACATTTAATTAATGAAGTGTTACAACGAATTTTTAAAAGATCTAAGAGATTTGTTTTCACTTTAATCGCTGTGATCATGGACCTAATTACAGTCACTGCACTGGCCACCACTGCTGGGTTGGCATTACACCGATCTATTCAAACGGCTCATTTTGTTAATGATTGGCAAGCCAATTCCAACCAAATGTGGAGTCTCAACAAGGCTTCGATCAAAAATTAGCTAATCAAATTAATGATCTAAGACAATCTGTTATTTGGCTTGGAGATCGGGTAGTAAGTCTCAAACATCGCGTGCAAATGCAGTGCGATTGGAATACTTCTGATTTCTGTATCACACCACATTCCTACAATGAGACTGATCATTCATGGGAAATGGACAAAGGACACCTTCTGGGTAGGGAAGATAATTTATCCTTGGACATAACTAAATTAAAGAAACAAATTTTTGAAGCCTCTCAGGCTCATTTATTCATTGTGCCTGGAGTTGAGGCATTAGATCAGGTGGCAGAAAGTCTTTCTGGACTAAATCCCATGACTTGGATTAAGTCTATTGGGGCCTCCACTGTAGTAAATTTTGGAATTATGTTTCTCTGTTTTATCAGCTTGTTTTTAGCATGCTGTAAGGAACACCCTGAGACTGGGTAGTTTATAAAGGAAAGAGGTTTAATTGACTCTCAATTCCACATGGCTGAGAAAGCCTCAGGAAACTTACAATCATGATGAAACGTGAAGGGGAAGTAGGAGCTTTCTTTACAAGGTGGCAGGAAGGAGAGGGAGAGCAGGGGAACTGTCACATTTGAACCATCAGATCTTGGGAGAACTTCCTCACTATCACAAGAACAGCATGGGGGAAACTACCCTCAAGATCCAACCACCTCCCACCATGTCTCTCCCTGCACAACTGGTGATTACAGTTGGAGATGAGATTTGGGTTGGGACACAGATTCAAGCCATATCAACTAAATAACAGACCTACATGTGTATGCCTGAACATAAAATAAAAGTTAAAAAAAAAGAAAGAATTCTGGAGATTGGCTTACATAACAATGTGAGTGTTCCTAATTACTACTGAAGCAAACACTTAAAAATTGTTAAAGTTGTACATTTTAGGCTGTGTGTACTTTACATAATAAAAAACTTTTAAATTACCTTAATTTTAAACTAATAAATGTATCTTCACTGTACAAAAATAATGTGGGGCAACAAAAGAGAAAGTATTATCTAAAGTATTTATTTTGAGAGGTTTATGGTGCTGCATGTTTGAATAGACCCCAACACAAAACATGACTGTTACAAGGCCGATTCCATAGAATAGTTGTTGTGGTAGTATTCAAGCAGCCACATGCTGGGTCATACGAATCTAGTAGATTCCAAGATAAATCCTCTCTTTTTCCCTTTGAGACAGGGTCACACTCTGTTACACAGGCTGCAGTGTAGTGATGTGATCATGGCTCACTGTAGCCTCAACCTGGGGGCTCAGCTGATCCCACCATGTCAGCCTCCTGAGTAGCTGATACTACAGGTGCATGCCACATGCCTGGCTAATTTTTAAATTTTTTTTTTGTATAGATGGGTTTTTTCCTTGTTGGCCAGGTGTGTCTCAAATTCCTTGGCTCAAGCGATCCTCCTGCCTTAGCCTCTCAAAATGTTGGGATTAGTGGTGTGAGTCACTGCACCCTGTGTCAGTTACATTCTTAAAGCAAGGGTTGTGAAAGAGAAAATAGTTGAAGGGTTTCTATCTGGCTGAAATCTTAAAACTCTTTCTATTCGATTTCTTCTAGTTCAATTTCAAACTCTTAAGTGTGGAGCAAAGGGGAAAAGAGAGGTTAATAACCACAGGATGATCCTTTACCAGTGAGATCATGAGGGAGCTGGACTTCCTGACCTGAGGGTTCAGATTTGTTCTACTTCATTGCAAAGAAACTAATCACGCATATTCTGCCATAGCATGTAATGATTTATCATCTTCTGCTGCCTCGTTGAGATGACAGCAGGCACCATGTCGATTATTTTTCTCTATGGAATTCATGAGGTTGAGTGGATAGATCATTCTACAACATACCTGTACAACCTATGTAAACATCTATTTATGTAGAAATATCTATTGCTTTAGACATAAGAATGATTTTTGCAAGATGAATTTAGGCTTGTTTGTATTTCAGTGTGCAAACAGTAGACAAGTGTCTGTGATGAAAATTGCATTTGTGCTGGGAGAGGTAACACATGTGGCTGAGTCTGGGATCAAAACAGCAAATAGGGAAAAGTCCACAGTCCCTACTGGAAACTTGCCTACACATCTTTTATCCTCTAAAATCCTTCTGAGGATTAAGTGGTATTATGTACTGCCTATTGTTTTTCTCTAAATCCTGTCTTGTAGAAGGCAGTGTCAATAAAACAGTGCTCAGAACTGCTGATCCATCATTCATTGCCAGCTGATCCCAAAAAGCATTTTATGAACATCTTAGACAAAAGATCATTCTATTCTTATGGAATTAAATCAAATTAGTCCCCTCCTTAAATCTCCAAATAGGGATGGCACTTACAATGACAGTTGAAACAAAGGGACTCACCTGAATCAAATATCGTAATGAATGTAAAATGATTAATAAGAGTCAACAGGTAAATTTCAATTACTTGGATTATTTTTAATAGTATTATTACTACTAAAATCACTACTCATAAATTAGACCATTTTGATACATTCAGACAGAGGACAGTGAACTAAATCTTATCAGTGAACTAAATCTGACCAGCTGCCATGTTTGCCTCTTTGGTACAGTTTTTTAATTACTGGTGTGTTAAGAATGGTTCTTATATTCATTGCAGCACTATTCACAAGTAATGACATTGAATCAACCTAAATGCACATTAATTACAGACTGCATGAAGAAAATGTGGTACATATACACCATGAAAAACTATAAAGCCATAAAAAAGAATGAGCTCATGTTTTTTGCAGGGATATAGATAGAGCTGGAGGCCATTATCGTTTGCAAACTAATGCAAGAACAGAAATCCAAATGCTGCATGTTCTCTCTCATAAGTGGGAGCTAAATGATGAGAACTCATGGACATATAGAGGGGAACAACACACACTGGGGCATATCAGAGGATGGAGGGTGGGAAAAGTGAGAGCATCAGGAAAAATAACTAATGGGAATACCTGAGTGATGAAATAATCTGCACAGCAAACCCCCATGACACACATTTTCCTATGTAAGAAATCTGCACGTGTATCCCTGAACTTAAAAGTTGAAAAAAAAAAAATAACCAGTTGTATATATACCTACATAATTTTCTCTGTATTGCTTATTGTGTATACAGAGTGAAAATTCTAAAACATTACCTGGCTCTTGAGAAACAAAAAGAAGGGTTGCAGCACTCTGCCTTACAACCATGACATTGTAAATGTATATTTAAATTCAAAAAGAGTTTCAAAGGATCTTCTGAAGAACTCTGAAGAGGGGGTGATATTACAGCCACTGTATCAAAGATAATTTTAAAATGAGTCAGAACATTTGTTCAGTAAGGACAATGCCACTGAAAGATTGCAAAAGAGACCTCCAAGTTTGTGAATGGACTCTTTTCTAGAGTAAATTAAAAACATTTTGTAGCTTCAAGAATTTCACTTCTGTTCTGCTCGGTTGATAATTTCCCTCAAATAATTACTAGCAAAATGTTTCAGTGACACAGAACTCAACGCTCTCAAGGAAAAATCTTAAGTGGTTCTTTAATGCTATTTACAGAGTCCTTATTAAGGTATTAGCCTAATGCCTTTATAAAGAGGGTGATGGGTAGTGGGAACTTTAGTTCCACTCTGCTTGAAAATGTAGTTTTGCGTTACTCAAGGGATTGTGGAGAAACCTGCCTTACAGTTGAGAGAACGCAATTATCAAAGATTCATGTCCGTCTTTAAACATATTGTAACTCTAAACTTGCCAAGAAGAGTATACATGCAAAATGGCACAATGACTTAAACAATACATACATTTCTAGGAAAAGAACACATATGGAAACTTGCATTTTTAGCTGCTGGATTAATGTATTTGTCCAGTTTCACGTGAGATCTGTATGAACATTGATAATCCACTAAATTAGGTTTTCTTATTTTTATATATATCCACTTTTTTAAACTAAATGTGAGTGGCATTTTAATGTGAACTGTTAATTGTTACTATTAATGCTGTTTATTCTGGATACTATGTATCAGACAATATGCTACAAAATTGAATGCACATAGGAACCTCATAATACTACCAGCACAGTGTAATAAAAAGAGATAAGCAGGCAGTGTGAAAAGACCAAATTCTGGTTTTGTTCCTATCAGCATTCTCATATATAAATGAGACAACAAGAAAGTGATGATAGTGGTAATAAAAATATCACCTAGTTTGACCTTAGAGAAATATTATAAGAATAAAAGGCAGCAATGTCTGTGAAAGCTTTAAAGTCTGAGTAATGCAATGGCTCTGAAACAGAGACTGAAGAGTATATTGTAATGTGTAGTCCTAGGTTACCTAAGACAGTGCACAACAAAACCACTCTGGAAAGTTACCATATGTACAATTCTTCATCTAGAGATGATGAGAAATATATGCTTCATATACAAAAAACAGCTGTTTCCATTTGTCTCTTTATCTCTGTCTCTTATCTCTCTCTCTTTCTCTGTTTATTTTCTCTGTCTGTATCTCTCTGTTCCCTACTAACACACAAAGTGACCCAGCAGAATTAACATTATTAAAGGAGCTAAACATTAAAACAATGGAATTCATGGGAATAGAGTGTGGAATGATGCTTACCAAAAACTGGGAAGGGTAGTGGGGGTGGTGGTGAAGGGGAAGTTGGGATGATTAACAGGTACAAAAAATAGCAGAAAAAATGAATAAGATTTAGTACCTGATAGCACAACAGGGTGACTATAGTCAATAATAATTTAATTATCATTTAACAATAACTAAGTATCATTTGATTGTAACACAAAGGAGATATATATATATATATATAAATACACACAAATACAGGTATATATATATATATATTTAAATACACACAAATACAGGTATATATATATATATATATATACATACACACACACACACTACATATAAACACATAATACACACACCCACATCTGTGTATATACACATGTGTACATACATACACATATATACATATACTAACATATACATATGCATATACATATATGTATATGTAGGTATACATATATACACACAGATGCATGTATTAAATTGGTGCAAAATTACTTTTAATGACAAAAATTTTAATTAGTTTTGTACCAATCTATATATGCAGAGAGAGAGGAGAGACAGAGAGGGAGAAAGGTTTATTTGATTGGGCCAGAGGCTGGCAACAATGTGTAGAACAGACTGGCTGGCTGGAGACCGGGAAAATAGTGTATAACACAGCCTTGAGTCTAACTGCTGGAAACCCAGGCTGAATTTTTATGTTAGTCTGGATGCTGAATTCTTCCTTCTTTGGAAAACATTGGTCTTTATGCTTAAGAACTTCGACTGGCTGGATGGGGCCCACCCATGTTATGGAGGGCAATGTGCTTTACTAAAACTCTACTGATTGTAAATTTTCACCACATCTCAAAAAAAAAAAAAAAAAATTCCCCTCCCTTGGCTAGGTTTGGTGGCTCATACCTGTAATCCCCGCACTTTGGGAGGCTGAGTCAGGAGGATGACTTGTAGTCTGGACAACATAGTGAGACCCACCTGAAGAACATAGAAAGATTCATCTCTATAAATTTTTTTTGAGAATAGCCAGGCATTGTGTCATGTACCTGTAGTCCTAGTTACTCAGGAGGCTGAGGCAGGAGGATTGCTTGAGCCCAGAAGTTTGAGGCTGGAGTGAGCTATATTTTGTACCACTGCTCTTCAGCCTAGGTGACAGAGCAAGACCCTGTACCAAAAACAAAGAAACAAAAGAGTTCCTTCCCAACAAGACATAGTCTATGTGTCCAGGCAAACAACTTGTCACCAGTTTCTAGTCAAGTGGTCACATAAAAGTAAACATCACATCAATTATAGTTGCAGCAACTTTTTAAAATATATAGTTTTTTTATTTCAATAGCTTTTTGGGATACAAATATTTTTTGCCTACATGGTTGAATTGTATAGTGGTGTGGTCTGAGATTTTAGTGCACCTGTCACCTGAGTAGTGTATATTGTACCCAATATGTAGTTATTTATCCCCCACATCCCTCCCACCCTCCCAGATTCTGAGTCTCCAGTGTCTATTTTACCATTCTGTATGCCTTTGCATACTCATTGTTTAGCTCTCACTTATAAGTGAGAACCTATGGTATTTGGTTTTCCATTCCTGAGTTACTTCACTTAAAATAATGGCTTCCAGCCCCATCACAAAGACATTATTTCATTCATTTTTATGGCTGAGTAGTATTCTATGCTGTATATATACCATATTTTCTTTATTTACTCATTGGTTGATGGTCACTTAGGTTGATTCCATATCTTGCATTTGTGAATTCTGCTGTAATAAACATGCATTTAGGTGTCCTTTTCATATAATGGCTTCTTTTCCTTTGGGTAGATATTCAGTAGTCAGATTGCTGGATCAAATAGTAGGTCTACTTTTAGTTTTCTGAGAAATCTCCAACTCTTTTCCATATACCAATTTACATTCCCAGCAGCAGTATACAAGCACTCCCTTTTCACCATATCCACACCAACATTTATTGTTTTTTGACTTTTTATTTTATTTATTGATTTTTTAAAAAATTTTATTATTTTTTATGACTGCATAGTATTCCATGGTGTATATGTGCCACATTTTCTTAATCCAGTCTATCATTGTTAGACATTTGGGTTGGTTCCAAGTCTTTGCTATTGTGAATAGTGCCACAATAAACACACGTGTGCATGTGTCTTTATAGCAGCATGATTAATAGTCCCCTAATGCTAAATGACGAGTTAATGGGTGCAGCACACCAACATGGCAGATGTATACATATATAACAAACCTGCACGTTGTGCACATGTACCCTAAAACCTAAAGTATAATAATAATTTATTATTATTTTTATACTTTAAGTTAATAATAAATAATAATAATAAATAATAATTATTATTATATTTTAAGTTAATAAAAAATTATTATTATTATACTTTAGGTTTTAGGGTACATGTGCACAGCGTGCAGGTTTGTTACATATGTATACATCTGCCATGTTGGTGTGCTGCACCCATTAACTCGTCATTTAGCATTAGGTATATCTCCTAATGCTATCCCTCCCCCAGTGGCCTTTCTTGCAGGGTAAGTTGATATCTCATTGTGGCTTTAATTTGCATGTTGGCATTTTGAACATGTTTGTTGGCACGTTGAGCATCATGTTTATTGGCCATTTGTATATCTTTTTTTGAGAAATGTCTGTTCATGGCATTTGACCACTGTTTGATGGGGTTATTTGAATTTTCTTTGCTTATTTTTTTGGGTAACTTTAAGAATCCAAATAACTCCATTGTAGTGTCCCTTTAATCTGCCAGCCACAGTCATATACTTATTGAAGAAAATGACTCTTCCTTCCATGAAGGGGGCTGTGCCTGTATGCTTCCCAATCAATCAGCTAAGAAAAACCTCTTGGAAGGGTACCGTAGGCTGTCTTTCAGCCAAATTGTAGAGACAGGCCAACTCTGCAGAGTCACTTTGGTTTTTGAAAGGCACAAATGATAAGATATATTAAAAAGTTTTGCAACACAAGACACATTTTATACTCCCTTTGCAAAGAGTCCCATCAGCCAGAGTCAGCCACATTACAGACATAGAAGATTTTCAATGCATTCATGGAATTTTGCTGGGAATAACTGGTGCATTGATTTTGAAGCTTTGTTTGACTTTGCATTAGGTCTGTCAGGTCAACACACCAACCTGTCCTTTTTACAGCCAGTCACTGGCCAACTTCCACAGCTCATGTCCATCCAGGAGACAAGGGAAAGCCTGGCCTTTTCTCCTGCTCTGAGTCCAGCTGTCTACAGCCAGTTTCAACCCTTGCCTGGATAGTACCTACTTCTCTGCAAAGGCAAATCAACACAATAGTGTCACAAATCTGTACTTAGTTTTAGTTTCCTAGGACTGCTGTAAGAAATTACTACAAACTTGTTGGTTAGCATAATAAAAATTGTATCCTTTCCAAGTCCTGGAGAATGGGAGTCTGAGATCAAGGTGTGGACAGGGTGGCATGCCTTTGGAGGCTTCAGGGGAGGATCCTTCCTGTGTGTCCTAGCTCCTGGGGGCTTCAGGCATCCCTAGGCTGTGGCCTTGTCACTTGTCTCCACCTCTGGTTCCACATGGCATCGTCTTCTGTTTCCATGTCTCCTCTTCTGTCCTTAGAAGGACACTGGTCATTCAATTAAGGCCATCCTAAGCCAGAATAATCTCATCTCCAGATCTGACTTTAATTACAAATCTGTAAAGACTGTTTTTCTAAATAAGGTCATATTCCAGGTTCTGGGCTTTGTGATGTGGATTTATCTTTTCTGGAGGCAGCTGTTCCATTCACTATAATTGTAACCAGTTCTTTCCAGAGATGCTAAGGGAGGATGCTTCCTGCCTCTCCCAGCTCCTGGGGGCTCCAGGCATCCCTGGGCTTGTGGTTATATCACTGGAGTCTCTACTTTCATCTGCACATGGTCTTCTCCGCTGTGTCTGTGTCTTATATTTTCTGCCTCTTAGAAGGAATTTAAGATTCCAAATCTGCTAGATTTCTCCTTATTGGTCTGGATAAGGAGTCCTTGGAGTCTCTTGTAGTATGAAAGGTTTCATTTTACATTGCAGCCCCTTACGAGAAGGGCTTAGGCCAATGTTTGTGCTAACTTCCCTTCTACAGCTCTGGATTCTGTCTCATGGGCTCCCTGTGATTTCCCCCAAAGATGTCCTGTGCTTCCTCACTTCCACCCACCTAATCCCACTTTTCATCCAGCAACATCTGTCTTTTTTTCTTTTCTTTTTTTTTTTTTTTTTTGAGACAAGGTCTTGCTCTGTCACCCAGGCAGGAGTGCAGTGGTATGATCATAGTTTACTGCAGCCTTAATCTGAGTCCAAGTGACCCTCCCACCTCTGCTTCATGGGCAGCTGGGACTACAGATGCACACTACCATGTCTGGCTCTTTTTTTTTTTTTTTTCTTGTAGATATGGGAGTCTTGTAGATGTTGCACAGGCTGGTCTCAAACTCCTGGGCTCTAGTGATCCTGCCATCTTGGCTTCCCAAAGTGTTGGGATTACAGACATAAGCCACTGCTCCCAGCCTGTCCTACGTTTTTAATCCCTCAGTGTGATTAACCTTAAGACTCTCTATCCCCATGAAGGATCATTACATGGAATCCATTCTCCTTCACAGAGGAACACCTGTAGTATAAGTCTATAACAAATAAAGACTATCTATTATAGTCTTTATAAAGTGTCTTCAAAATAATAACTCAGAGATATTTATCTGCAGTGTTCAGTATATTACTTCAAATTTCACATTTGTTGTCTTTGAATCTTTTTGTGTGTGTCCATCTCATTCCTATATCCTCATTTGAAGTTCTCAGCTGATGGGGCCTTCACATTCTTTCTTTTATCCGCCAATTTTTGCAGAGTCTTCTAGAACCATAGGTTTCAAAGTAAGTGCTCAGGGATTGCGTCAATTCATGGAGGAATGGACTAGATCCACTCCCTGGTAATACCATAAGGGCATGAATTGTTCCTGCTCATAGAGAGTCACTCAGAATAGCAACTAGTCAGCAATCCTCATGAATTTGTGTTGTGAGAGTTCATTTTATTTGCATAATTTTAATTGGAACCTATATGCTCAGGTGTTGCTTTTATACATAGCCTGAGAAAAGCTACATTGCATGACATCAAGATTTCCATTTCAGGAACAGGAGTTGCTTGAATTCATGGTTTCATCTAATAACAGACTTCTTGTCACCCAGTTCCTCCACCTGCTTGCCTGAGGAGGTACAGAGCTGTTTGGAACTATTTATAGATCCACAAATGGGTCATCTCACCTGTTTCTGTCCTGCTTTTGTACTGGTGTCTTTATCCATTTGGTGTATCCACTGCTGAACTCTTCCACACATTGTGAGCTTCTCTTTCTTGTCTGACCTCAAGATTCCCCTACCCTATTGATCCTTACCTGCTGCCCTGGGGATAGAACAGCATGGCCCCTCATTAGACATTCTTCCTATGGCCCTTTTAGCTGAGATTTTTTGATTTCTGTTTGTTCAAGTTTGGACAATTTTACTCTTAGTTTCCCTCACACCTGCAGCCTGAGTTTTCAAAGGAGGAATTTCTTCTGCTTTAGCATTGTCACACATATGAAAAATAACAATGATTCAATATCATCTTCTGTGATGCGGTGCTCATTGAAATATTCCCAATTGTTCTAAAATTAGTGGGTTTTTTTCTCACTCTTTTGCCCAGAATGGAGTGCAGTGGCTCAATCTGTGCTCACTGCAACCTCTGACCCCCAATCTCAAGCGATTCTCCTGCCTCAGCCTCCTGAGAGCTGGGATTACAGACATGTGCCACTACAACAAGTTAATTTTTGTATTTTTAGTAAAGGCAAGATTTCACCATGTGTGCCAGGTTGGTCTTGAACTCCTGACCTCAAATTACCCACCTGCCTCGGCCTCCCAAAGTGCTAGGATTACAAGCATGAGCCACTACTCCCCACCTAAAATTAGTGCATTCGATAGTCATCTTTTTCCTCTTCCTATCCATGCTCCTTCTCTTCCTCCTTGTTCTCCTTCTTTTCTTCCTCCATCTTCTCCCCATTCTATTCCTCCTCCTTCTCTCACCTTCCCTATCCTCACCCTCTTCTTTCTCTTCCTGGATGGCAGGACCTGCAGTTTCTTTTTTTCTGAGATGGGGTCTCATTCTGTCAGCCAGATTGGAGTGTGGTGGCATAACCTTGGCTCCCTGCAAACTTTGCCTCCTGAGTCAAAAATGTCTCCTGCCTCAGGCTCCTGAGTAGCTGGGATTAGAGGTGTGAGCAATCACATCAGGCTAATTTTTGTATTTTTAGTAGACAGGGTTTCATCATGTTGCCCAGGCTGGTCTCAAACTTCTAGCCTCAATGGATCCACCCAGCTCAGCCTCCCAAAGTGTTGGGATTACAGGGGTGAGTAATTTCACTGGGCCCTCTATTTTATTTTATTCTCCTATTTCCTTCCTCTTTTCACCCCACTTCTTCCTTCTCTCTTTCGCCTTTCTTCTCCTCTCTTCTTCTCCTGTCTTCCTCTCCCTTCTCCTCCTCTTCCTCCTCCTTCCACTTCTCCCTCCCTTCCTTCTCCTTTGCATCCTTCTCTCTTTCCTCTTCCACCTTCTCCTCCTCCTATCTCTTCTCTTTCTCTCCCCTGCCCCTTTCTTCTCCTCCTTCTCTTTCTTGTTCTCCTCCTCCTGTTCTCCTTTTGTTTCAGAATCAGTTCAAGTCTATAAATTGCACTTTGTTTCCTCTGCTTATATATTTTTATTGTATAGCTTTCACCATATTTTAGTTGTTGCCATTATTGTTTTTCTTTAAATAAACTTTAACTTTAAAGACTCCATGCCTGTGCATTGGGGACTATGCCTGGCAATATGGGTCATGATCTCAAGGATTCCCACTAGTCCTGCTACAAGGGCTCCTTAGCAACCTGCCTAACAATTCTAAAGTGGATAACCATATGTTCTATGTATTTTATCTACCCGTTTCATTTTTAACCATCTTAGTTTTTAATAATGTCAGATTAACTTTTTAAGCTAATGGTAGATTTAACAGTGAGAAAGGATCCAGCGGTTTTTAATGGAGCATAAAGCATAAAATATATATATTTTTCTTTTCACACAAGCATATTTTAGGTGTAGGAGTTTTTCCATATGATTCTATGTGGTTTCCTTTGCATTTTGTTGAATATGAATTCTAAATTTCTCTTCAGATAATTAATATGTCAGTATGTTCAATTCTTTGCCTTCTACTTTGAAACTTAAATTCCTTGTAAAGCAACCTTTTTCATTTACCTACCCCCCCCCCCGACTCATTCTGATCACCTGCTCCACCCTAACTCATTCTGATTACCTGCTACCTGCTCTGCCCTGACTCCCACCAAAGTGCTTACCCCATCATTGTCTTTAAATTAGCCAGTTGGAATTAGTTTAGCCTGTGTGATCTAACCCTAAACAATAGGGGAATGACACAGCAGCAGGGGCCACATGCGTCATGGATAAGAACCCCATCCCCTCTCTTGTCCAGGTGTGTGCCCACCATTGCTCCATCATTGAGAGCACACCCTTCTATAGAAGTACCTTGTCTTGCTGAGAATTAAAAAGACAATTTTATATTCAAGTGCTGTTTCTTTTTAGGCACTGAAACTTTATTTATAACAATTTGGTTTTCCAAAGAAATTGCCTGCTTAAATTAGAAATGATGCCTGAGCACTTTATATTTATTTATTTATTTATTTTTATTTATTTAAATTTTGAGGTAGAGTTTCACTCTTGTTACTGAGGCTCGAGTGCAGTGATGCAATCTTGGGTCACTGCAACTTCCACCTCTTGGGTTCAAGCGATTCTCCTGACTCAGCCTCTCAAGTAGCTGACATTACTGGTGCCCACCACTACATCCAGCTAATTTTGTATTTTTAGTAGAGATGGGGTTTTACCTTGTTGCCAAGGTGTGTTGTGAACTCCTGACCTTAGGTGATCCACCAGCCTTGGCCTCCCAGAATGCTGGGATTACAGGCGTGAGCCACCGCGCCCTGCTGACACATTTAAAGAAACATATTGGCAACCTACCAAATACCCACAGATTGGATCTAATCATTTGAAAAACACAAACTTGTCCTTCTGAGGCTCCATGACTATGTAATCTCAAACTATTCTCACCAATCACAAAGGACCATTCTGTTTGGAGATAAAATATCCAGGATTCTTCAAACACCAAACAGTACAACAAATCACTTTGACAAACTTGGTGAAACCACCCCTTTATTCAATTAATGCTTGAAACATCTGTGGCAGGGAACAACCATACTAATAGATTATGCAGTGTGTGTTAAAAATTAAACAACAATTCACCCCTCTTTTCCCCAGTTGCCATTTCTTATCTAATGTTTTTCTTGACACCAGTAAAGAGGAGAGGCTTTCTTCATGTAATCACTCCATGGTTTCTCAACAGAACATAACCCAACCACCTCACTGAGGGGGTCCAGGGTGACCCAGTCTTTCTATCTTCTGTCCAGAGCTTTTGTCATGTACAGGAGTTTGGGAAGATACTCCCCATAAAAGGTTTCCTATGGCCTTAAAATAAGAGATAGTTTAGGAACATTAGCTGTTCGCTTTACATTTAAGATATGCTCTCCTGGAGATGTTGATTTGTTAATGAGACAGCTGTGAAAGAATACAAAATCAAAATGCTTCCCAGGGTTCACAGCTCTATTGTTCCTTGGTTTTATGGTTTGCAAGGAAAGCTGATTTATATAGGCAGTGGCTCTCTATATAGGTCCTCACCTCCCCTGTCCTTTTGTTTTGGAATGTGAGCAGCACACACTCAGGTCTACTGTATGAAAAGGACACCCTGCACTCTGAAATTCCATCAGCTTCACAGATCTCTCCTGGCTGTCAGAGTGATGACTCCCTTTCCCTTTCTCCAATGTCTGAACACCACGTGGTAAGGGACTTCCCACACACAATTATTACTCTCACCAGACAAAAGGTGCTTTCTTAGAGAAGAAAGCAGCAGTATCTTCCAGAGGCAATTGGAGGTTTCAAATTGGAGGAGTTATGGGTTTGAAGGCTCTAATTTTACTGGGTAGAGTCTTACACCCCACAGTGCCCTTGCCCTGAGGCCCACTGGCTGTGTGTGGGTCTTGTCCTCAAAACTGTAGCTGCCCAGTGCCCCTGGAGACCCACTTTATCCAGCATCACAATTAGGTGCTCTGCCAGCTCTGGGGCATGGAGAGGAATTGTCTGGTAAGAATGGAATGTTTTCCATTCTCTCCATTAAGAACATGAAAGGCTGATTGACAGGTGCAAATCTGAATCTGGTCATCTAGGCTGAATTACAGGATGTGTAATGGAAGTTAAGGAATTTCAGGAGAAATTAGAAGAGATAGAATACTTGGAATACCTTGGGGGCCAGGGGAGTTGAGCCATCCTCAGAGACAGGTGTATATTACAAATCTCACTGAAGTCAGAGCACTGGTATTGTGGGAAGCCCAGTTAGGGATTAAATGGATTCCAGAAGTCAGATCAACAAAGCATTTTGACACCTGTCAGGGTGCCAGATATTATCACTTAGCTTGAGGACAGGGGAAGGGGGTACTGTCAACTCTATTGCTTTCTATAATATCTAACAGATATCAATGATTCCCAGAGGATGAGGAGCTACAGTGTGATCTCAGAACATTTTTTTTCAAGGGAGGTGTAGATGACCCCATTACTCATTATGTCTAAGAGGGAATGAGATTCCACATGCAAGATGGAAATCAAAACCCTTTCACCACATTCATTGTCTCAGGTATGCAGAGACATGCCTCTAAGCCCAGAGCAGATAGTGCATCCTGGTTGCTGATTGTATACCTCCTGATGGGTTGTAACTCTGTGCTTTATGGAGGGCTAGTGTAAACATTCTCATTGCAAAGTTTCCTGTGTGGATGAGCAGACACAGAATGGCATTTGCAGGAGGTGAGTCCCCTGACTTCAAAGACCACATTTGGCAAAGTGACTTGTTGCACCACTTGGCTTTTGAAGCATCCTGGCAAGTTTTGTTTTATGGGGTAGTAAGGGAGGTGAGGTGAAGAAAGCGCAGCTTTCTGTCTTTCATTATTAAGCAGGAGGGCTCTCATTGGGCTTTAGGTACCTTACCTTGTTTTCTTCGCAGAGGAATTCCCCCCAGGAATCCTTTGCAGGCCCTGCCAGTTTCAGAACAACCTCATTTTCATCTATCCACTTCAATGATCTCATTCACAAAGGCTTTCCCAAAGCCCAGGATGCAATTTGGGGAGGACTGCTTCAGTTGGATGTGCCTCTGTGCCAGGAAGAGAACAGGCACAGGGCTCTGCTTGACTATTGACATCATTCCTGGGCTAGTGCATCACAGGATCTCATGGTGACAGCATTCCACTAGAACCCGGACTCCCAGAACCCGGACTTCCAATTTTGAAAGGAACCCTCTCTAGAAGTCTTCTGGGATGGAGAAAACAGTGATTTCAGATAGTTAACATTGCTCTTCAAAAAAGTGTTTGTCAAGGAAATTAGTAGCGACTTGTATGACACCCTATTTCTCCTGTGATTTTACTTTCCAAATATTGATTGCTCCAGGACATGGAGCTTTTTTTCTCCTACACCCAAGGTCATCTAGTAAAAGGGTTAAGTGCACAGACTTTTTCCAGGTGATCTCTGTGTTCATAAAGAGTAGTGGGGAAAGGGCTCTAGTATTTCAAAAGTAAAGTAACCATTGTTAGTGTCAGGCCTCTGAGCCCAAGCTAAGCCATTATATCCTCTGTGACCTGCATGTATTCATCCAGACGGCCTGAAGAATCACAAAAGAAGTGAAAATGGCTTGTTCCTGCCTTAACTAATGACTTTACCTTGTGAAATTCCTTCTCCTGGCTCAGAAGCTCCCCTACTGAGCAACTCGTGACCCCTGTCCCTGCCCACCAGAGAACTACCCACTTTGACTGTAATTTTTCATTACCTACCCAAATCCTATAAAACAACCCCACCCCATCTCCCTTCACTGACTCTCTTTTCAGACTCAGCCCACCTGCACCCAGGTGAAATAAACAGCTTTGTTGCTCACATAAAGTCTGTTTAGTGGTCTCTTCACACGGATGTGCATGACATCTGGTGCCATGACCCAGACTGGGTAACATTCCTTGGGAGATCAATCCCCTGTCCTCCTGCTCTTTTCTCCATGAGAAAGATCAACATACAACCTCTGGTCCTCAGATCAACCAGCCCAAGGAATATCTCACCAATTTTAAATCGGGTTAACGGCCTCTTTTTACTCTCTTCTCCAACCTCTCTCACTATCCGTCAACCTCTTTCCATTTCAATCTTGGGGCCACACTTCAGTCTCTCCCTTCCCTTAATTTCAGTTCCTTTCCTTTTCTGGTAGAGACAAAGGAGATGTGTTTTTTCTGTGGACCCAAAACTCTGGCCCTGGTCACAGACTTAGGAAGACAGTCTTCCCTAGGTATTTAATCATGCGGGGACACCTGCCTGATTATTCACCCACATTTCATTGATGTCTGATCACCACAGGGATGCCTGCCTTGGTCATTTAACCACATTCCTTTTGTGGCAAGTCAGTTGTGGGGATGCCTGCTTTGGATGTACACCCACAGGCAGCCCAGGGCTGTTCACTCACCCCTTCTCTCCACATCTCTACCCATCCCTTTTCCACTTTTCTAGGGGGCAAGCACCTCCTGCCCCTTCTCTCCCTGTCTCCACCCCTTCTCCACTTTCCTGGGGGGCAGGTATCCCCCACACCTTCTCTCTATGTCTCTATACTCTTTTTTCTCTGGACTTGCCTCCTTCACTATGGGCAAACTTCCACCCTCCATTCCTCCTTCTTCTCCTTTAGACTGTATTCTCAACAATTTAAAACCTCTTCAACTCACACCTAACCTAAAACCTAAATGCCTTATTTTCTTCTGCAATGCCTCTTGACCTCAATACAAACACAATAGTGGTTCCAAATAGCCAGAAAATGGCACTCTTGATTTTTCCATCCTATAAGATCTAATGAGTTCTTGTCATAAAATGGGCAAATGGTCTGAGGTGCCTGATGTCCAGGCATTCTTTCACACATTGGTCCCTCCCTAGTCTCTGTTCCCAATGCAACTAGTCCCAAATCTTGCTTCTTTCCCTCCTGCCTGTCCCCTCAGTCCCAATCCCAAGTGTCACTGAGTCTTTCCAATCTTCCTTTCTATGGACCCATCTGACCTCTCCCCTCCTCCCCAGGCTGCTCCTCACCAGGCCAAGCCAGGTCCCAATTCTTCCTCAGCCTCTGCTCATGCACCCTATAATCCTTTTATCACCTCCCCTCCTCAAACCCTGTCTGGCTTACAGTTTTGTTCCAGTCTGGCTCACAGTTTCTTTCCACGACTAGCTCTCCCCTACATGACTAGCACTTTCCTCTTAAAAAGGTGACTGGAGCTAAAGGCACAGTCAAGGTTAATGCTCCTTTTTCTTTATCTGACTTCTCCAAAATCAGTTAGCATTTAGGCTCTTTTTCATCAAATAGAAAAACCCAGCCCAGTTCATGCCTCATTTGGCAGCAACCCAGAGACACTTTGCAGCCCTAGACCCTAAAAGGTCAAAAGACTGTCTTATTCTTAGTATACATTTTATTACTCAGTCAGCTCCTGACATTAAATAAAACTCCAAAAATTAAATTCCAGCCCTCAAACCCCACAACAGGACTTAATTAGCCTCATCTTCAAGGTTTACAATAATAGTGTAGAGGCAGCCAAGTAACAACATATTTCTGAGTTGCAATTCCTTGTTTCCACTGTGAGACAAACCCCAGCCACATCTTCAGCACACAAGAACTTCCAAATGCCTGAACTGCAGTGGCCAAGTGTTCCTCCAGGAACTCCTACCCCAGGATCTTGCTTCAAGTGCCAGAAATCTGTCCACAGAGCCAAGGAATACCTGCAGCCTGGGATTCCTCCTAAGCTGTGTCACATCTGTATGGGAGGCCATCACAGAGGCTTTGGGTAACACTCATAGTGGAGGGTAAGTCTGTACCCTTCTTAATCAGTACAGAGACTACCCACTTCACATTACCTTCTTTTCAAGGGCACGTTTCCCTGGTCTCCATAACTGTTGTGAGTATTGATGGACAGGCTTCTAAACCTCTTAAAACTCCCCAAATCTGGTGCAAACTTGGACAATATTCTTTTATGCACTCCTTCTTAGTTATCCCCACCTGCCCAGCTCCCTTATTAGGTCAAACATTTTAACTAAATTATTGGCTTCCCTGACTATTCCTAGGCTACAGCCACACCTCATTGCCACATTTTCCCCCAATTCAAATCCTCCTTCACATCCTCTCCTTGTATCTACCCACCTTAATCCACAAGTATAGGACACCTCTACGTCCTTCTTGACAATAGATGATGCACCCCCTTACCATCCCATGAAAACCTAATCAGGCTTACCCCACTCAATGCCAATATCCCATCCCACAGCATGCTTTAAAAGGATTAAAGCCTGTTATCACTATCCTGTTAGAGCATGGCCTTTTAAAGCCTATAAACTCTCCTTACAATTCCCCCATTTTACCCGTCCTAAAACCAGACAAGCCTTACAGGTTACTTCAGGATCTGTTCCTTATCGACCAAATTGTTTTGCCTACCCACCCCATGGTGCCAAACCCATATACTCTCCTATCCTCAATACCTCCCTCCACAACCCATTATTCTGTTCTGGATCTCAAACATGCCTTCTTCACTATTTGTTTGCACCCTTAACCCCAGCTTCTCTTCACTTTCACTTGGACTGACACTGACACCTATCAGGCTCAGCAAATTACCTGGGCTGTACTGCCACAAGGCTTCACAGACAGTCCCCATTACTTCAGTCAAGCCAGAGTTCCTACCTGTGAACACATCCTGTATCCTTTTCATCTAAACAACTTAACCTTACTCTTTTAGCCTAGCCCTCATGTCTGTGTGCTGCAGCTGCCACTGCCTTAATACTTATAGAGGCCCTCAAAATCACAAACTATGCTCAACTCACTCTCTACTCTCTACAGTTCTAATAACTTCCAAAATCTATTTCCTGCCTCACACCTGGTGCATCTACTTTCTGTTACCTACCCACACTACCTCTCAGCAAGCTGAACTCATTGCCTTAACTTGAGACCTTGCTCTTGCAAAAGGACTATGCATCAATATTTATACTGACTCTAAATATGCCTTCCATATCCTGCACCACAAAGCTGTTATATGGGAAAAAAAAATTCCTCACTATGCAAGTGTCCTCCATCATTAATGCCTCTTTAATAAAAACGCTTCTCAAAGCTGCTTTACTTCCGAAGGAAGCTGGAGTCATTCACTGCAAGGGCCATCAAAAGGCATCACATCCCATTGCTCAGAACAATGCTTATGCTGATAAGGTAGCTAAAAGAGCAGCCATCCAAAGGCATCAGGTCCCATCACTCAGCACAATGTTTATGCTGATAAGGTAGCTAAAAAGCAGCTAGTATTCCAACTTCTATCCCTAAAGCAGTTTTTTTCCTTCTCATTGTTCACTCCCACCTACTCCCCAATGAAACTTCCAACTACCAATCTCTTCCTACACAAGGCAAATGGTTCTTGGAGCAAGAATGATTCCAGCCTCACAGGCCCATTCTATTCTGTCATCATTTCATAACCTCTTCCATGTAGGATACAAGCCACTAGCCTGCCTTTTAGAACCTCTCGTTTCCTTTCCATTGTGGAAATCTATCCTTAAGGAAATAACTTCTCAGTGTTCCATCTGCTATTCTACTCCTCCTCCTCAGGGATTGTTCAGGCCCCCCACATTCCACTTCCCTACACATCAAGCTCAGGGATGTGCCCCTGCCCAGGACTGGCAAATTGACTTTACTCACATGCCCTGAGTCAGAAAACTAAATTATCTCTTGATCTGGGTAGACACTTTCATTGGATGGGTACAGGCATTTCCCACAGATCTGAAAAGGCCACCTCGGTCATTTCTTCCCTTCTGTCAGACAGAATTCCTTGGTTTGGCCTTCCAACCTCTACACAGTCTGATAACGGACTGGCCTATATTAGCCAAATCACCCAAGCAGTTTTTCAGGCTCTTGGTATTCACTGAAACCTTTATATCCCTTACTGTCCTCATTCTTCAGGAAAGGTAGAATGGACTGATGGTCTTTTAAAAACACACCTCACCAAGCTCAGCCAACAACTTAAAAAGGACTGGACAATACTTTACCGCTTGCCCTTCTCAGAATTCCGGCCTGTCCTCGGAATGCTACAGAGTATAGCCCATCTGAGCTCCTATATAGATGCTCCTTTTTATTAGGCCCCAGTCTCATTCCAGACACCAGACCAAATTGGACTGCACCACAAAATACTTGTCATCCCTACTATCTTCTGTCTCATCATACTCCTATTCACCTTGCTCAACTATTCATAAATGCCCTACTCTTGTTTACATTGCCAGTTTGCACTGTTTCTCCAAGCCATCGTAGCTGATATATGGGAGACCTTAAGAAAATATACTCCCCAGTCCCCCAACTCCCTTGAGGGTCAACTGATCCTAAAAGATAAGTTAATTACCCAGTCAGCTGCAGATATCAGGAGAAAGCTCCAAAAGCTAGCCCTGGGTCCTGAACAAAATTTGGAGGCATTCTTAAACCTTGCAACCTTGGTGTTCTATAATAGGGACCAACAAGGACAGGTGAGAAGAAAAAAGTGAGATAAGAGAAAGGCCACAGCCTTAGTCATGGCCCTCAGAGAAACAAACCTTGGTGGTTAAGAGAAGACAGAAAATGGAGCAGGCCAATCACCCAGTATAGCTTGTTATGAGTGTGATTTGCAAGAATACTTTAAAAAAGATTCTCCAATGAGAAACAAGCCATGCCCTCACCCATATCCACTATGTCAAGGCAATCACTGGAAGACACACTGCCCCAGAGGACAAAGGTTCTTAGGGCCAGTAGCCCTCAACCAGATAATCCAACAGGACTGAGGGTGCCCAGGGCAAGCACCAACTCATGCCATCACACACACTGAGCCCAGGGTAAGTTTAATCATTGAGGGCCACAGAATTGATTTCCTCCTGGACATTGGTGTGAGCTTCTCAGTGTTAATCTCCTGCCCTAGACAGCTGTCCTCAAGATCTCTTACCATGTGAGGAATCCTGGGACAGCCTGTTACCAGGTATTTCTCCCACCTCCTCAGCTGTAATTGGGAGACTTTCCCCTTTTCACATAACTTTCTTGTTATGGCTGAAAGTCCCACACCTTTATTAGGGAGGGATATATTAGCCAAAGCTGGAGCTATTGTCTACATAAATTTGGGGAACAAGTTAACCATTTTTTGTTCCATACTGGAGGAGGGAATCAACACTTAACTCAGGGCATTGGAAGGACAATACAGAAAAAAAAAAACAAACAAAAAAATGCCAGCCCAGTTCAAATCAGGCTAAAAGACCCCACCACTTTTCCTTATCAAAGGCAATATCCCTTAAGGCCTGAAACTCATAAAGGATTACAGAAGAGAGGTAGACATTTAAAAGTTCAAGTCTTAGTAAGAAAATGCAGCAGTTCCTGCAACACCCCAATTCTAGTAGTATAAAAACTGAATGGACAGTGAAGACTAGTGCAAGATCATAGAGTCATCCATGAGGCAGTAATTCCTCTATATCCAGCTGTACCCAACCCCTATACTCTGTTCTCTTAAATACCAGAGGAAGCAGAATGTTTCACTGTTCTGGACCTCAAGAATGCCTTCTTCTGCATTCCATTGCACTCTGACTCCCAGTTTCTCTTTGTCTTTGAGGATCCCACAGCACACCTGCCAACTTACTGGGCAATCGTGCCTCAAGGTTTTAGGGACAGCCCTCCTTATTTGGTCAGGCACTGGCCCAAGATCTAGGTCACTTCTCAATTTCAGGCACTCTGATCTCTTTGTATGAGGATGATTTACTTTTGGCTACCAGTTTGAAAGCCTCATACCAGCAGGCTACCCTAGATATCTTGAACTTTCTAGCTAATCAAGAGTACAAAGCATTTAAATTGATGGCCCAGCTCTACCTACAAGTCAAATATCAAGGCATAATCTTAGCCAACTGAACCAGGGCCCTCAGTAAAAAGTGAATACAGCCTATACTGACTTGTCCTTGCCCTAAAACATTAAAATTGTTGCAGCTTTCCTTGGGATCACAAGCTTTTGCCAACTATGGATCCCCAGATACAGGGAGATAGCCAGGCCACTTTATACTCTAATCAAGGAGACCCAGAGGGCAAATACTCATCTAGTAGAAAGGGAACCAGAGGCAGAAACAGCCTTAAACAAAACCTTAAAGCAGGCCCTCGTACAAGCACCAGTCTTATGCCTTTCCACAGGACAAAACTTCTCTTTATATGTAACATAGATAGTAGCAATAACTCTTGGAGCCATTACTTAAATGTGTGGGACAACCCCACAACCCGTGACATACCTAAGTAAGGAAATTAATGTAGTAGCAAAAGGCTGTCCTCACTGTTCATGGGTAGTTTTGGCTGTGGCTGTCTTAGTATCAGAGGCTATCAAAATAATACAAGGAAAGGATCTCAGTGTCTGGACTCCTCATGATGTAAATTGCATACTAGGTGCCAAAGGAAATTTATGGTATGGCTATCAGAAAACCACCTGCTTAGATGCCAGGCACTACTTTTGAGGGGCCGGTGCTTCAAATACGCATGTGTATGTGACCCTCAACCCTGCTAATTTCTCCCAGAGGATGGGGAACCAGTCGAGCATGACTGCCAACAAACTGTAGCCCAAAATTATTTCACCTGAGAAGATCTCTTAGAAGTCCCCTTAGCTAATCCTGACCTTGACCTATATACCGATGGAAGTTCATTTGTGGAGAATGTGATATCAAGGGCAGGTTATGCCATAGTTAGTGTTGTAACAGTACTTGAAAGTAAGCCTCTTCCCCCAGGGACAAGAACCCAGTTAGCAGAGCTAGTGGCACTTACCCGAGCCTTAGAACTGGGAAAGGGGAAAAAAAAGTTTATGCAAATAGCAAGTATGCTTATCTAATCCTACATGCCCATGCTGCAATATGGAAAGAAAGGGAATTCCTAACCTCTGGGGAAACCCCCATTAAATATCACAAGGAAATCATAGAGTTATTGCACACAGTGCAAAAACTCAAAGAGGTGGCAGTCTTACACTGCTGAAACCATCAAAAGGTGAAGGAGAAAAAACAGAAGGAAAATGTCAGGCAGACACTGAGGCCAAAATTGCTGCCAGGTGAAACCTTCCTTTGAAAACACCTATAGAAGGACCCTTGGTATGGAACAACCCTCTCCAAGAGATTAAGCCCCAGTATTCCCTGACTGAAACAGAATGGGGACTTTCATGGGTGAATAGTTTTCTCCCTTCAGGGTAGTTAATGTCAGAAGAGTGAAAGTTACTCATACCCAAAGCCAGTCAGTGGGAAATGCTTAAGATTCTCCGGCAAATTTTTTATATCAGTATTGAGAACACTTATCAAATGGCCAAATCCCTATTTAAAGGGCCAAATATCCTCCAGACCATCCAGCAAGAAGTCAAAGCCTGTGAGGTGTGCCAAAAGAATAATCCCTTGGTCCATCATAAGGCCACTCTGGGGAAACAAAGAATATGGCACTATCCTGGAGACAACTGGCAGTTAGACTTCACCCATATGCCTAAGTCAAAGGGATTTCAATACTTGTTGGTCTGTGTTGATACCTTGACAAATTGGATCGAAGCCTTCCACTGCAAGGCAGAGAAGATTCAGGAAGTGGTTAAAGTCCTAATTCATGAAATAATTCCTAGATATGGGCTTTCCCAAAGCTTAGAAAGCAATAATTGCCTGGCTTTTAAAGCCATGGTAATTCAGGGAATTTCCAGGGCACTAGGGATACAAGATCACCTTCCCTGTGCCTGAAGGCAACAATCCTCAGGGAAGTTTGAGAAGGCAAATGAAACACTCAAGAGGCACTTCCCTGCTTAACAAACAGTCTGGGTTTTGCAATTGCAAACATACTCCCTGCATGACCATTCATCCCTGGAACCCCTGCAGCAGCTCCCCCACCATTAATGAATGCCTTCTCATCCCCTCTTTCAATTACTCTCTTGAATGGTTCCTGGTAGATACAAAACGTTTTTTTCTCCAATGCAAAAATAGAACACAAAATGCTCCCAACACCCCTTTCCAGCCACTCACGGGAGCTACTTTGGCAAGTACTCTAGGAGTATGGGAAAAAGAAAACAACAAATTCACACATCTTTTTAACATACACCGCCAGTTCTATTTACCCAGCCAAAGCATATTCTTCTTATATGGAACTTCAACCTACATATGCCTCCCCACCAACTGGACAGAAACCTGCACCTTAGTCTTCTGAAGTCCCAATATTGACATTGCCCCAGGAAATGAGACCCTATCATTGCCCCTCAAAACTCAAGTTTGTCAGTGCAGGCTCATGCAACTAATATGCCTACTTATTAGGTTAGGAATTGCCACTGCTAAGAGAACTGGAATAACCAGGTCATCTACTTCATTATCCTATTACCACAGACTTTCAAAGGATTTCTCAGACAGTTTTCAAGAAATAGCAAACTATATCCTTACTCTGCAATCCCAAACAGACTATTTGGCAGCAGTGACTTTCCAAAACTGCTGAGGCCTAGACCTCCTCACTGCTGAGAATGAAGGACTTTGAACCTTTATAGAGGAAGAGTGTTGTTTTTACACTAACCAGTCAGGGATAGTACTAGATGCTGCCCAGTATTTATAGAAAAAGACTTCTGAAATCAGACAACTCCTTTCAAACTCTTATACCAACCTCTGGAGTTGGGCAACATGGTTTCTCCTTTTTCTTGGTCCCATGACACCCATCTTGCTATTATTCACCTTCAGGACCTATAATTTTAACCTCTTTGTCAAATTTGTTTTCCTCCAGGATTGAGGTCATCAAGCTACAGATGGTCTTACAAATGGAACCCCAAATGAGCGCAACTCACAACTTCTACTCAGGACCCTTGGACTGATCCAATGGCCCTTTGACTGGCCTAGAGAGTTCCCCTCTGGAGGACACTACAACTGCAGGAAAACTTTTTGCCCTTATTCAGTAGAAAGTAGCTAGAGTGGTCATTGCCCAGTTTCTGACAGCAGTTGTGGTGGCTTGTTTAGAGGGCGGAGTGAGAGGTGAGGCCAGCTGGATGTCCTGGGTCAAGTGGGGACTTGGACAACTTTTCTGTCTTATAAGAGGATATGTTTTTCTTACCTCTGTCTCCTGTGGCTTTTATCTATGAGATCTAGCTCCTTCCTCTGAAATGGAAGAGAATTCTTTTTCTCTGCCCTGTAAATTTCATGTAGTTCAACAGCAAGACATATCTTTTCTAGACTAATCATCTCAATCTGTTCCAATGCTTCCCAAACAACAGTTCCTAATCACCTCATCTTACAAACTGAAGATGCCCCAAAATATTTCCTATTTAATTGTCATTACTTTTAAACTGCAGGGCAAAGAAAAGAACTAAAACCTGGGCAAAGAGCCTGAGTAACATGAATAACTGTTAGCTTTCATATTTGTAAAGGACAGGTGCTTCATTGTTTAGGCCCTATGAGGTGCATGCTACCATCTTCTTCCACACACTTTCTCAGAGCCCAGGTCCAGACTTCCCTTCACATTTAAATCTTTCTTTTCGGTTGAGCCCAACACAGAAGTGGGGGAGACAGCTGTAGAAACAATGATGCTTGTGGTTAGGAAAATGGCCAAATTCCTTTTTCATTTATGTGACTGCATCTAGCAGCTACCATACTCTGAAAATAAAGCATGTTTCAGCAAAATACTGAAATGTCAGAAAAATCCTATTAAGCTACTCTTACCTATGTATAATTTTAATATGTTTTATTTAGTTGTCTAGCAAGTTGGTCATCAACCTTGCTGAAATCATAAAAAATGAAATTTAAATATATTGAATGTACACTGGTTAGGAAGTTTCATAATTATGATATGTTCCCAGTGAAGCAAAGGGTTGGGGGCAATTAAGTGTTTAACTAATACATGGTAAAAAATGAGATATTGTCTAGGAATATATGTGATGATTACGGCTTCTTTGGATGTTAACTTTGAAAGCTTGTGATTTGAGAATCTCCCCTCTGTATTCTTAATATCTGTTTGTAAAGTGGAGGTAGGGTAATGATATGAAGAAGTATTCTTCTGACATCTGGCAGAACACCCTACATGCATCTGCCAGGCACTGATCCATTGCTCTGTTATGATCTGTTGTGTCTTTGGAGATTAACTCTACAGATAATCCAAGTAAAATTCAAGTCTCTGGCACATGCGTTGCAGGATTTACTTTAGTCATTTTTTCCCCCTGCAAGGCACATGAATGGAGATGATAAATAGGCATCACTTTTCTTAATAAGGTTTAGATCTTGGGCTGCAGAAGTGGGTCACTATCAATTTCCTTTATCTGCTTGAAGGATTGGCCCTTACTGCCCTGGGCTGTGTATTGAGAAGCTCAGAACCACTGAAGCACATGTGTACACTGACAGCTGGCTAGTGGAGAGATTGGCAGGGTAGAAATCAGACTAGAAATCCAGGAGCACCAGGCATGAATTTGGTTATGTCATCCCCAGCAAAACACTGTGTATTATGGGGTCTCATGAATTTACTTCAACTCAGGGCATCCTCTCCAATCCAGGGTGCCTTGAGTCAATCTTAAATCCTACAAGTGTAATTGCCCATGTAGGTTTTCAACAGTCTTCTCAGCTAGGGGCAGATTGTATTTCATCAAACCTCCTGTTGGATCCATAAACTGTGATGGCTCTAGACATAATTTTGAGAAACCCAGTGAACTTTGACTTGTTTAATTAGAATGAGTATTAGACTGGCTGATAAACTCCTACCACAATTATCCATGGATTGAGCTCACAAGTAGCATTCTGAGGTCATTTTTGAACACTCTAAGGAAGAAAAGAGAAAAGGCAGAGTGTTCACAAACTAAAAACCAAAGCAAATTTTAGAGGTGTGCTTTTCTAAAGAGAGAGAGAGACCAGAAAGTGTACTTATCTGTCTTATTTCAACACATTGTGTTAGTTTCACTTCATCAGTATACTTTCAACCTACCAATATCAGGCTGTTTTATACAATCTTTTTCATGTCATACAACTGAGCACATTTTCCTTTCCTCTCACCTTTCAGTGGAACAAGGATTCAAACATATCAAGGTCTTTTATAGCAGTTCTAAGGGTGCAACGGTAAGTTGGGTATTTTACTGAGATGTTACATTTGGAATGTGAGAGTACATTGCTCAACATCATCTGTCACAGACAATGAAATAACACCTTGTTTTCTTCGCAGGAAGAAAGGTAAAAGTCTTGAGTTTCTGTAAAATAATTTTCAGTGTAGTTTATGGTTCTCCTTTAAATGTCAAGAAGAAGAAAGATTGAGATAAAATACATGAAACATTGATTCTTCGAGAAGAGAGATTTCCATTTTTTTTTCTTGTTTTAGCTTTCCTATATTGTCCAATTTTTCCTAATGTGCAATTATTTTTATTATTGGAATTGGAATGAAAAGGATACATTACATTAAATCCTCTCTAGATTACAATAATGTATTGTTTAACAACAGGGCTATGTTCTGAGTTTTGATAAAAAGAGACAAACTCAGTAAAATGTTTGAAGAGATTTATTCTGAGCGAGATATAAGTTGATGGTTTAATAGTTCCCAAGTCTTCACATGACTAAAGAAATCATTAATGATTTTGGAAGCATCAGCAATTTTTGTTTGCACCATCCATTAAAATTTGTATGATTAGTCAACATGGTTAAAAACTGCCCTGGGTGATCTTTGTTCCTCAGATGTGTTTACATCCTGTTTCAAAGAGAGAACTCAATCCTGGCTGTGCTTCTTCTGAATCCTTGGGCATAGATCCCACAGGATGAATTAAAAGTAATAATAATCTGCCTTATTTTCTAAAAGACCTAATTCTGTGTCACAAGTATGGTAATTCATTACTTTTCTGCATCACTTATCAAAACTCTATGCTAATTTTCTTTTCAATAAACTGCTTCTCCCAAGTTTTCCAGCTTCTATGAGGTGTAAGTTGTCTTAATAATAATAACTATAATTTATTGAGCAGTTAAAGATCTTCCACGTGCTCTGCTAAGCATTCTGAATATACCATTGAATTTAATAATTCTCCAAGCAACACTCACATGGAAGTAATATTAATAGCTCAATTTTTTTTAATAAGAAAGCTGATGCTAATAGAATTTAAGCGCCTTCTCCAAACATCTAAAACTGATAAGTGATTGTGCTAGGATTTCACCGTGGGGCTCCTTGGCTCCCAAGTTAAGCACGTCATGTTGTCATTTAATTTGACAACCAATGTCTATTATATCACTTTATCTCTTTGGTGACAATGGAAGTTCCATGAACACAGGGCCCCTATGGGTCTTGATTATTCAACAAAATTTTTTGTACTATTAGGGGTCTTTGAACAATTTTTGAGATAATTCTCTGCTTTTGTTGACTTCCTCCGTGATGTGTCAGGAAGTACTAATACAAGCATGCCTCAAAGAGTGAGAACACATGAACCTACCTTTCCCCTTCGGGACACAGCATTTGATAAATGCTATGAAACTCAATTCAACTCAGTCCCACCTATGTTAACAATACATGTGTATTGTATCAATAAATTATAACTTAAGTTTATCAATTTAACACAAACCTGGGTTGATTGTCTGCCTTCACGCCATGGCATATATTCTTTATCCTACTGGGATGACTTTCACATCCAGTCAGCCTTTTATATTTCCAGTTCCACATCAGCAATTTCAACCATCCTCAGATCAGAAATACTTTTTAAAAATTAAAAATAAAAATACAACAATAAAAACTTAACCAAAACCCAATACAGTATAACAACTATGCTTAGCATTTACACTGTATGAGGGATTATTAAAAATAAAAATAAAAACAGAAACAAAAAACTAGAGATGATTTAAAGTACAGTCGTCTCTTGGTACCAGTAGGAGATTGGTCCTAGGACCTCCAGAGTATTCCAAAATCCATGCATGTTCAACGTCTTGATATGAAATTGTGTCGTATCTGTATATAACCTCTGCACACCCTCCCATATATATTAAATCCTCTCTAGATTACAATAATGTATTGTTTAACAACAGGGCTATGTTCTGAGTGTTGATAAAAAGAGACAAACTCAGTAAAATGTTTGAAGAGATTTATTCTGAGCCAAATATAAGTCACCATGACCCATGATAAAGCCCTAAGTAGGTCCTGAGAACATGTGCCTAAGGTGATGGGGGTATGACTTGGTTTTACACATTTTAGGGAGGCATGAAACCACAATCAAATATATTTAAGAAATATATTGGTTTAGTCCAGATAGTCAGTACAACTCAAGCAAGGTCAGGGTGGGGTGGGAGGGGATGGGGCTTCCAGGCTATAGGTAAATTTAAGTATTTTCTGGTTGAGAATTCGTTGAGTTTGTCTAAAGACCTGGGATATTCAGGTTAAAATAAATGATTGTGGAGACCAAGGTTCTCTTGAAATCTTATTGTGGCAGCTCTTAGAAAAAATAGATGACAAATATTTTCTGTTCAGATTTCTAAAGCATGCTAGACTTTAAGTTAATCTTTTTAAGATAGGGAACATCTGGAAGATAAAGACCTAGCTATGTTAATAGAGATTCTTTACAGATGCAAATTTTCCCCCACTTAGGACAGATTTGCAGGGTAATTTCAAGAATTGACAAAGAAACATGTTTTGGGGTAAAATATTTTCACTTTCTTCTTTGTCACATAATGTTTTGCCAGAGTCATATTGGAAAGTACATCATGATATGTAGGGTTAAATAAAATGCATTTGATGAGAAGTTACAAGTTTGTAGGGCATGACTACCCAGACCCCTTTGATGAGAATTTGGGAAAGAAAATATTAGAGCTTAGTCCTTATGAGAATGTGCTATTAAATGATTTTTTTTGTTGTGTGAATATTAGTGAGTGTACTTACACAAACCTAGATGATATAGCCTGTTATATACACCTAGGCTATACATCATAGCCTCCCACTCCTGGGCTGCAAACATGAACAGCATGCTACTGCACTTACTACTGTAATCAATTGCAACACGATGGTAAATGTTGTGTATCTGAACATAGCTAGACATAGAAAAGGTACAGTAAAAATATGGCATTGTAATCTTATGAGACCACCAGCATATATGTGATCTGTTATTGACCAAAACATTGTTAGGTGGTACATAATTGTACTCATAATACCTAATACAATGTAAACACTGTGTAGTAGTTAAGTACATAGTTATGTACATAGTTACAAAAAAGGTGTTTATTGTTCATTATAGATGCTCTTGATTTCTCCAAATATCTGGATCCAATATTGGTTGAATCCACAGATGTAGAACATGGGGCTAACTGTATATAAGAGGATGTATGTAGGTTAAATGCAAATACTACTGACGGACTAAGTGGCTAAGTTGGCTGGACTTCCTGGGTCTATAGGGACTTCCCCAAGGGGCTTTTCCCTAAGCCAAAATGACTCATAGCTGCAAGCTAAGGGATTGAAACTTCAACTAATCAAAGGGGACTTTCTCCTAAGCCGAAATGAGTCACAGCTGCAAACTAAGGGATTGAAACATCAACCAATCATATTAGTAATTTAAGCTCTAGCTGCAGCCTGATGTTTTTAATCAATCAGGCCTGCCAACCCACAGATAGAAAATAAGCTAATCCTATAGGACAGAAAAAGGAAAAGGTGGGGAAGTCATAAGGGGATATAAGCATAAGACACCCAAGCCAGAAATGACAACCCTTCTGGGTCCCCTTCCACCGCGTGGAAGTTTTACTTTCACTTTGGCTTTAATAAATCTTGCCAGCACACACTCTTTGGGTTGGTGCCCTTCTCTAATTGAGCTGTAACACTCACCACTGGTCCATGACTACATTCCTTGAAGCCTTTGAGACCAGAAACCCTTCAATTGAGAAAAGACCTTAGATCAGGAGAAGAATTTTCATCTCATTTCTGGTCGCCCATATAGGGATTATCCATAGCAGTGAGTAACATTGGACCCCTTTCGCTTGCTATTCTCTTCTATCTTCTCACCAGAAATTAGAGGAAAACACTGGGCACCTGTCTGCCATTTAAAAGTGACAAGCATGGCCACTGGACTTAAGACACAGGTATGAGGCTTTCTGGGAAAGGACTCTTTCTTTAATTACCCCCATCCCTCTGTGCTTAGAGCATTGATCTGCTGGAACCAGTTCCACTTTTCTCTGCCTTTCCTGGGAAAAGCTGAGGGCTGGCTAGAGGAAGAAAACTGTCATCCCTTACTCCTGGCACTGACCTGGTTTAGATCATGGCACAGTGAGAAGCCTCTACTCTGCAGCTGCCCATATGTGCATTCTCTGTCTTTTCTGACCCATGCCTCCTGGGTCCTAATGTCCTCAGAGAAGACTTTCTTGAGGCCCTATCCTCTAGGATCTTTCCTACCCCTGAGTCTAAGAATCTTTTGGCTAGGAACCTAAGTTGAGTGGGGTGGCAATCCAAAGACCCTTGCTCATGGTGCCCCCAGCCTTATTCTTATGCAAATGGATATCACTATACTTATACAGGACCTGTCCCTCATAACCTATACCCTAGGCACTGTCTGGGACCTCAAAGGGCATGCCAGTGGCTGATAGAAGGTCTATGACATTTTTCCTTTTTTTGCCCTAAACTTACCTCAGATTGTAGAGTCTACTTTAATTACCAGCTTTCCTGTCTGGGATCAGTGATTAGAATTGTAGAACTTCTCCACCTCCATACTCAGGTCTCCCCAAATCTCTCTCTCCCGCTAGTAAGGTCTCTCCCTTTGGCCCAAAAGCAACCAGACAAAGAGATAGTCAAGGAACCGTAAGGTGCCAATGGCCCTCGATTGTGCCCCTCCAAGCCATGGGAGGAGGAGGAGACTTTGGCCTGGCATGAATACATGTACCCTTTTCCCTCTCAGACTTAAAACAGATCAAACTGGACATAGGAAAATTATCAGATAATCCTGATGGATATATAGACCTCTTAAAGGGATTAGGACAATCTTTTGATTTAGCATGGAGAGATATTATATTGTTGATAGGTCAAACATTAACTCCCAACTAAAGTGGCCCTGGAGTTTGGGGATCTCTGGTAGCTAAGCCAGGTAAATGATAAAATGACATCAGAAGAAAGGAAACAGTTCTCCACAGGGGCCAACAGGCGGTTCCCAGTGTGGATCCCCATTGGGACCTCAATTCGGAGCATGGAGGCTGGAGTCACAGGCATTTACGGTCTTGTATACTAGAGGGATTAAGAAAGACCAGAAAAAAGCCAATGAATTACTAATTGATGTCCACCATAATGCAGGGAAAGGAAGAAAACCCTATGGCATTTTTAGAGAGGCTAAGGGAGACATTAAGAAACTATACCTCCTTGTCACCTGACTCTATTGAAGGCCAACTAATTTTAAAGGATAAGTTCAGTCATTCAGTCAGCTGCAGACATTAGAATAAAACTTCAAAACCTGCCCTGGGCCCCAAGCAAAATTTAGAAACTCTATTGAATTTGGCCACTTCGGTGTTTTATAATAGGAACCAAGAGGAGCAGGCTGAACCAGGCTGAATGAGACAGACTAGACAAGAAAAAGGCCGCCATCTTAATCATGGCTCTCAGGCAGACAAACTTTGGTGGCTCTAAAAGAAAGAAAGGCTGGGCAGGCAACCCACCTAACAGGGCTGGTTGTCAGTGTGGCTTACAGGGGCACTTCAATAAGGACTGCCCAAACCAAAATAAGCCACCCCTCATCTATGTCCCTTGTGCCAGGGGGATCACTGGAAGGCACACTGCCCCTGAGGGCAAAGGTCCTCTGGGCCAGAGGCCACTAACCAGATGGTCTAACACAGGACTAAGGGTGCCTGCCAGCCCATGCCATCACCTGCACAGAGCCCCAGGTAAGCTTAACCATTGATGTCCAGGAAAATAACTTCCCCCTGGACACTGGTGTGGCCTTCTCAGTTTTACTCTTCTGTCCTGGACAACTACTGTCCAGGTATGTCACCATCAAAATGTTCCTAGGACAGCCAGTCACTAGGCATTTCTCCCACTCCCTAAGTTGTGACTGGGGAACCTTATTTTTCTCTCATGCATTTCTTATTATTCCTGAGAGCCCTACTCCTTTACTAGGGAGAGACCACTATATAGTTATATACTGCTAAAGCAGGGAGCATTATATATTGAATATAGGAGAAGGAATACCTGTTTGCTGCCCTCTACTCGAGGAGGGAGTTAATCCTGAAGTGTGAGCAGAGAAAGGACAATACAGATGAGCAAAAAACACTTATCCAGTTCAAGTTAAATTAAAGGATCCTACCTCCTTTCCTTATCGAAGGCTGTACTCCCTCAGACCAGAAGCCCAATACGGGTTACAAAAGATCGTCAAAGACCTAAAAGCACAAGGATTAGTCAGTCACTACCACTTGCTAAATTTATTTAATGTCACCATTGCTGAAATTCACAAGGCCTCCAGCCAAAATCCAACTGACTGCTGGATGTTCCTCCCCTTATGCTTTAAACTATTTGTCCCAGTTCCTGCTCCCAAACATTGGAAAGCCATGAACTGAGAACAAACACCACAGCCCTGGTGGGCCCTTTAGTCTCAAGTCTAGAAATAACACATACATCAAATCTCACCTGTGTAAAATTTAGCACAACCATTAATGCAGCCATCTTCCAGTGCAAAACATGGATTACCCTACCTCCACGACTCTCTTGCTTACCATCAGGGATCTTTTTTGTTTGTGGCTTCTCAGCTTACCACTGCTTAAATAGTTCCTCCAAAAGTCTATGCTTTCTCTCCTTTTTGGTGCCCCCCTATGACTGTCTATATGGATCAGGAATTACAGGATTTTCTTTTACCCAAACCCCGTTACAAATGGGCAGTAGTCTTGCCATTTATTATTGAGGCTGGGATAAAAGGAGGACTAGGAACTGGCATTGGTGGCATTACCACCACCACTCAATTCTAGTACAAATTATCACAGGAGTTAAATGATGACATGGAATGAGTTGCAGACTCACTGGTCACCTTATAAAGCCAGCCTAACCCTTTAGCAACAGTAGCCCTTCAAAATTGGAGGGCCTTAGATTTATTAATAGCCAAAAGAGGTGGAACCTGTGTTTTTCTAGGAGAAGAGTGCTGCTATGTCATTAATCAATCTAGACTTGTCACCAAGAAGTTTAGGGAGCTTTGAGACCAGATACACTGCCAGGCACAAGAGCTTCAAGACACAGGTCTTGGAGTATTGTCAACCAATAGATGCCCTGGTTTCTGCCCTTCTTGGGACCCTTGGTGGCTATTGTGATGTTGCCTATCTGTGGAGCCTGCATTTTTAACCTCCTTGTAAAATTTATCCTTTCAGAATAGAATCCATGAAACTGCGAATGGTTCTACAGATGGAGCCCCAAATGACCACCACTAGCACCTGCTATCGAGGACCCCTAGACTGAACCGCCAACCTGTTACTTCACCATGACACTGAAGACTCCCCTCCTGAGGAAAACTCAACTGCAGAGCCACTTCTATGCCCCAGTTCAGCAGTAAGTAGCTAGAACAGTTGTTGCCCAACTTCCCAACAGCACTTGGGCTTTCTTGTTGAGATGGAGAACTGAGAGACTAAGTGGCTAAGTTGTCTGGACTTCCTGGGTCAATAGGGACTTCCCCAAGGGCTTTCCCCTAAGCCAAAATGAGTCATAGCTGCAAGCTAAGGGATTGAAACTCTAACCAATTAAAGGGGACTTTCCTCTAAGCCACAATGAGTCATAGCTGCAAACTAACAGATTGAAACTTCAATCAATCATATAGGGAGTTTAAGCTGCAGCTGTAGCCTAGTGCTTTTAACCAATCAGGCCTGCCAACCTACAAGTGATAGAAAATAAGCTAATCCTACAGGACGGAAAAAGGAAAACGGGAAGATTCTTAAGGGGATACAAGCATAAGGCATCCAAGCCAGAAACAGCAACCCTTCTGGGCCCCCTTCCACTGCCTGGAAGCTTTACTTTTGCTTTTGTTTTACTTTCACTTTCGCTTTAATAAATCTTGCCACTGCACACTCTTCAGGTCCCTGCCTTTCTGTAATCAAGCTATAACACTCGCAGCTGTGATCCACAGCTTTGTTCCTTGAAGCCCGTGAGACCGTGAACCCTTCTATCCAGGAAAGACCTTCCATCAAGAGAAGACTTCTTGTCTCATTTCGATGTTATATATAAAGGCTTGAGCACTCTCAAGTTTTGAAACATGTGGGGGGGTCCAGAAATCAATCACCTCTGGATACTGAGGAACAACTACTGTCAATAAAACCAGGGTATGCTTAAGAAAAGATTGATTATCTAGTGCTACAATAATGCAGCACAGCAAACACCCTTTACCTTACCATGATGGCTTGAAATAAAATGCAGTTGTCTAACTTATGAGATGGATTATGGGTTGCACATTTAGGTTGTGTTCAGCCAAATGGTATTTTGGTTCCCTGTTGACTTCACTCCTATGGTTATCATCTGAGATAACTGCACCATAGGTCTCTTATCTTCCAGCAAGCTAGCTCAGGCATGAGCTAAAGATGGGGGCCAACTGCAGGAGCACAAGAAAAAGCACAAGAACTTTCAAAATCTCTGCCACTGTTGACACCCATTGTAACATTGCTAAACCAAGTAATGAGATGAACTCAAAATTTAGGGATCAACTATCCCCTACTTTCTGGTGAGAAAAGCTGTAATGTGGTCACATTGTGAAGGCCTGGTTTCATGACAGGCTGAGAAATCAGGGCACTAATGCTATCTCCCTTCCTCCAGGAACATCTGGATTTCATATCAAATCATCATTAGCAAAAGCAGGTCTGTGACAGCTATTCACACACTACAAGCTTTGTTTGGAGTAGATGCTTTTTGCTGTTTAATTCAACATAAGTGCATGCTACTCGAGGTGCAGTTCACATCTAATTCATCCTGGCAATTCCCTAGGGAGGCCATGATGTGCAAAACTGGAACTGTCCAAACACTATGCAGTTATTCTTTCATATTTAAAATGATCAACGCGTAACCCACACACAATATTGTCTGAGCAAAAATAGTATTTTCTTGTGCTAAGTCACAGAAATAAAAAGTCTAACCGGATAATTGCTTACACCACTGAATATTTAACATTTCATGAAATAAATCTTGATAAAAAGTTTTTAAGTGTATATATAAAGTCAAGAATGACTTTCTATCTTAACACATGTGTAAATCAGGATTCTTTCAATTGTAGAACACCAACACCATCATCATTAGACTAACTCTATTAAAGGTATTCATGGACAAACTGTGCAATATTAAATTTGCAAACTCCAACAAAAGCACTATGGGAATAAAGGATATGTTGAAAAAAAAGTGCAAGTGGTATAGCAATCATACAATATGTTTAGGTCTTCTAAGCTTGGTTCCCTTATCAAAATATTTCCCCAGAAATAATCACCCATTTGACACTAGACTGGCTTTCTATAACTCCAGCTTTCTCTAACTATTTTTAAGCATCTTTCTCTGTTGCCCAGGCTGGATTCCAGTGGTTGTATCACAGCTTACTACATCACTTCAGACTCCCAAAGTGCTGAGATTATAAACATGAGCTATCTATCATGCCCAGCCAAAATCAGATATAAAAAAATAACTTCTGCATGTTCTTTAATATAGCTGCTATATACACTTTTTATGAGACAAATCCCCCTAAAAAACTGGCTCTAGGAGACAATCTGTTTGTCCACTTGTTTGCTTTTATCATATATAAAAAAACATAATTTTGTGCTTTTTTTCTCTAAAAAGGACAAGGTAAATATTGACACATAATTGCATTTTCTTCATTACCCAAGTTTGTTTTTCATATATTATCTTTTATCAGCCTTTGCACTGATATATTTTGTAATTAAGTCTTCAGTTAATGTTTAGTAGGGGGATGTCAACTAAGTTATCTGTTGCTACCCCTGAGTCTAAGAATCTTTTGGCTAGGAACCTATACACTATACATAAAAATATAGTGGCTGATATGGTTTGACTGCGTTCCCACCCAAATCTCATTTTGAATTTAATTCCCATAATCCCCACCTGTCATGGGAGGGCCCATGTGGGAGATAATGGAATCACTGGGGCAGTTTCCCCATGCTATTTTCATAATAGTGAGTAAGTTCTCAAGAAATCTGATGGCTTTATAAGGGACTTCCCCCTTGGCTTGGCTCCTATTCTCCTTGTTGCTGCCATGTAAAGTAGGATGTGTTTGCTTCCCCTTCCACCATGATTGTAAGTTTCCTGAGGCCTCCTCAGCCATGCCGAACTACAAGTCAACCAAACCTCTTTCCTTTATTAATTACCAAGCCTTGGGTATGTTTTTATTAGCAATGTGAGAATGAACTAATACAGTGGCTTACACAAGAGTTGATTATTTAACACATGATACTTCAGTTTGCTAATTTGGGCAGAGCTCAGCTAGGATTGCTCATCTCTATTGCTTGTGGTATCTCTTGGCTCAGTAATGTGGATGGGGACTAACCTAGGAGAGATGGAACAGCTAAGATGGCTGCACCTCCGCTCCATATGGTCTCAATTTCTCCAGGAGGCCAGCTTAGCCATGTTCAGATATCAGTGTTTAAGCAGAGGAAGTGGAAGCTCCAGAGCTTCTTGAAGTCCAGACTCGGCACTTTAACATAATCAAATGTGGAGGGAAGCCCCAGTTTATAGGGCAAGAAAATAGGCTTTCCTTCTTAGAGAAAGAAACTAAAAAGAATCTGTGACCACCTTAATCTTCCACAGCTACAGATTAGGTATACTCATCACTGGATGAAAACCTTGGCACACACAAAAAATGGCATTGATTGTTTTAATGGAAAGCTCAATTTCCACTTAGGGAAATAAAAATCCAAATTTAGTCAGTGGCAACTCAAATATAAATGAAAATAATTCATGTATATTTTAAATGGATACAAGATGCATCAATTCAGGAAACATCAGAGATTTCATAGTGCAAATGAATTATACAGTGAAACAACTTAATTGCAATGTATTGACACATCTTATCCTTTCAAAATGCTTCAAAGAATGAATTGAATTATAGCCTTCCTGTAATTTTAAATGAGTTGATAACTTGTTTTCCCTTATATACTTTATATTTTGATTTAAAGCTAGACAGTTTTTAAAATAAATATGGAGATACGTGTGTATATGTGTGCTTGTATCCCCAAGTCATTTATAAAATAGAGCATAGCAGTACATAAGAAAACATCTAAAATTAAACAAATAACTATCTAATAACCATCTTTCTTTTTTCAGCAGCTATCTGCATAGAGAAAAAATAGCCAAGTCTAGATATGAATAGAACAAAATTTAAAATAAACAATTTTAGTCATCAGAATTTAAGGAGACAAGTGTATAGACAGTTTCTCATTAAGTATTCATTTCTGAAATTTTTTGAATTTCCCTGGAGGATAAATAGTAATTTGTCTCCCTCCATAATTTCAGATTTTCACAGTCATCTAAAAGATAAATAATATAGTTATGACAAAGGCAAAGTTTGAAAGCTGATATTTCTATCCCTCTCTTTTCATTATAATTCCCATTCTATTCTCTTCCGGAGATAATGGCAACTTTCAGTTGAAGCAATACCTATTCCTAGCAAAAGAAGGGCATCAGAATTTGAGCTCTTTGACAGCAGCACAAACAAAAACGTCATTCTCAAACAGCCTTGATAGAAGATGAAGTTCAGCAGTGAGCATGCAGTGCAAGAATGTGGATCTCTCTGTTATACCCCAAAGACTGGAAGAGAATCTTCTGCAAGCTAATTATAGGGCCACGGCCAGGAAGCAATCTGTGTAATCTCCCTATGATTCCCTACCTCTCTTTCTGAGCTGACACACCTAAGAATAGTTATTATGAAGTAAACCTCCTCTGTCCTTCTGGGGTGATGGGTTGTTTTGCCATGAACTCAGGGCTGCCATTTCCTTCATAAAAATCCCATTCATTGTGACAGCAGAGTTAGGATGCAATCCCAGGATGATTTTCCGGAGGATTTCAAGGGATGCACTCATAGCACACTTTCTTCCATGTGACTGATATAGAAAAATATTTAGTGGGTAACTTCTCATCAAGGAGTGAGGGGACCCTGTTAAGCAAAAACTCTCAAACCATGTTTTCCTTCTGCTTTCAAACCACAGCAAACAACAGAGAAGACTTCTCAAACAAAATGTAGAGTTCTCCCCATGCAAACTATCTTAGCCTGTTCTCACACTGCTAATAAAGACATACCTAAGACTGAGTAATTTATAAAAGCTTAACGGACCCACAGTCCCACGTGGCTGGGAAGGCCTCACAATTATGGCAGAGGACAAAGGAGGAGAAAGGCACATCTTACATGGAGGCAGGAAAAAGGGAGTGTGCAGGGGAACTTCCCTTTATAAAACTACCACATCTTGTGAGACTTATTCACTATCACAAGAATATCATGGGAAAACCTGGCCCCATGATTCAATTACCTCACACCAGATTCCTCCCACGACCCATTGGAATTGTGGTAGCTACAATTCAAGATGAGATTTGGGTGGCAACAAAGCCAAATCATATCACATACCAAGCAGTGGACAACAAGTGTGTATCCTCTAATTAACTTTGGACACTCTCTATCTGGATATAGTGTCAGATCCCACATGGTGATGATTCAGTCCCCAAAACTACCCTCTACCCTGAGGCACCAGTAGCAACTCCAGGACTCCTGAACTTCTGAATGACCAGCTTCAAGTTGACATTCCCATGGCCCGCTCTTTTAGTTCCATTAATTTGCTAGAGTGGCTCACAGAACTCATGGAAACACATTGATGGTTTATTATAAAGACTACTACAAAGGATAAAATAAAGAAAGATGTAGGGCAAAGTGTGGGGGAAAGAATACAGAATTTTTATGCTCTCCCTGGGAACACCACCCTCCAACCATGTTCAGTCATCCAGAAGTTCTTCGAACCCAGTCCTCTTTGGGTTACATGAAGACTTCATTATATAGACATGATTGATAACTGTGTACAAATGCAATTGGACCAAAAATACAGGAGCTAAACACAGGAAGGAGTCTATTCAGACTTTTCTTGGACTCTCTGGGTAGCATTCTTCCTCTAAGGTATAGGGAAGTATGCTCTCTAGAATGAGGGCCTTTTGACCCACAATCAGATTACAATCTTGCCTTGGGCAGGGGAAAAGAGGACAGAAGAAATTCAGAGAGAGATTCTGTTTTCTGAGACCTAAACTGTCCCAACATTATAGCCAAAGACCAAAATAAGGGTAATGGGAGTTGTAAGTTGGGAACTGTGGACAAAAACCTGTGTGTGTGTGTGTGTGTGTGTGTGTGTGTGTGTGTGTGTGTGTTGTCCAATCACATTTCTACTTGTCAATCAGCCCTATGTAATGAAGCCTGCATAAAACACACACATATATGTGTATGCGTATTTGTGTATATCTGTGTATCATATATATGTATATATTCACAATATCATAGACCCCATGTGAGAATATTTATGAGTGAGCCAGGGTGGCAGGGGCTGGGCAGGGTACATATACGAAATATTGTCTTGCCTAGCAGCAAAGGACAGCAGTTATCCCAAGGGTCTCCTAGCATGACTGAAGAGGCTGCTATATCTAGTCCATTGCCACACAGATCCAAGTTTAATGATTTATAGGAAAAATTGATCAGGCATCTGGACTGATCTGCATGAGGTATGCCACAGCTTCATGAATAGAAAATCCCACCTGGTTGGGCTCTAAGAATTGTGGAACTGGTTCTCAGAGAGGTTCCACCCATCACCAAGGACCTTCCATGATGAAAATTCTAGTGTGTGAAAATGTGCAATGCTGTCTGTGTTGGAGAATGCTGCAAAATTTTTGAGACATGTATGTTCTTGTAATAAGCTAATTTTACAAGAAGTTTTCAAAATGTAAATCATAAACCAGAGAGGACCCTGCAATCAACAGACTGGGTTGCAATGGGCTTTCCTTAAAATGAAGGGCCATTATGGCTTACAGTGGCCTCTAGTTTGCAGATACTTGTGCTAGCTCAGTGACTTCCACACTTTGTCTTGCAAAACATCCTCAGGGACTGTAGGTGTGGGGAAAAGAAGGTGAGAGGCCAGAATCCAGACTCCTCTAATCCTCACCTCCCTGCTAGCCCCATGGGTTCAACAGCAGTTCCCTGTTTTTGTCTGTTTGGCACATTGAACTATCAGCAGATCAGCTCGTGTGTCTCAGTATGTTGGGATTTCAACATGAAATTATTTTGTCTTGAAGCCAACTGCCTTGTAGGAAATTGAGTTAATCAGCCAGGGATGTACTAATAAAGTACCATAGGCTCCAGGGCATCAATGACAAAGATTTAATTCTCTCACATTCCGGAGGCTGCAAGTCTGAGGTCAAGGCGTCTCAGGACTGGTTCCTCCTGAAGCCTCCCTCCTTGGTGTAGATGCTGTCTTCCCTCTGTATCCTCATGTGGTTGTCTTTCTGTGTGTGTCTGTGTCCCAATCTTTTCTGATAACACCACAGTTCGATAGGACTAGGGTCCACCCATATGACTTCATTGTACCTTAATTACCTCTTTAGAGGTTCCATATCCAAATATAGCCACATTCTGAGGTCCTGAGGGTTAAGACTCAGCATATGAATTTGGGAGGACACAATTGGGCCCATTATAGAAGGGGCTGAATATGTGCTCCCATAACATCTCCATGTAATTCCATAAACAGTCACCTTCAATTGCTGGGACAGTCTCATTTGCCACCACACAAACCACCCCTGTGACAACCAAGGTAGGCTTATCGGGTCTAGTACTGGTTCTTTTGACGTCCAGATAGGGAGGAAGGAGAGGAGCACTCAGAAACAGCTTTCTGGGGCTCCCATAGAGAAGTTGGAGTCCTCTGGTTCTCTCCTGGATGGGCTGTATGCATTGTTCTACTTCATGATCATGGAATTGCCTCAATAATCCCCAGGACAAGGAGATTTCTATAAAATAGCATCAGGTCATATTTTCTGATTTATCTTCAGCTGGTTGCAACACAGCACAAACTCTGAGGGGGCATGGTTTTTGTTCAATGTTATGCCATAGTGACAAAACAGAGTTTCCCAGTGTCATTCACGCTTGTGGAATCTCTGAGCTTGTGATATGCTGCTTGCAGAATCCATCATCTCTCTTTCCATGGATCAAATAACTCACTGAATGCAGACAGGGAGAGATTCAAATAGTTAAACCAAAATCCTGTTTTACATTTCACAGCAGGCTCAAGATCTAACAATAACTTATCTGGGATCTATAAAGTTGTTCTATATGGGACCAAGTTCAGAAATTTCATTTATTGTGAATTAAATCTCATGATTTTAATTTATATTTTTATTTTAACCTATTAATTAAAAAATGCTAACCCACTTATAGCATTATCTGCAGTTGTTTATTTTCATTTGCCATCTGAAAAACATCTCTACATTTTAGCACCATCTCCACACAGATGAGATGGCAATAAAGACCCACTCTATTACAGAAATTACACTTTAGCTTTGGCATTGGTTACTTTTTTTAAGGAACCTTTGAAAGTTGTTGAACTTGAAGCAAATCTGTAGAACTGTATGGCTTTTCAGCTCGCATTTTCTTTTGGCTTGTCCACAAGGAGTCAGCAAGATATTATTGAAATAATGATGGTTCCCAAATTTGGAGCTGAGAGACTTTACTCCAGACAGTTAGCTTATCAGGCCATTTGTCTTCTCATCTGTGCCATGGAAATGCTGACAACTAATAGCACAAAGCTATTAAGAACTTACCTGCATTTAATTTTCACAACATTTTATTTTTACACCTTATATAAAGCAGGTCTTATAGTTACCACTGTCTTACAGATAAGGAAACTGAGATTTAGAAGGTTAGTTCTACACCTGTGTTATCATAGCTAGAAAGAGGGAAATTTAGGAGTTGAATGTAAACCTGCCTGACTCCTGACTTCTGATTTGTAGGATCATGAGAGAATTCCAGTTGGTGTTCATGAAGTTCTTGACATAGAAGAGTTTTCTGAGAGACGGTGCATTCTACTCTTAAAAATAAAAACGTTTTGCCAATCATTTTTTTTGAAATACAGATTTAACATGACTGAACACTTTAGCCAAGACTACCAGTCTTACTTGCATCAAGAAAATGAAGTGAGAAGAACCTTGCCAAATGTTTACCTAGAAAACCCATGCTGACTTTTACAAAGTAGCTCTTAATTTTTGCTAAAGGCTTAGAAAACATTTGCTTAAGTAACTGCTAGAACTGGGAACAGGAGTTATGTATCTATCACCGGAGTATTATTTTTTCTATTGCAGGGAATTTCATTTAAAAACTACAGCAGGAACAAGCATTCTATAAATTCTACACTATGGACACTCTGTAGGAGAAATCACTTGGTTTCCCCAATAACTTAGTTACAAGAGGAAAATGAAAGCAAAAAAGGAGAGGATGAAAGTTAAAAAAACAAAAAAGATAGATTCAATTATGTCAGATGGTATGCTCTCAGTTTACAATACTGGTAATTTGAAGAAACACCCCTACCCTACAGAATTCTTTTATTTCTCACCAAAATATTTCATCTTATAGAAAATCAGAATTTAATCTGGAAACTTTTCCAACACTTTTTAGGCATCCAGTTTCCACCACCTTGAGCCATCCACCTTGAGCTAAATGATAAATAGATTGCTTTTAAACTGAAGCATTTTTAGGAAGGTTGTAACTTGAAATTAATCATAAAGTGACATCAGAAAAGCCCTAATTTAAGATATCCTACACAAAAATTGCAAAGTACTCATGCCATAACAAGACTAAGGAACTGCCCTGGATTAAAAGAGACTCAATAAACAGGACAACTGAACCATGATTTTGGACAGTCTCACAATTGGGAGCATCTGAGTTGGTCCCTAGATTACATCCTAGCATTGTATCAATGTTAAGTTCCTGATTTTGATCATTGCACTGTGGTTATATAAGAGACTGACTTGTTTTAGGATAGTCTTCCTGTGGCTTTTAACTATACAAGTTTTTCGTTTGTTGCAGGAAGGTATTTGAATATCCCTGTAGAGTTTAAGTGTCTTCGTTATGCTTGAACAATATAATACCCTGCCAATCTCATTGTTTTGAATACTTATCCAATGTTCTCTGTTCTGAATTTACATTTACATTTATTGAGCTTCATTCAACTAAATCTATTTTGGAATAAAAGGCCATTTCACCTCCCATTATGGAAGCCTTGTTTATTTTAAAGATGATCTAGTAGCCATGTAGAGCACAGGGACACAGAAATAGTAAGAATTAAGAACTGCCATTTTTCAGAAGAGGCCAAGACCACCCTCTCTGAAATGGCCACACAGGGAAGTTTGCCAGAATGAGCTCCAGTGTTTCTCAAAGTGTGGTTTCCAGACCATGCCCATTAGCATTCCCTGGGTGCTGACCGAACAGGCAGATCCCAAGGACCCACTCCAGACCTACTGAATCAGAATCTCTAGGGATTTAGCTGGGAAATTCACATTTTAAAGACACTGCCTAGGTGCTTCTTGTCATTTAGTAATAAACAAATATTGATTAATATCCTCTGTGTGCCAGATGCCCTTGGAGGTCCTGAAGACAAAAGTGTACAAAACATCAAATGGAACGCAAAATTATATAGCCATTTTCGAAGGTTAGCCATTTCCTTGTAAAACTAAATCCAATTTTACCATGTGATCGAGCAAACATATTTGTTGGTATTTATCCAAATAAGTATAAAAGTTATATAAAAATCTGCCACAAATATTTATTACAGCTTTATTCATAATCACTGAAACTTAAAGAACAGCCAAGATGTCATTTAGTAGGTGAATGAATACAATGGAATATTATTCAGTGCTCAAAAGAAATGAGTTATCAAGCCATGAAAGACATGCAGGAATATTAAACACATATTACTAAGTGAAAGAAGGTAGTCTGAATAGACTACAGACTATGATACCAGCTAGATGACATTCTGGAAAAAGCAAAGCTATGGAAACAATAAAAAGTTCAGTGGTTACTAGGAGTTTGGGGAGAGAGATGAGTGGATGAATAGGTGGAGCACAGAGAATGTTTAGGGCAGTGAAACTACTCTGTCTGACACTATTATGATGTCTATGTATCATTATACATTAGTCAAAACCCATAGAATTTACACCACCAAGAGTGAATGTTAGTATCAACTGTGGATTTTGAATCATATTTTTTTAAAAAATGCATTGTTAGCTACACTTACAAAATTAAAATAATAATTCAGCAACTATTTGTAGACCCATGGAGTTTGGAATTGGCACTAAACCTTAAGAGCAAATCTCCTAAGGGATATATGTGAGTTCAGTTAGGATTTCATAAACAGAATAATCTGAATCATCAGGTTCAATATTTTTACTTAAATATATATATTTGTACTTATATTTGATTTTTATCAATAACATTAATAAATGATATTTGATTTAAGTATATATAATATATTTCAATACATATTTATAAATATGTATATTTTATGTGTATATATATATATAGAGAGAGAGAGAGAGATACAGAGAGAGAGAGTGCAGGTAATTATGTCTTTTGCTAGTGTTAAGCATGTGAAAAATTTTAGCTGCTAACTTAAAAATAAGAAAAGAAGGATATTGTTTTTCAAAATGATTTTAGTGGGTACTAGAAGAGTTTTGAGAAGCAGTGTTTTATTTACCTTCATATTTAGCATTTGAGTTTGATGACGTTTGCAAGGAGCTGGTCTACACAGTAGTGGTAGTGTATCCAGATATGAGAATGGGATGGGAACCAAGGAGTGGGCATGAACTGGGACAAAATTAGACTAAAATGGGAGCAAATCCTGGGGATCTGTCTAGGAGAAATAACAGGTTACTCTCCCGTGTGTAACAAGGCCTATTTACATCATCACTTCAGAGAAATAGGAAAGGAAAGAAAAGAGGATCTCTAGTCCAGATCTGTAAAGAATTTACAAGCAAGGAATGGGTTGGTGCAGAAAGAAGACTGTTTCATTTTACAACAAAACACATTTTAGATTTTGATATCCTGATTCTCAGGGCTACAAACTTCATATTTTCACATTTCCACCATCAAAGTGCAGGTGTATGGCCCCATCTGGAGCACTTGGAACTGAAAATCAGTCTATGGAGATGAAACTGAACAGAAGAAAGCAGCAAGGCAGACATAGTTAAAGTTGGAAAGGGAACTAAAGAAAACCCTCCAAATGAATGTACTAATGTAATAGAATCCTAGAGAAGCAAATTTGAGTGGGGTTGTGGGGAGGAAGTGTACAGGGTTGGTGCTCAGTAGGGCTGGGGAATCATGCAGTTTTAAGAACAAAATATGAAATACAAAAAATGGAGTTGTGGTAAAGAATAGAAGTGAAAAGCCTCAGAGCCTAAATTACAAGGGATTTGATGGCTGTATTTGGCACTGAGAAATAAACAAGCTAGATGCAGAGACATGGGTCATAGGGGTGAAAAAGAAAATACATTACCAGTTCCAGGAAAAGAGAAGACCATACAAGACATGTTATAAATCAAAATTGTCAGTGCTACAAGAGGAGGATTAGAAAAATAAAGTATGAGGTAGGAAGAAAATGATCCAGGAAGTGGAGATTAAATGAAAAAGGCTGGCAGGAGACTGGAAACATAATAAACAGCTTCCAGAACAAGCAAGCCACAAGAGGTCAGCAGAAACTGGTGTTCCCCTGAGGGCAGAGGATAAAAGAATGAGTGGGTAGTTCTGGGACATGAAAAGGCATGCCCTCAGTACTGTCTCTCATACACACAAACCCACACACACTGTCACTGAAGGAGCTCAGAAAAAGAAAACATTGCAGGATGTAAGCTGAGATGTGAGACTGGGTAAAATACCAGTAGGGTGTTTTTTCATATATACAAACATTGATATAAGGTAGAATCCATTCATAGAGTTTATCAAAATAAATGAAATTGGTCATTGCAAAAAAAAATCTGAATGAGCTTTTGCTCTTAAAGTATATAAAAGATACAAAATACTTTTGATACTTTTTGGGTAATTTAAACATATATCTTCTGGCTTTATAAATTCTAATAATCTTCAATTACAATGTTCAAATATTCTTTATTGCAAGATAAAATTAAATTTATTTTAAAGATCTGTGTCCTGAGCTAAAATTATTTAATATTAGCAAGTTGTTCTGTGAATCAAATAAAACTTTGAGGATGTTAAAAGACAAGAATTCTTACTCAGACAAGAGGGAATGAATGGAAGGGGTCACTATGTTATATCCAAGTAAATAGATCCTTCTCAAAGAAATAATCATGTGAGAATTAAATCATAAGTTATTTTTCAGCTGTTACATGCCTTCTCGGGTGCTAAAGGGAAAATGAGAGTAGAAATGGAAGTTTCTAACAAATTAAATATATGTTATGGCAGCAAATATTTTCCTGTTCTATTACTTACATCATGGAAATAATTATTTCAATATTGATAACTGAAATAATGTTACATTAATAATAATGATGGTGATAATAGCTTTAAGTCAGTTTTATCATTTTTTTATATTCACATGCAAGATCAGAAGAAACTTTCCAGAAAGAGTAGCAAAATGATAGAATAATCAATCAATGGAAACTAACACATAGAAACTAACTGACATACAAGTTAGAATTCATAGAAAAAGACATTAAACATAGTTATTATACATGTATTTCATATGCTCAAAAAGCAGGGACTTAGAAGATATAAAGGCAACCCAATAAAATTTACAGAGATGGAAACTGTAGTGCCTGAGATGAAAATACACTAGATAGAAATAATAGCCAATTAGAAACATAACAGAAGAAAAGTTCAGTGAGTTTAATGATATAGCAATAGAAAACTATGCAAAATGAAACATAAAGAGAAAAATGGGATCTAATAAAGAAAAGAACATCAATGAGCCCTAAGACAACTCCAGCTGATCAAATATATGCACAATTGCACTCACCATTTTTAAAATGTAGAGTTTCAGTTATTGTATCGTATTGTGTCATGTCGTGTCGTGTCGTGTTGTGTCGTATCGTGTCGTGTCACATAGTATCGTATTGCCATCTTGAATCCAGACTATTTGGTTTTGAGTGTCCAGAAGGCAAACTTCCTGGATTTACACCAGAATCACAGAGTGGATCAGATGATTCAGATATCTACCTACTTTGTAGCCAGACATTTGATCAATCTTACTATTAGTCCAGCTAAGTACCCTTGCTTAGAGAGGTATCTTTGTGTCTAAATTTTGAGGCTTTGGGGGCTCAAATTTAGGCACAAATCCTAATGCTGCTTTAGGATAAGACTTTCAGCTTCAGTCTATTCTGTGAGTTACAAAATACCCACATTCTTTCTAGCTTCAAAAAATATTAATATTCACCCCTCACCAGCTATTGACTTATCTTTGTGTCTTAGTCTCTATGGAACAATATCCTCTTTATTCCCACCTTATCACTGAAGTCTAAGATTGAAAAAATGAGTTGTTGGATCAACCATGAATATCCAGAAGTTGCAGAGATTCTTTAAGTAGCCATCAGGACAAAAATGAGGCTGTTAAACTTGATAACTACCTTCCTTTGTAAGAATGGTTTTATCACCTCTATAAATGAGTATCTTAAATGAGTATTGAATCTATATCACAATCATTGGTTCTCATAATTCTATTGATTGCTATATTATACTCTGGAATTTACTATTTAAAAGGAGCCATTTGATTATTTTTCCTACTTTGTGCAATCTTCATGTGATCCTTTTATTCTGCCAGGGAAATTATAGGATTTCTTTTCTTTAATGATGATTTTTTAAAAAATTACCAGGATACATAGATATCTTTAATTTTGCCTGGTTGATCATAAAATCTGAAATCCCTTTCTCAGAGGACTCTGGTTTATTCTGCTTCTGGTGGCTTTCCTTTGCCTTCTTATAATCATGTTGTGTTTCCAGTGTTCCATCTATAACATGTCTTTTTCTTCATCCATTTATTCTCTTTATTTTTCAAAAATCTGAATTATAGGGTAGTCAACATTTCATTATCCAACTCACATTTCTCAGCCTCCAATCCACACCTTTTTTCTGTAATTGTAATTTTAAATATTCAGAAACCATTTCCATTTAATCTCACATATTCTTGATCTATGTTGTTCTCTTTCCATGATTACTCTTGTTGCATAATCTCTCAAATCCTGTTGACAATACACTTGAGGATATTTCTGATGGATCTTTAAATGAATCTGCAGAGTCATGTTCTTATCTGCTTATCACTATGGAATAAGGTTAATGTTTTGTTTTGTTTTGTCTTTGAATGTTTTTGGAGTCGAAATACATGGATGCAAAACTTATTTGGCTCCTGGGTTGAGAAACATAGTGTTCAGATGAAGGAAATGTATACAAGCAAACAAAAGACAGGTTAGGTTTCCTGCAACTTCGCTTCTTCCTATGGATAATGCCATGGGTCCTGGGGAGTAAAAAGAAAGAGGCTATCCATTTTAGGGCAGCTGTAGCCTCTTTGGTGAAGAACTGTTTGTTTATTTGTTTGTTTGGAGTGGCTGCTGGTAGTTGGATGGAACGTAGAGTGCCCTCAGTAATGAACACCACACCTTCTGAGGAGCCTGCACAACAATGCACCATTTCCAGGACTTTGGCAGCCTCCTGACGTACACACCAGGTGTGCATGCACTTCAGGGCTAGGGTGACACCCTGATGATGCTTGTCTCTTGCTCACTTCACAGAGGATGCCACATGAGCATTTTTTCTTCCCTGCATTTTCTACTCTCAGTCTCATCTGGAGTCTAAACTTCATATCTTGGATGAGGCTTCAAAAGGGGTATGTCTAGGGTGAGTTTCTTTTTTAACTGCAGTGTGAACTATGGTTTAAGTGGCCCTTTCCCTCTTTCTTTTCTATATTTTGCATGTGAGAAGCACTAATGCTCTATTTCCAGAAATAAATTTATTTATTTATTTATTTATTTTTGAGATGGAGTCTTGCTCTGTTTCACAGGCTGGTGTGCAGTGGTGCTATCTCGGGCTCAATGCAAGCTCTGCCTCCTGGGTTCACACCATTCTCCTGCCTCAGTCTCCTGAGTGACTGGGACTACAGGCGTGCGCCACCACACCTAGCTAATTTTTTTCTATTTTTAGTAGGGACGGGGTTTCACCATGTTAGCCAGGATGTTCTCGAACTCATGACCTCATGACCCATCCGCTTTGGCCTCCCAAAGTGCTGGGATGACAGGCATGAGCCACCATGCACGGCCAAAATAAATTAATCTTTAGTTATTCATTCTATTTTTATTGGAAATGAAAATTAAAGGAAAAGAGGAACATAAAATGTAGGTGCTCAAATGATCCTGAGCCAAAAAGCCCTCTTGCCTAGTCATTGTCTAATCTGGGCTAATCAACTCCAATTCCTTTTATCTACCTGCCTGTATTGTATCCGTTTGATGATCTTTAGAAGTCTCCTTTAAACCTTTTCTAATGCCATTGAAGCTCTTTTAGATAAGATCGTATAAACTGGACATATTTCACATAAATATGAAATAATATTACCTGTGTTATTAGACATCTTATAATATACCCCACAATTGTGAACTCTTTTCTATGCAATTCAAATTATGTGCAACACTGTACAGAGGTAAGAAGCATAACTATCAGTGTGATTTTCATGTTGCAGAAAGGCAGTTATAGGTTCTCCAGACTCTGTTGGTTTTCCAACCAGACAGCAAGCCACCGAGGCTGTGTAATGTGTACAAAGGTTCTGGGTAATGGAATATGCTCAAAAGTGATGGGCAATGTTTCTAAGCCTGACTCTTATGCTTTACTGCAAAATATTTTAATCAATCATATTCACATCCAAAATATAAATAACTGGTTTAAATACTGCTGCATAACTCTCAGATCTTGTGTGCCTTTTTGGGTTCTTGTGACTTCAGTGTCTCCTGAACCATCAACTTCTTCTACTTCAATGACTGCAGAGGCTGAAAAATTGCTCATGGAAATAGGATCATGAGATTTCATCTCCTTGAGTCCTTGGATCCTCCTGGCTTCTCAAGTTGTCAAAGGGGCTGAATAACAAAGGGAGTTCTGTATCATGAGGTAAGTTGCCACCAATGGAAGACAGAAGGCAGAAGGGAACTGAACCAATAAATTCCTTCCCCTTTCCTCACTACAGTGCAACCTTCCAATGGATTCTTTGTTCTGTCTGTCTGCAGACTACTCACCTGGCTGAGTGAATGCACCTGTTGATCTGCTATATATCTTCTTATATGATTTGTTGTGTAGCAGAGGCCAGTGCACTAAATATTATATCATCTTTCATCCTCCTCAATGTCACTTCCTTTTTCTCTCAGCCTTTCTGCTCTGGGATGCACCTTCCACATGAAGCATCTAAACATAGTCCTTTCCTCAGGTTGTGCTTTCTAGTGTAGTCAGGATAAGATGTACCATTTCCCAGAGAATTTGCATTTTAAAAATTACAAAATTTCCCAAGATTTGTTACTGCACTCCAGCCTGGATGATGGAGTGAGGCTCCATCTCAAAAAAAAAAAAAAAATTACAAAAATTTTAAGGAAAAGGGACAAGTTTTTAAAGGTGAACATATCAGCCTCATTAGGAATTATTTTCATTTTAGGATAGAGTTCTCAATAGCCTTGAAACTTTCTGCATCTGCATTAATATGGTATCCATATATTCAATCTTATGCCAATGCACTATAATATATAGGCTCATCAACAATAGTAAAGGTAGGACTATTAATAAAGCAGTAAAGTAACATCACCTTTTGAGCATTTATCACAAGGTCATTCCTATCTTAATATATTAATAAAGTTGCTTCTGTGCCAGATAAAGAGAATGGCTACTGTATTTGTTTTCTAGGGCTGCCATAACAAAGTACCACTGTCTCACTAGCTTAACAAATACACATTTATTTTCTTATCATTCTAGAGGTGAAAAGTCCAAGGGAAAGCTATTCATAGAGTTCATTTCTCCTGAGGCCTCTCTCCTTGGCTTGTAGATGCTGTCTTCTCTCTGTTTTCACATGATCATCCCTCTGGATATATCTCCATCCTAATCTCTTCTTATAAAGAAACTAGTCCTATTAGATCAGGGCCCAGCCTAAAGACCTCACTTTGTCATCACTTTAAAGAGCCTAACTCCAAACACAGCCACATTCTGATATACTGGCATTTAGGGCTTCAACATATGAATTGTAGAGGGCACAATTCAGAGTGTAACAGCCACCATCTACCTATAAAGTCTGATTTTAGAGACCACAGAATTGCTGGATCAAGAGCAAAGCAGTGCACTTTGGTGCCTAAGTGTATCAGTTAGGGATCACTGGTTGTGTGCAATAAAACTATTCAGAACTGACCTAAGAGAAAAAAGAAATGATTCAAAGGAAATGGGCATAATGTATGAAATTCAAGGAAGAACTAAAAATTCAAGACTGAACTGAAAAGGCACCCAGAGGCTCCAGGGACTCCATGCAGTGGGAAAAAGTAATTTCCCTGCTACGTCCATACTGCTGCTGGAGTGAGCGAGAACCAGCCACCTGCCCTTAGCCAAAACAGGAGTCAGAGCTCTAATTTAATGTCCAACTAACCTAGTGTTGGTCATTCATCTCTCTTTCCTTGACATGAGGTGGAAAGGGCATTTGTAGTCACATCCTCACTAGTACTACACACAATATAGGAGGTGTGCTTCTCCAAAAGAAAATTGCAATGATGTTTCACTAAAAAAGAGAGATGGAGTTTGATGGTAAAGAAGGAAACAGAGAACAAAAAAAGGAAGGTAAGAAAGAAGAAAAAAGGAAGGGGGAAAGAAAAAAGAAAACAGAAGTAAGGAATAAAGGAAGGAAAGATGAAGGAAGGAAAGGAAAGAAGATGGAAGGAAGGAGGTTTGGAAAGAAGTAAAGAAGAAAAGAAAGAAAAAAGGAAGAAAAGAAGAATTAAAGGAAGGAGGAAAGAAAGAAAAAGAGTATGAAGGAAGTAAGGAAGGAAGGTAGAAATAAAGGAAAGAAGGAAAGAAAGAAAGAAGGAAGGAAGAAAGGAAGGAAGGAAGAGAGGGAGGGAGGAAGGAAGGGTTAAAGAAACAAAGAGAAAGTAGGACAGTGTGGGAAAAGGAAGGAAGAGAAGAAAGAGAGAAAGAAAACATCACATCTAAATTGGCTTGCATAGTTCATACAAATTGGCTAATCGTTGGGCTTCCTCTTGTAGACAGATTTGAGTCCACAAAGCAGGGAAGAACTTAGCCCCTTCTGCCAGTTTTTTTCTACATATGTCTGTATCTTATCCACCATTAGGTTTGGCACTACTTGCCATTCTTTCCTTGGCCACAAGATGTGAGCACAGGGAGGATGCCTCTGACCTAGTAGGCATCCAGCCACCTGTGGGAGAGATGTGCCCAAAGGCAGGTCCCTTACCATGAATTTTCTTGTTTCTGGTTATTGCTTTTGCTTCCACACCATTTAAGTTGTGCCATATTTTACTTACAGTTCTTTCAAGAAATCTGTTTTTGTTCTCTTTACTGTTATAGCCTGCTGGTGGCTCTCTTAAAGAGCTCCTGTCTTTTAGAGTATGAAAACTATGGAATTGTGTTTGTTAAGAGAACCATTACGAAGAAGCGTGCCATCTGGAAGGATAAGGTTGATGGCAATTTCTTGATTTTTACTTCTACGGGAAGGAGCACATAACTAAAGATGGAATTTTTTCTCTCCTATTATAAATCCATATATCATATTTCAGGGCAATTATATAAAGATACTCTGTACTGATCTTCGTTTTGTATAAGGAACTTATCAAGTTTGACCAAACATGAGACCTGGGCGTTGTGAAACTCTGATGTCCTAGCCTCTTAGTTCTGCATCTGATCTTTCCACCACATTTCACCTCCCTTCAACGTTAAGGAAGTCCACACATTCATGTGGCAACTAAATCACAGATATCCCCTTTGTCTTTCCATATTAGTCTAGGATATGGCTGTAGAACAGAGCTCACCTGACATTTCTGAAAAGATACAGAAAGTAAATATTTTTGGCTGAGTGGGCCATATGATTTCTGCAGCAACTATCCAACTCTGCTTTTGTAGTGAAAAAGCAGTTCCCAATGGTACACAGATAAATGAATGTGGCTGTTTCCTTTATTTACATAAACAAGCAGTAGGCCAGATTTGGCACACGGGTTGTAGTTCGCTGACACATGGTTGTGCATTTTTCTTTTATCACTAATCCACTGGGTGCTGACCATTTATCCAACAGTAATTGCCATCTGTTGAATCTTATTATGTGTCTGCCTATTTCATGTCTATGTAGCTTGTGGAAATGTACTCATCTTCACAACAACTTAATATCTACATTCCCACCAACATTGTATTGTCAAAGAACACAAACAGACATGTCTCAAAAGAAGGCATACAAGCAGCCAACAAACATATGAAAAAATGCTTCTTATCACTAATCATCAGAGAAATGCAAAATAAAACCACAGTGAGATAACAACTTATACCAGTCAGATTGGCTACTGATAAAAAGTCAAGAAACAACAGATTCTGCTGAGTATGCAAGGAAAAGCAATCTTTTATACACTGCTGGTGGGAACGTAAATTAGTAAAACCTCTATGGAAAATAGTATGAAAAAAATTTTTTTGAAATGAAATCCCTCTTTGTGCCCAGGCTGGAGTGCAGTGGTGCTATCTCAGCTCACTGCAACCTCCACCTCCTGGGTTCAAGTGATTCTCATTGCCTCAGCCTCCCAAGTAGTACGAATATTTCTTAGAGACTAACTACCATTTGATCCAGCAATCCCATTGCTGGGTATCCACTCAAAGGAAAACAAAATATTTTACAGAAAAGATATATGTATTCATATATTTATTGCAGCACTATTAACAATAGCAGTATTATGGAATCAACCTAAGTGTCCACCAACAAATGGTATGATAAAGACAATGTTATACACATACACACACACACACACACACATGCACACACACACAATGGAATACTATATAGGCATAAGAAAGAATGAAATAATGTCTGTGGCAGCAACATATACACACACCCACACATCGATTATCCACCAAGGTGTCACATGGAGACTGGGAGATGACTTCCCAACAGCGTGAAATGTAGCCAGAGGAGAGTAGGAAAAAAAAAAAAACTTCATGTTGCCAAGAGAAAAGAACTACAACCCGTAACTATACCCACAAACACTTTTTCAAGATGGGGTCTCACTCTGTCACCCAGGCTGGACTGCAGTGGTGCTATCTTGGCTCACTGCAAGCTCCACCTTCCGGGTTCACACCATTCTCCTGCCTCAGCCTCCTGAGTAGCTGGGACTGCAGGCGCCTGCCACAACACCCGGCTAATTTTTTGTATTTTTAGTAGAGACGGGGTTTCACCCTGTTAGCTAGGATGGTCTCAATTTCCTAACCTCGTGATCCACCCGCCTTGGCCTCCCAAAGTGCTGGGATTACAGGCATGAGCCACCGCACCCGGCCTAGAAAATAAGTACTTTTTTTTAAATCACAGAATGTTGAAAATTTGTCATAAAAAGAAGTCCACCTCCCCCCAAAAAATCCCTAAAGAAGGTATTTAGGAGAACAGGAAAATAATCTTGAAAGGAATATCTGAAGTAGAGGAGGATTAATGGGGGCTAAAAATGTTTTTTTTTTCATAGAACTTGATGAGATATTTTAAAACGTATATGTAAGTATAAAGACCTAAGATTAACCAAAATACTCCCATATCAGTGTGGTTATGGACTAGCTCAAACTACAGTAGTCAAGGCTCAGTGCGATTGGGAGAAGAGTAGACACATGTCCTAATTAACCCAACGGAGTCCTCAAGGACTGACCCACACATAGACTTAACAAATGACAGAGACCACAGGGCTGAGAGACAGAAGAGTAAAAATAAAAACATTCTTGCCAGGAGGGAGAATACAGGAATGGTCAGGAATGGACCAATAAGATGTTCAATATTACTATTCATCAGGGAAATGCTGATGAAAAACACAAGGCAAAAGCTTATTTCACATCTATAAGATTAGAAAATATTAGAATATAATAATACCTGGTGCTATTCAAGATGTAGAGGAATGAAAATTTTCAAATGCTTCTGGTGGAAACATAAGTTGGTACAACCACCTTAGAAACAAATGTAGTGTAATCCAAGAATTCACATTGCTTATGCTCTGTGATCAAGCAATTTCCTTCCTAACCACCCATTTAAAACCTCTTAGAGAAATTCTTTTTTTTTTTTTTTGGAGACGGAGTCTCGCTCTCTCACCCAGGCTGGAGTACAGTGGTGAGATCTTGGATCACTGCAAACTCTGCCTCCCTGGTTCAAGCCATTCTCTTGCCTCAGTCTCCTGAGTAGCTGCTACTACAGGTGCCCACCACCATGCCTGACTAATTTTTTAATTTTTTTAATAGAGACGGGGTTTCACTGCATTAGCCAGGATGGTCTCAATCTCCTGACCTGGTGATCCATCCGTCTCAGCCTCCCAAAGTGCTGGGATTACAGGCATGAGCCACTGCACCCAGCCGAGAAACTCTTAAATACATGCCTAAAGGGGACATGTACAAGAATTTTACAGACCCATTCTTTATAATAGCACATTGTATTAGTCTGCTTTCAAATCTGCTAATAAAGACATACCCAAGACTGGAAAGAAAAGGAGGTTTAATTGGAGTTACAGTTCCACATGGCTGGGGAGGTCTCAGAATTACTGCAGGAGGTGAAATGCACTTTTTACATGGTGGCAGCAAGAGAAAATGAGGAAGAAGCAAAGGTGGAAACCCCTGATAAACCCATCAGATTAAAGTTCCACAAAAATGCTACCAGTCTCTAGGGCAGGGGCAAATGCTGCCAGTCTCTTATTCACTATTATGAGACTAGCACAGGGAAGACCAGCCCCCATGATTCTGTTACCTCCCCCTGGGGCCCTCCCACAACACGTGGGAATTCTGGGAGATACAATTCAAGTTAAGATTTAAGTGGAGACACAGCCAAACTATATCATTCTGCCCATGGCCCCTCAAAATCTCATGTTGTCACATTTCAATACCAATCATGCCTTCCCAACAGTCCCCTAAAGTTTTAACTCATTTCAGCATTAAACCAAAAGTCCACAGTCCAAAGTCTCATCTGAGCTAAGGCAAGTGCCTTCTGCCTATGAGCCTGTAAAACCAAAAGCAAGTTAGTTACTTCCTAGATAAAATGGGAGTATGGGTATTAGGTAAATACAACTGTTCCAAATGGGAGAAACTGGCCATAACAAAGAGGTCACAAGGGCCCATGCAAGTCTGAAATCCAGTGGGGCAGACAAATTTTAAAACTCCAAAATGATCCCCTTTGACTCCAGATTTCATATCCAGGTAATGCTGATGCATGAAGTGGGTTCACATGGTCTTAGGCAGCACCACCCCTGTGGCTTTACAGTGCATAGCCTCCATCCTGGCAGCTTTCATGGACTGGTATTGAGTGTTTGAGGCTTTTCCAGGTGCACAGTGCAAGCTGTCAGTGGATCTACAATTCTGGAGTCTGGAAGACGGTGGCCCTCTTCTCACAGGTCCACTAGCAGCGCCCCAGTAGGGACTCTGTGTGGGGGCTCTAACCCCACATTTTCCTTCCATTCTGACTTATCAGAGGTTCTCCATGAGGGTCCTGCCCCTGCAGCAAACCTTTGCCTGGGCATCCAAGCATTTCCATACATCTTCAGAAATGTAGGTGGAGGTTCTCAAACCTTAATTCTTGACTTCTGTACACTCACAGGCTCAACACCACATGGAAACTGTCAAGGCTTGGGGCTTTCACCCTCTGAAGCCACAGCTTGAGTGCTATGTTGGTCTCTTTCAGCCACACCTGGAGTGGCTGGGATACAGGGCACCAATTCCCTAGACTGCATGCAGTATGGGGACCCTAGGCCTGGCCCACACAGCCACTTTTTCCTCATGGGCCTCTTGGCTTGTGATGGAAGGGGCTGTTGTGAAGGTGTCTGACATGACCTGGCAACAATTTCCCCATGGTCTTTGGAATTAACATTAGTATCCTTGGTAGTTATGAAAATTTCTGCAGCTAGATTGAATTTCCCCTCAAAAAAATGGGTTTTTCTTTTCTACTGCATTATCAGGCTGTAAATTTTCTGAACTTTTATGCTGTTTCCCTTTCAAAACTGAATGCCTTTAACTGCACCCAAGTCACCTCTCGAATGCTTTGCTGCTCAGAAATTTTTTACTCCAGATACCCTAAATCATTTTTTTATTTTTTATTTTTTTTTTTAGACAGAATCTCACTGTGTCACCCAGCCTGGAGTGCAGTGGTGTGATCTCAGCTCACTGCAAGCTCCGCTTCCCAGGTTCACACCATTCTCCTGCCTCACTCAGCCTCCCAAGTAGCTGGGACTACAGGCTCCTGCCACCACACCCAGCTAATTTTTTGTGTTTTTAGTAGAGACGAGTTTTCACTGTGTTAGCCAGGATGGTCTCAATCTCCTGACCTTGTGATCCACCTGCCTCGGCCTACCAACGTGCTGGAATTACAGGTGTGAGCCACTGTGCCCAGCCTAAATCATCTTTCTTAAGTTCAAAGTTCCACACATCTCTAGGATATGTGGCAAAATGCTACCAGTTTCTAGGGCAGGGGCAAAATTCTGCCAGTCTCTTTGCTAATACATAACAAAGTCACCTTTGCTCCAGCTGCTTCAAGTTCCTCCTCTCCATCTGAGACCACCTCAGCCTGGACCTCATTGTCCATTGTCCATATCACTTTCATCATTTTGGTCAAAGCCATTCAACAAGCCTTTAGGAGGTTCCAAACTTTCTCACATTTTTCTATCTTCTTCTGAGCTCTCCAAATTGTTCCAACCTCTGCCTGTTACACAGTACCAAAGTTCTTTTCACATTTTCAGTTATCATTTCAGCAACACCCTACTCAAGGTACCAATGTATTGTATTAGTCCATTTTTACGCTGCTGATAAAGACATACCCATGACTGGGAAGAAAAGGAGGTTTAATTGGATTTACACTTCCACATGGCTGGGGAGGTCTCAGAATTATGGCAGGAGGTGAAAGGCACTTTTTACATGGAGGTAGCAAGAAAAAATATGGAAGAAGCTAAAGTGTAAACCCCTGATAAACCCATTAGATCTCAGGAAACTTATTCACTATCATGAGAATAGCACAGGGAAGACTAGCCCCCATGATTCAATTACCTCCTCCTACTTCCATCCCATAACACATGGGAATTCTGGGAGATACGATTCAAGTTGAGATTTTACTGGGGACACAGCCAAACTATATCACACACTATTGAAAAAAAGTAAAAAAGCTGAAAGCTACCCAAGTAACCATTTGAAAAAGAGTATGTATAAATGTTTTATTATAAGACAATATATCATGTAAATATATATTAGCATGTGTGTATATATATGTGAATATATAGTTAGTTTCACAAAATAAATTAATTGCACTAACTGTATGTATAATTTTTAATTTTATATCATGAATTACATAATTACACATATGTGTGTATATATACACTGTATATATACATATATATGTACAGTTAGTGCAAATTAAGGAACCACTGTTGATATTAATATGGATGGATTACACATAGGTATTGAATGAAAGAAGTTAGAGAGCAATGTGTTAGAACAATATTAATCTAGACTACAGAATCTATGTATAACTAAACAAGATATTGTTTAGATATACACACATATATACCAAAACTATAAAAAAAAGAAGATAGTGATATGTCCAGTTGTGTCCGGAATTGGTGGGTTCTTGGTCTCACTGACTTCAAGAATGAAGCTGTGGACCCTTGCGGCGAGTGTTACAGTCCTTAAAGGTGGCATGTCTGGAGTTTTTTCCTTCTGATGTTAGGATGTGTTCAGAGTTTCTTCCTTCTGTTGAGTTCGTGGTCTTGCTGGCTCAGGAGTGAAGCTGCAGATCTTCGTGGTGAGTGTTACAGCTCTTAAGGCAGCATGTCTGGAGTTGTTCATTCCTCCCAGTGGATTTGTGGTCTCGCTGGCTTCAGGAATGAACCTGCAGACCTTTGCGGTGAGTGTTATAGCTCATAAAGGCAGTGTAGACCCAAATAGTGAGCAGCAGCAAGATTGATTGCAAACAGTGAAAGAACAAAGCTTCCACAGTGTGGAAAGGGACAAGAGCAGGTTGCCACTGCTGGCTCAGGCAGCCTGCTTTTATTCTCTTATCTGGCCCCACCCACATCATGCTGATTGGTCCATTTTACAGAGAGCCGATTGGTCTGTTTTACAGAGAGGTGATTGGTCCATTTTGACAGGTTGCTGATTGGTGTGTTTACAATCCCTGAACTAGACACTGAAGTTTTCCATGTCCCCTCTAGATTTGCTAGATACAGAGTGTTGATTGGTGTATTTACAAACCCTGAGCTAGACAAAGAGTGCTGATTGGTGCATTTACAAACCTTGAGCTAGATACAGAGTGCTGATTGGTGCATTCACAATCCTTTAGCTAGACATAAAGATTCTCCAAGTCCCCACCAGACTAACTAGATACAGAGTGCTCATTGGTGCATTCATAAACCCTGAGCTAGACACAGGGTGCTGATTGGTGTGTTTACAAACCTTGAGCTGGACACAGCATGCTGATTGGTGTATTTACAATCCCTTAGCTAGACATAAAGGTTCTCCAAGTCCCCACCAGACTCAGGAGCCCAGCTGGCTTCACCCAGTGGATCCCGCACTGGGGCTGCAGGTGGAGCTGCCTGGCAGTCCCACGCTGTGCACCCTCACTCCTCAGCCCTTGGGTGGCCGATGGGACTGGGCGCCATGGAGCAGGGAGCGGTGTTTGTCAGGGAGGCTTGGGCTGTGCAGGAGCCCACGGTGGGGAAGGGGGAGGCTCAGGCATGGTGAGCTGCAGGTCCTGAGCCCTGCTCCTGCAAAGAGGCAGCTAAGGCCTGGCGAGAAATCGAGCACAGCAGCTGCTGGCCCAGGTGCTAAGCCCCTCACTGCCCGGGGCTTGTGGGCCAGTCGGCCACTCTGAGTGTGGGGCCCGCTGAGCCCACATCCACCTGGAACTCATGCTGGCCTGCAAGCACCGCACACAGCCCTGGTTCCTGGCTGTGCCTCTCCCTCCACACCTCCCCCCAAGCTGAGGGATCTGGCTCCAGCCTTAGCCAGCCCAGAAAGGAGCTCCCACAGTGCAGCAGTGGGCTGAAGGGCTCCTCAAGAGCAGCCAGGGTGGGCACAAAGGCTGAAGAGGCACCAAAAGCAAGCAAGGGCTGCGAGGGCTGCTAGCATGCTTTCATCTCTCAATCCCCCATCTAAACAGGACACCAAAACTGCTGTTGGGAATTTGGCCAATGACTGCTCTAGCTACTTCCTGCTGGATAGGGGTGATGCAGGGGCCCTGCAGTTGTAGTGTCCTCCAGAGGGGAGCTCTCTAGGCCAGTGGAGGTGCCAGTGGGTCAGTCCAGGAGTCCTCGGTAGAAGTTGTTAGTTGAACTCATTTGGGGTTCCATTTGTAAGACCATCTGTAGCTTGATGGCCTCAATTCTAGAGGAAGCAAATTTGACAAGAAGGTTAAAAATACAGGGCCCAAGGGTGAGTAACAGTAAGATGGCTGCCACGGGACCTAGAAACGGGAGAAGCCATGTTGCCCAACTCCAGACATTGGCATAAAAATTTGAAAGGTGTTGTCTGATTTCATAAGCCTTTTCCTGTAAATGCCAGGCAGCATCTCATACTATCCCTGACTGGTTAGTGTAAAAACAACACTTTTCCCCTAAGAAGGTACAGAGTCCTCCTTTTTCAGCAGCAAGAAGGTCTAGGCCTCAGCGGTTTTGGAGAGTCACTGCTGCCAAAGAGTCTATTTGGGACTGTAAAGTAAGAATAGATTTCTTTATTTTTGCAAACTGTCTGAGAAATCCTTTGAGAGTGTGTGGTAGTAGGATAATGAAGTAGATAAACCAGCTATTCCAGTTCCTGTAGCTGTAGCCCTTCCTAACCCTATAAGTAGGGGTATTAGTTGTATGGCTCAGCACTGACGGACTTAAGCTTTGAGGGGTACTGATAGGGTCTGATTTCCTGGGGCAATGTTAATGTTGGGACTTAGAAAGACTAAGGTGCAGGTGCCTTTCCAGTTAGTGGGGAGGCAGATATAGGTTGACATTCCACATAAGAAGAACATACCTTGGCTAGGTAGACAGAAGTGGTTATGTATGTTAAAAAGGTGTGTGAGTTTGTTGTTTTCATTTTCCCATACTCCTAGAGTACTTGCCAAGGTAGCTCCAGTGAGCAGCTGGAAAGGGGTGTTGGGAGCAGACTGAGTGGCTCCCTGTGTTCTATTTTCCCATTGGAGAAAAAAATGTTTTGTATCCACTAGGAACAACTTGAGAGAGTGATTGAAAGAGGGGATGAGAAGGCATTCACTAGTGGTGGGGGTGCTGCTGCAGGGCGTCCAGGGGTGAATGGTCATGTAGGGAGTATGTTTGCCATTACAAAACCTGGACTGTTTGTTAAACAGGGAGGAGGTGATGATTTTGGGGGGCCTTGAGTCCTTGAGAAGTGGACAAGCCATCTGAATGGGGCTGTTTGGGTGACTCAAAAGCTACCATGATCAGTTGGGGCTTGAAGCTGCAGGGTGTAATTACACTGATGCAGTAGTAGGTGCCCCAGAGGCAGGCCTGATAACAGGTTGTGTTGGATGCATAAAGGGGCTTGGAAAGTTAAGATAGTATTCGTGTTTAGAGGGCTGTGTATGGGCTTTTTTCTAATTCTCCTTAGTCCTTCTAGAACACAGGTCCACAGATGTTTATGACTCCAGTCCCCATGATCTGAGTCTAGGCCCCAGTGGGGATCCATGCTGGGGATGGCTTGCTGACCGGTAGGGAATTTGTCCCTTTCTTTGGCTGTCATTCTATCATTTGCTTGACTAAGATACCAGGTATCTCCGAACTCTCGGGCTGCAGCTAAAGCTGCATTGTTTTCATTAAAGGCCAGGGTTTGATCTAACAGTAGCATGACATCTCTTCAAGCGAGGCCAAAGGTTTTCCCTAGACCCTGTAGGACGCCTATGTACCTATCAAGATCATCTGAAAACTTCCCCAGGTCTGCCTTGATCTGCTTTAAATCAGAGCAGGAGAAGGGGACATGTATCCGGGTTGGGCCAAATTCCCCTCCTGCTACAGCTTGAAGGGGACATAACCAATAGCCTGGGGGTTTTTGTGGTCCTTTGGAGATTTCTTTGCTTATTTCCTTCTGGGCAGGGGAGATTAGAGGAGGAGTATCATTAATAGGAAGGGGAGCTATAGGGAGGCTAGAATATGGGGGTAAGCTGAGAGGTCCTCCTGTGGGATGTAAGTTGTAATATTTGCATAGTTGTGTATTCTCCCTCAATGAAAAGAAAGCTCGGACATAAGGTATTTCACTCCATTTGCCTTTCCTCTTACAGAAAAGGTCAAGCTTCAGGACAGTATTGTAATTTGTACTTCCCTCAGGTGGCCATTTTTCCACATCAGAGAGAGAATATTGGGGCCAAGCCATAGCGCAGAAAAAAATAAGCCACCTCTTTTTCAGGGTTTGTCGGTCAAATTGATCCAAATGGCTTAGGATGCATTTCAAGGGTGAGCCTGTTGATGCCTTAATGTTTCCCATCTGAAAGACAAAACTGCCAACTGTTTTGGTTTGTTTTGTTTCTCCCCCTGCCCAAGAACCCACAATGGTCCCTGGACCCTGCTGATCTGAATAGTTGTGCTCAACAATGTAGCAGCAGAAACGACCCCTGCCCAAGAAGCTCCAATGGTCCCTGGACCCTGATGGTCAGAATAGTTGTGCTCACCAATGCAGTAGCAGAAACACTAGTTTTCCTCCCAGACCACATGGAAGACCAAGGAAGGTCAGATTTAGTGACCCTTACCAATGCATCCTTGAAAACCTGCACCATTGCCTGTCTTCCTAGACCACAAGTAGTAGCGACTGAGAAAAATCAGATTTAGTGACCCTTACCAATGCATTTTCGAAAACCTGTTAGAGTCCTAAGCATTCACCTGTTAGTATTGGGACTTTACCCCTGTCCTACAAAGATATTATGCCCCAAAAATGAAGTGGAGGGCCATACCCTGAGGGAGGGAAGGGATCTCCAGAGTTGGAAGAGTGATACCTTTTGTCCTCACTTACATGAATAGGAACGATACAATTTCTGAGGATCCCCATATCCTAGCTTCAGGAATAGCTGTCTTTAGGCCTGTCAGTCTGAGGAGGGATCCAAAAATTCCAGGTAGTCCCCAGTATGATGGAACTTTGGGCAAAAATTATGTTTTTGTGATTGGCGAGCCCAGGTGCCTAAAGAAGGTAACAGATTGCTGGAGTTTATACTAGAAATCATTCTTATAGGAGAAACTAGAAAAGCAACATAGACAGGTAGCAACTTTTAGAAGTGGGATTAACCTTGAAGAGAGGTGAAAGGAAGTTTGTCTGGCAGGCATTAGGACCCAGGGGGCAAGGGTCAGGAGAGATAGGATAGATGGGTGAGTCTTGCTTGGGTGACATGCCTTTGAGAGTTCCGCTCATGGCCACAGAGTCAACCAACTTGTTGTCGGGACCCTGGAGCTGCATGGCTTTCCTCTCTGTCGACCCTTGGCTCAGCCCAGAAGTACAGGAAAAGCAGAAGCTGCTCCCAGGCAAACCAATGCTCCCAACTCCGAAGAGTCAGGGGTTGTTAAGAGAGCCCTTTCCCAGAATGTCTGAAACCCATGTCTTTAGTCCGGTGGCCATGCTAGTCACTTTTAACTGGCCGACAGGTGCCTTGTATTTAGTCTCCAAATTCTAAGGAAACATAGGACAGAATAGTAAGCGAAAGGGGTCCAATGGTACTCACTGCTTGGTGATAGGTGATTGTCTTACACTCAGCGATAGGCGATGGTCTCACCACTCAGCAATAGTCTCACCACTTAGCAATAAGTGATTGTCCCTTTATGGTCACCAAAATGTGTCTGGAATTAGTGGGTTCTTGGTCTCACTGACTTCAAGAATGAAGCCATGGACCCTCGCAGTGAGTGTTACAGTTCTTAAAGGTGGCGTGTCTAGAGTTTTTTCCTTCTGATGTTTGGATGCATTCAGAGTTTCTTCTGGTGGGTTCGTGTTCTCACTGGCTCAGGAGTGAAGCTGCAGAGCAGACCTTTGTGGTAAGTGTTAACAGCTCTTAAGGTGGCACCTATGGAGTTGTTCATTCCTCCCGGTGGGTTTGTGGTCTTTCTGGCTTCAGAAGTGAAGCTGCAGACCTTCACAGTGAGTGTTACAGCTCATAAAGGCAGTGTGGACCCAAAGAGTGAGCAGAAGCAAGATTGATTGCATAGAGCGAAGGAACAAAGCTTCTGCAGTGTGGAAAGGGATCCGAGCGGGTTGCCACTGCCGGCTCTGGCAGCCTACTTTTATTGTCTTATCTGGCCCCACCCACATCATGCTGATTGGTCCATTTTACAGGGAGTTGATTGGTCTGTTTTACAGAGAGCTGACTGGTCCATTTTGACAGGGTGCTGATTGTGTATTTACAGTCTCTGAGCTAGACAACAATTTCCCATGTCTCCACTAGATTAGCTAGATACATAGTGTCAATTGGTGTATTTACAAACCCTGAGCTAGACACAGAGTGCTGATTGGTGCATTTACAAAACTTGAGCTAGATACAGAGTGTGGATTGATGCATTTTCTATCCTTTAGCTAGACATAAAGATTCTTCAAGTCCCCACCAGACTAACTAGATACAGAGTGCCGATTGGTGCATTCACAAACCCTGAGCTAGACACAGGGTGCTGATTGATATGTTTACAAACCTTGAGCTAGATACAGAGTGCTGATTGGTGTAGTTACAATCCCTTAGCTAGACATAAAGGTTCTCCAAGTCCCCACCAGACTCAGGAGCCCCGCTGGCTTCACCCAGTGGATCCCACACTGGGGCCGCAGGTGGAGTTGCCTGCCAGTCCCACCCCGTGCGCCCGCACTCCTCAGCCCTTGGGTGGTCGATGGGACTGGGCACCGTGGAGCAGGGAGTAGTGCTCATGGGGGAGGCTTGGGCTGCACAGGAGCCCACAGTGTGGGTTGGTGGGGAGACTCAGGCATGGTGGGCTGCAGGTCCCGAGCCCTGTGGGGAGGCAGCTAAGGCCCGGTGAAAAATTGAGCACAGCAGTTGCTGGCCCAGGTGCTAAGCCCCTTACTGCCTGGGGCTTGCGGGCCAGCCGACCGCTTGGAGTGCGGGGCCTGCCGAGCCCACGCCCACCTGGAACTCATGCTGGCCTGCAAGCACCGGGCGCAGCCCCGGTTCCCACTGGCGCCTCTCCCTCCACACCTCCCTGCAAGCTGAGGGACCCGGCTCCAGCCTTGGCCAGCCCAGAAAGGGGCTCCCACAGTGCAGCGGCGGGCTGAAGGGAAGCCAGGGTGGGCGCCAAGGCAGAGGAGGCACCTGGAGCAAGTGAGGGCTGGGAGGGCTGCCATCACGCTGTCACCTCTCACAGTTACAAGGATAGTGGGTGGAAGAAGAAGATTGGAAATGGACACCACTGTCTTCAACTGTATTTGTTTATTTAAGAGAGCAATCCTTTTATGTGAATGATACGTAAATGTTATATTTCTGAAGCTGGGATGTGGACATGAGTATTTTTGTTACTGATTGTACCTCATGTACCTTAGATGTAATAGTTCATGATAATGTTGTTTTTAAAAATTAATGTTTTTTTCTCTTATGAAGGAGTATTATCACCAGATAAATTTTATGGGGTTTAATTTTCCAAGATATTAAAAAGTACTCATATTAACTTGGAGATTTTTTTGTTTTGTTTTACTTCAAAGGACACCTTATTTCAAAGGTCAGCCAATAAATGCTATGTACTGAGTTCTTGGTGTCCAACAAATAATGAAAGACTTTGGTATCCAGAAACTCATAATTTCATTTGCAAATAATGAAATATTGATAGATTAAAATGAATAGTTTAGCAAAGGAGTGTGCAGCATGCTATGAAAGCATATTAAAGAACAAGGAAGGAAACCGACACTGTGGAATGGCAACTATCAACCAGGCATTTTGCGAAGTGGTTTCATGTACTGTACATTTTTCTCTTTCCATCTGTCAGTTACAGCCCTGGGTGTCCGACTATCCTTATAATACCAATGAGATATGTATGCTCAAGGATATGGGACAATTAAAACTTCCACACTCTCTGGTGGGTGTTTCAACCACTGGAACAACATAGATTTGTCATGACAAATAATTTGGAAGGTGCAAAGTACTCACAAATCAGCCATCCCACTCATTAGCTCTCCCTAGCCCAGAGCAAAATTAAGAAAGAAATTCCACACCAGTCCTGGCAGACTCCACAGTTCCTGCTTCCTATGACCTCCTCTTTCTTCCTCTATTTTAATCACAGACCAAAGATCTAGGAAAGTCCTTTAAAAACCATTTTCTTAACATTCCTGTCTTCAGAGATGGAGACCTAGCTCTCCTTATCATCTCACTAGATAGATACACACTATTCCAACACAAGTATATTGATTTTTTAGTGCAATTACTTAATCTACACTCAACCGTTTCCATAAATAACTGCAATTTGTACAAAATGGAATGTCAGTTTGTGTTCAGAATGAAATTAAGGGAGAGACCTGGAAGTGTTATTCCATATGTCTAATATTTGATTTGGTTGGTCCTTTAAGTGAATTATGATGTAAGCCAAGTTTGTGATGATTTGCCTTTTAAAGCAGTATGGGCAGTGCCACTGACTGTCAAATAAGACTACTAGACTTAGTTGGAAATACATCGCAGATTAAATGTTGGACATGCCAACCCATCTGGGCTATCCCTGTGCAAGGGAGTACTTGCAAATCTCAGGAACAACAGGCAAGAGATTATTTTCTTTCTTGGCAGAAAATGCAAGAGTATAGCCTCATGGCTCAGGATTACAAGCATTTTGAAAGATGTTTAGCCCCTTTTAGAACATGACTTCTAGACTTTGCATCAGCTTAGCTTGATATCTGATTATGGTATATTATACTACTAAGGGGATTCCTGTTGTATCACAGCTTATCATAATATTGCATACTGGAAAATTACTCTGTCTTTATACTGGAAAATAGTCTCAAAGCACTGTCTTGCTCATGTGGTTACTACACTTCACCTTAACACTTTCAATCCTATACTTCAGAACTGTTAGCACCATCTAGCATCCATGCACCAAGGTGAAGCATCTGATGGTGCATCCAAGGGGTCACTTTCAGCTCATTCTTACATCTCTTTAGATTAAAGTGAAAAATCTGTTTTGGCCAGGTGAAATGGCTCATGTCTATAATCTCAATACTCTGGGAGGCTGAGGCAGGAGGACTGCTTGAGACCAGGAGTTCAAGACCAGCCTGGGCAACATAGTGAGACTCTGTCTCTGAAAAATATTTTTTAAAAATTAGCTGGGCATGGTAGCATCCACCTGTGATTTCAACTACTCAGGAGGCTAAGTCAGGAGAAATGCTTAAACCTAGCAGTTGGGAGCTGTAGTGAGCCGTGATCACACCACTGCACTCCAGCTTGGGCAACAGAGTAAGATCCTGTCTCTAATAATAATAACAATAATAACATTTTTTAAAAAGTGTTGGATTATCCTGAGGTCTAGAAGCAAAAGTGACAGCACGTCTAGACTGAATCCTAATAGGCTATTGGGAATTAAGATTGATCCTGATTGATAACTTAATACCAGATAGTATCCCTCACTATCATGACTTCAAAGAACATTCTGTTTTCAGAATCCACTTTTCCACTTAGCCTGTCATCAGAGATGTTCTGGTTTGATGATAAAATTTAATTACAACATTTCTAATTGGGCTAATAATTATTTTAGCTGTATAACATAGTCACTAGTATAGATTAATAATGTAAAAATGCCCAAATTGGGGGGCAGAGATCCAAGTTAATCTCCCAGCATGGCCATTTACAAGCAAGCTTAACTTGCACTAATTATTTTACTTCCATGGAACTTAGAATCCTCATCAAAGATGCTTACTCACAGGGTTCCTCTTAGGATTCAGTGAAGAAACCCCTCATTTCAGATACGTCCACCTAGTGTCTGTCAGGCTGTCAGGATGCAATGACGGGATACATTCTCTCACCCCAAAATAGGTTCACGCACTCTGTTGCCAAATCTGATGGTAAGCAATATATTTGAAAGCTGGATTGTTAGAGAGAAACTGAACCATATGCTCACCCATATGCATGGTAAAAGCACTTGTAAACTGTAAAGTATAATGAAAGTTAGGGCTATTATTCAGGCATATAGCCAGGTGCTGTGCTTATTCTGCAAAGAGCCCCATAATTTGCTCTGAGCTGCCTGGAATGTGCACTTTGAAAGGGTATATACATTAGCAGCACCACTGGACAGTGTAGATATGTTAGATATTTTTCAGAGCAGTCATAGCTTCTTGTTTAGATTTCCCTGGAGGGCTTCAAGTATATTGTGAACAGTGTCCCAAATACATATCTTAATCATAAGGAAATCTGAGTTAAACAAATGGATACAATTGGCCCTATGATATAACCCTGCTTTATTTTTTGTATGCATACATGGAAGATGAATCTCTGCCTATTGTTTAGGAGGCTGTCCTGGAGAAATTCAAAAGCAAAGCTCTTCTAATTGATCCATACATAACTGGAAGGGTGGTACCTTTAGAGTCTTGGTAACTCAAACTTTTTCCATCAAATTCAATTTATAGCAGAAAAAATATGCCAGATGACATTAACCTAGATAGTCGAGTAAATTTATTTTTTAAAACTCAAAATGGTAGTGCAGGGACATGGATGAACCTGGTAGCCATTCTTCTTAGCAAACTAAGACAGGAATAAAAAAACAAACACTGAATTTTCTTACTTATAAGTGGGAGCTGAACAATGAGAATGCATGGACACAGGGAGGGGAACAACACACACTGGGGACTCATGGGGAAGGGTGAGGCAGAGAGAGCAACAGGAAAAATAGCTTATGCATGCCAGGCTTCATACCAAGCTGATGGGTTGATAGGTGCAGCAAACCACCATGGCACACGTTTACCTGTGTAACAAAACTGCACGTCCTGCACATGTACCCTGGAACTCTTAAATTAAATTAAATTAAATTAAATTAAATTAAATTAAATATTAAAAATGGTTGGGACAGAGGAACCGAAAACAAAAGTAAAATAATATAAAAATTGTAAATTTTACCAGGAAAATATAATTTAACAAAAAAACCAACATCTTAGATAATTTCCCCAAGAAAGTTGATTCAGTAAAAGGAATTAATTTAATGCCTTAATAAATAACTAGTAAATGAAGGTGTTTATTGAAGAATTATTGATCATGGTTAGAAAATGGGATCAAGACAACTGACTGACATTAAGTATTGTTTATTAAAATGTTCATAATGTCAGATAATTTTAAGACACCCTTTAATCTTAGATATCATCCTATTTAGTCAAAGAAGGAAAAGGGTAATATATTTTGACAGACTGAGTGTTTACCACAGAAGAGTGAATTAACCTGGAAAACTGTTTTCATTAGCACAAAAGCCTTGTCTGAAAAGTTTATGACCCTATAATTACCTTTATTAGTAATATTTTCAAACAAGTTGAGAACTCTTTTAGAACATTTAAAAAATTATGTTTAATAATTTTTAGATGTTTAGAAGGTGTATAAATTTTATTTCCCTACAATATCTGAATGAGTAAAATATAACATGTTAAAATTAAATATTTATCTTATGGTAGGATTGTATGTGATAATGATTTTACCCTGTTTTCTCAAAGACTTTTTTAATCTTGTGTATATTTTCTTTATATAGTACTAAAAGCAAAAGCCTCTGTTGCTTTGCAGTACTTCATTTACTGGGCTTGCATCATCTTCTGCACATAAACTCAAGTGTTAACTTCTTTTTCAAGTCAAATGCCCATGTATTAATGCAGAGAAAACCTAAAACAGAGCTAGACCACAGGACACTTGGAAGCCATGCCAAAACACCCTTAATTTCTAACCTACAGCAAATAAGCTGCAAGGCATAATTACATGACAAAAATCGAATCACTTGCGGCATAGGCCATTGTATGGACTCTCATAGACCTTCGTACCTTTCTAATGTCCCAGATGTTTGGTAAACATGCACACCTCCACCACCTTAGGCTGACAAGCCACATGTCCAGGTCTTCAGTATCTCCCATCACTTCCAAACTTGGTTGAAGCTTCAGGCCCCAGTAAGCACTAAAGGGGTCCAGGTGAAATCACATAGATTCCAGGAACATAAACTCTGTGGGGCAACTCAGGCTAAGAGGGGACAGGAGACAAGAGTGAGTAAGTAGATGAAGTCCTCTCTCATCCTGCTTCAAAGCACAGAAAGCAGAATGTGCCATATTGTCGACTCTGAGACATCCTGTACCTTCAACCTCCAGCTCCATCTCTGGTGGTTCGGGTGAAACATGAGCAGTGCACACCACTTCGTCGCCTTCCAATCCTTCACTGCTTCTGTGCCTTGAAGTTTGGCCCTGAAGGTTTTTTAGATGGGGTGTATGTACCTTCAAATACCATTTTTTAATGTACTCATGATATCCATGCATGCTAGGTTTTGGCTATTTTAATGTGCATGTCTGGAAACTATGACATTGAGTATTTTTCTCAACCAAGCAAATATAGCAGGATGCAGTGTTTGATGTCCTCACTCTGCATGTCATGTTTTTTTGATGGTTTTGGTCTCTCAGCTGGAGATCAAAAAGGAAATTCCACAAACAATGACCTGCATGTTAAGAAATGAAATTGAGGTGCCTCAAAGATAGATTAACCATGATTTTTGGGTGGGACTCAATAGTTGCTTTAAAACATGTGAAGCATCACAGCCTCAGTCTTATGTTTAACAATTCATTTTGTTATCCTATGTATGTTTAAAAGAATTGTGACACTTGAACATATCCAACAGAAGACTAAAATATACCAGAGTAATCTGTGAGCTGGACTTATTAATCTATTATGAAAAAAATGTAAAAGCTTTCCATCAGGCTATTTTTTTGAGCTTTCATCAAAACTGCAATATGTTTGCCTTGTTGGTAGCCTTTAAAAACAGTGGCATAGTCCTCAGAATCATGAATTTTAAGGTAGAAAATAGCAAGCCAGCTCTCCGGAAAGAATAAGGTTAAGGCTTCAAAATTGTCCTACTGACTTCAATTAGATACCCAGAGGAGCTATTTGACTCTAACAGTAGTTTAAGTAATTAAAGTGTTTCTGAAAGCAAGTGTGGAATCTTTGATCCTGAAGAAAATGCTTAAAGATAGACTTCCAAGTATCTTGCTTTAATTGTCTAAGAGAAGACTCATCTGGGAGTGAGATCTTGTTTTGACTTTCATATAAATAGTGTCGAATAATGCAGCACATGCTGACTGACCACTGCCCACCAATACCCTCTCACCCTTGCTATTGGAGGGCACCCTAGTCACTTCTCAGTGGGATTCCTCGGGCCACTGAACTCCACTTTCTTCTGTCCCATTGGCAGGTGAGAAGTGATGAGGGAGTTAACATCCCTGGGGGGAGCTCTCCATTCTCAAACGACAGGACTTGCTGAATACATATCACAACGCACTTGCTCTCTCATAGGATATTTCTGACTTTAGTTACCAGCATTTTCACAGCAGGATTAAGCGCCAAACACAAAGAAAGCTGCCTCATAACATCTCATTTTTACTGCACAGCTCAATATGGCAGCCACTAACCGCAACCCAAATGAGCATCTGAAATGTGGACTGTCTGAACTAAAATGTGCTTTAAGTACACAATGCACGCCACAGTTTGAAGAATTTCAATAAGAAAGTACAGGCTGGGTGCGGTGGCCCACGTCTGTAATCCCAGTACTTTGGGAGGCCAAGGCGTGGGGGATCACCTGAAGTCAGGAGTTTGAGAACATGGCGAAACCCCGTCTCTACTAAAAATACAAAAAATGAGCCAGGCCTGGTGGCAGGTACCTGTAATCCTCGCTGCTCGGTAGGCTAAGGCAGGAGAATCGCTTGAACCAGCGAGGCGGAGGTTGCAGTGAGCCGAGATCACGCCCATTGCACTCCAGCCTCGGCTACAGGAGCAAGACATTGTCTCAAATATATATATAGAAAATAACCTTTTCAATAATAGTATATTGATTGCGTGTTATGATAATGTTTTGGATATACTGGGTAAGAAAAATATACTATTAAAAAATATTGCCCCTGATTTTTTCCTACATTTTAAAAATATGGCTATTAGAAATTTTAAAATTATTTATGGATTTAGCTGTCAATATATTTCTATACACTGTACTGTTTTATTACTTGCCTTGTACTTCCTGTCTCATTTTCTCATTCACCTAGCTTTACGTCTCTAATAAGCCACTTGCATTTGAAGCCCGGTTTCCATGTGTACATATAGGGAAGCCAAACTAAGGCAAATAATAAAATCCCCCTACAGCTGGAATAACAATTTATGTTTTTACTTTCAAGTAATACATAGTAGGTACAAAAAACTTATTTCTTCAAAAACAATATTTGTGTGTGTGTCTTTGCGTGTGTGTGTTCAGTGATAAAGATACAGTCAAAAGTAAAACTTTTTGCAGTGAGATTTGTTAATACTTTTAATAAAATTGCAACCATTTACATTGTTAAAATATTTCAAAAAACAGGTGAGTGCTATAATCCCCAGAATCACACATTGTAAGATAGAAACTAGCAAGCCATTTCTCCAGAAAGAATTGACTCTCACATGGCCCTACACACTTCAATTAGATACCCAGAAGAGTTATTTAGCTCTGGCAGGAATTAAATAATGAAAGTATTTTCCAAAGACATATGTGAGATCCTTGCGGGTGTGACTCACCATTGCCTCTGAAAATATGAAGTGTCACAGCCTCAGTCTCATTATGTAGCATTTTGTATTGTTTGCTATGAACGATGAAAGAAGTGGTGGCATGTATATGCAAAGTCAGATCTCTCTTAAACGTCATATTTTTTAATGATTTTGCACAGGATGCCCTTAATTGGCCTTTAGACAAAGGCCAATGTGTCTAAATGTCTTTATTAGATTCATTGTGACTAATAAAGTGACAAATGTCTTTATTTTAAAGTTTTGAGCTTGCAGAAAAGAGTGGACTTGATTATTTAATACTGATGTTAGTAACTAATTTCCAAGCCTTTATGGGTTCTAGAGAGTGTGTCAGTATCACCTTAACCTTGATCTTTTGTTGAAATTCATCCAGCTGTTTAGATGAGTTTATGGCTTGAGAACCTTTTAGTAAAAGGTGTTTTTATCAGTTGTTTTCTTCTTTACAAACCTGATTACTGGACCCAGGAACCTAGACTCAATATGCTAAGCATCACAAGCAAGCCTCCAGCCTAGACCCTTGCACTTTTTAATTCTTAATTGTGGTAATAACACACACACACACAATGAAATTTAATATCTTCCTTTTAAGTGCACAGTTCAGTAATGTTAACTATATGCATATTGTTGAGCAACAGATCTCCAGAACTTTTTCATCTTGCAAAACTGAAACTATACTCATTAAACAAAAATCCCCATTTTTCCTCCCAACAGTCCCTGGCAACCGTCATTCTACTTTCTGTTTCTATGAAGTCAACCACTTTAGATACCTCATGTAAGTGGAATCGTATGGTATTTGTGTTTTCACGACTGGTTTATTTCTCTTAGCATCGAGTGCTCAAGGCCCATTTCTATTGTAGCATGTGACAGGATTTCATTTTTTTTGAGACTGAATAACCTTGCCTTGTATATACCCCCCACATTATGCATCCATCCATCAATGGTTCTTCCACTTCTTAGCTATTGTAAATAATACTGCAATAAATATAAGTGTGCATATGTCTCTTCTATATCCTGGCTTCAATTCTTTTACTTATTACATAGAAATGGGATTGCTGGATCATATGGTAATTGTATTTTTAATTTTTTGTTTTCTGCAAGGACTGCACCCTTTTCCATTTTCACCAACAGTGCATAAGGGTTCCGATTTCTCCATATCCTCAACAACACCTGTTGTTTTTTTGTTTTTTAAACCAGCCATCCTAATGGGTAGGAGGTGATATCTCATTGTAGTTTTGATTTGCATTTCCCTAATGATTAGTGATGTTAAGCAGTTTTTCATATGCTTTTTGGCCATATTTATATGGGTTTGTTTTGGAGAATTGTCTATTCAGATATTCTGCCCATTTATTAACCAGTTATTTTGTTTTATTTTGTTGTTGTTATTGGGTTGTAGGAATTCTTTATGTATTCTATATATTAACGCTCTATCAGATACATGATTTGCAAATATTTTTCCCATCCTTTAGGTTGTCTTTTCATTCTGTTAATTTTTTCCTTTGATGTGCAGATGTTTTTTAAGTTTGATGTAGTATCACCTGCCAATTTGTGGTTTTGTTGACTGTGCTTTGGTATCATTTCCAAGAAATCATTGTCAAGACCAATGTTATGAAGCTTTTGCTTTATGTTTTCCTCTAGGACTTTTATAATTTTAGATATTGTTTAGGCTTTGAATCTATTTTGAATTAATTTTTATATATAGTATAAAGTAAAATCTCAACTTTATGCTTTCGCATGTGGCTAGTTTTACCAACACCATTTTTTGAAGAGGCTATACTTTTCCATTGAGTAGTGCTGGCATCCTTGTGAAAGATCATTTGAATATGTACATGAGGATTTGTTTCTTGTGCATTTCTAGTATTCTGTCTCACTGGTAAACATGCCTGTCTTTATGCCTATACCACACTGTTTTGATTACTGTAGCTTTGTAAGAAGCTTGGAAATAAGGAAGTGTGAGGACTTCAAATTTATTATTTTTCAAGAATCTTTTGGTTATTTGGCATCCTTTCTGATTCCGTGTGAACTGTAGGCATTTTTAATATTTCCACAAAAAAGCCTCAGCATTTTTGTAGGGATTTTATTTAATCTGTAATATCTTCATGTAATATGGACATATTAACAATGTTGTCTTTCAATCCATGAACACAAGATATTGTCCTATTCATTTCCATCTTCTTTTATTTTCTTCAGCAATGAATTATATTTTCAGTATATAAATCTTTCACCTCCTTCGTTAAGTATATTTCTTAGCATTTTATTCTTGATGCTATTGGAAATGAGGTTGTTTTCTTAAATTCCTTTTTTGATAGATCATTGTTAATGTACAGATACAAAACCAATTTTTGTGTGTTGATTTTGTGACCTGCAACTTCGTTTGTTAATTATAACAGGTTTTTTTTTTTAAGTGGAATCTTTAGGGGTTTTTACATATAAAAATCAACACTGAGTGAGAACATGTGGTGTTTGGTTTTCAGTTCTTGTGTTAGTTTGCTGAGAATGATGGTTTCCAGCTTCACCCATGTCCCTGCAAAGACATGAACTCATCCTTTTTATGGCTGCGTAGTATTCCATGGTGTATATGTGCCATATTTTCTTTATCTATTCTATCATTGATGGGCATCTGGGTTGGTTCCAATTTTTTGCTTTTGTGAACAGTGCCACAATAAACATATGTGTGCATGTGTCTTCATAATAGAATGATTTAAAATCCTTTGGGTATATACCCAGTAATGGGATTGCTGGGTCAAATGGTATTTCTAGTTCTAGATCCCTGAGGAATCACCACACTGTATTCCACAATAGTTGAACTAATTTACACTCCCATCAATGGTGTAAAAGCATTCCTATTTCTCCACATCCTCTCCAGCACCTGTTGTTTCCTGACTTTTTAATGATCGCCATTCTAACTGGCATGAGATGGTATCTCATTGTGGTTTTGATTGGCATTTCTCTAATGACCAGTGATGATGAGCTTTTATTCATATGTTTTTTGGTTGCATAAATGTCTTCTTTTGAGAAGTGTTTGTTCATATACTACTTTGCCCACTTTTTGATGGGGTTGTTTGTTTTTTCTTGTAAATTTGTGTAAGTTATTTGTAGATTCTGGATATTAGCCCTTTGTAGATGGATAGATGGCAAAAATTTTCTCTCATTCTGTAGGTTGCCTGTTCACTCTGATGGTAGTTTCTTTTGCTGTGCAGAGCTCTTTAGTTAAACTAGATCCCATTTGTCAATTTTGGCTTTTGCTGCCATTGCTTTTGGTGTTTTAGTCATGAAATCTTTGGCCATGCATATGTCCTGAATGATATTGCCTAGCTTTTCTTCTAGGGTTTTCTTCTAGGGAGTTGAACAATGAGAACACTTGGACACAGGGAAGGGAACATCACACACTGTGGCCTGTTTGGGCATGGGGAGCTAGGGGAGAGATAGCATTAGCAGAAATACCTAATGTAGATTACGGGTTGATGAGTGAAGCAAGCCACTATGGCAATGTGTATACATATCTAACAAACCTGGATGTTGTACACATGTACCCCAGAACTTAAAGTATAATAAAAAATAATATAAATAAAATAAATAAAAGGCAAAAGAAAGAAAGAGAAAAAATCAGCATTAGCCTTTTTGATATCTCTTCTTTGTATTACTGAAATTGTCCCTGTGTTCCCATAAGTGACAGTATTTCTGCTTTGCTGAGCCCTGCAAAGACATCCAGATAACTTATTCATTATTTTAAAAACTTCATAGCCACAGGCTAAATGAGATACCACAAGTTCAAGCTGTTTGATGACTGAGGCTTCAAGCCTATCACTTGGATATTTCAATGAGGAAGGAGAGCAAAGAGAACTGCTTCTGCTCATGTGCCTGGCAGACTCTTCTCCAGTGGCAATGATGGGCTCTTATTCACAATGAGGGTCAGAAACACATAGTGTAATCAAAAAGTACCACAGAGAAAAGGGAAGACAAAACACTCTTGCATCTTTGGCAATCTCATCTATTCTACCAGTATATAGTTAAAATGAGCCAATTTTCTTCTAGCACTGGCTAGTTATAGCTTGGCTGTAGTAGTTTGGATCCAAACCTGTAGTTTGGATGAAATGCAAGAACATGTGTACAGATCTTCAGAAAGCATCTCCTGGCCCCATGCAAATGTAAGCTGCCATTAGAACCATTACACTAATATTCCAAGGTGCTAAAATATTACAAGTTCCACTAGCTGATACCATAGACTAGTGGACTAACACAAAGATAATACCCCCAGTGTGGTAAGAAATACTGCTCTGCATAATTGAGCAAGTGCTATCATAAACTTTCAGGAAATGAAATCCATAATTGCCCATCTTGGAACACTGAAATTAAAAAGATGCCATCACCTGAGGTCAGGAGTTCGAGACCAGCCTGGCCAACGTGATGAAACCCCACCTCTACTAAAAATACAGAAATTGGCCAGGTGTGGCAATGCACACTTGTAATCCCTACTTGGGAGGCTGAGGCAGGAGAATTGCTGAAACCTGGGAGTGGAGGTTGCAGTGAGCTGAGATGGTGCCACTGCACTCCACCCTTGGCAACAGAGTGAGACTTTGTCTCGAAAAAAAAAAAAAAAAAAGCCACCAAAGTAGAAACAAAACTGGAAAGTCAGGAAACAATTAGGATCACTTAAATCATTGATCTTGGCCCTCTTTTTATCTTTGGGGTAGAATTTGGAATGTAAATATTAAAAGGGTTAGGAAGGGTTCAGTTCGAAGGAGAAGACAAGAAACCTGGAGGATTCTCTCTTGAATACTAATTTATTTCTTCTTCCTGGTCCAAGGGTTGATGCATTTCCCAACTTCCTTGCAGTTGGACCTCACATGACTGATTTCTGGAGAAAGGAATGTGAGCAGAACTGTTGAGCGACACCATAAAAACCTGCAACGTGCACTTTCTTGTATTACTTCCACTTGCACGGACTTGAGAGCACAAGCATGGAGAAATTGGAAACTATTCCTAGAAGATGGTAGACCCATAGTATGTAAGAGTTCAGGATTTCCAATAGCTGCTTGGGGAACAGCCACCTTCCATCAATGATATCTGTGTTGGTCTTTGCAAGAGTGATAAATAAGTGAATCTGAGCACAGATTCACTTATTTTAGCAGCTAAAATTCCCTGATGAATGTAGTATCTGTGTAACATCGAATAAAGTATTCCACATGTCTGAGACTCCATTTTGTCATAAAAAATAATCATATTAGTCCATCTAGAAGGCAATGAAGCAATGAAAATAATACATTTTGGATACTGTAATCAGTATTTTAAGCAGTGTTATCATAATCATCATCTCACATAAATACAAAATTAGATAATTTTAGCCTAAATGTGCACTTAAGGTTTAAAGACTGTATTTCTTTGATTCTAAGAACCAGATATGAAATTAGCATGTGACTCAAAATTGATGGACTAGCATTGTCAAAGGCTAGCTTATTTTAGATGTGTGTGTGTGTGTGTGTGTGTGTGTGTGTGTGTGTGGTGTTTTTACTCCTCATTCCTTAGTGGCATGTAAAATAAAGATACAACTTTCAGTCTATGGTATCTTAGAACTGATGAAGTGATATGCTATGTTCTGGATTTTAGAGTTATAATTGCCATAAAGTTTCTGTTGTTCCAGGATTAGGCTACCCTTATTCTAAGTTGTCCAAAGCTACGCCATCACAGAAAGCAAGCATGTTACATAGTCAAGGCCAAAGGCAATCGAAGTAAAACTCAAACATTAACATTAACACATCCTGTCAGATTTCTGTAAGAACAGGGTCAAAGACTTTACCTGGATATTAATAAGTTTATCCTAAGCTAAGCACAGTTTTTCCCAAGCTAAGTTTTTCCCTAAGCTAAGTTTAAATCTGAGGTTTAAACTTAAATGTAATGATTTATGTAGATATTTAAATTTTGTCCTAGTGGTATGGACATGTGGAAATATTAAATAAAAAGAAATTGCAATCGTCTCCTAAAGCTCCAATTAAAACATAATTGGAAAATAATTATCTCTATAAATCATACTAAATGTATTTTATATGTCCCATTGATCCATACTGTAATATTAAATACAGAACAATTCAACAGATGCCTGATATCTTCTCTAAATATAAATTCAAGAAATTAAAATAAACATTAAAAATGTGGTCTTAGTATCTAATCTGTCAGGACAAATAATCAGGATATTTTCTTACATGCACATGAAACTCTACTTCTTTTGCTTTTTCAGAGAACTCCTGTAAACAACTTGGAGCATGTAGAGATGGAGGAGAATGTCATGTTCTTTAATCAACACAGTCCACTTCTTGCAAACAGTTCAATCTACTATAGAATGACAAATTAAAGCAGAGGTCAGTGTACTGTGGTCCCAGGCCAAATCTTGCCTGCCACTTGTTTTCACACAGTTCATGAGCTAAGGAAGTTTTTTTGCATTTTTAAAAGTTTGAAAAAAGTTTATAATATTTTTGGTCTGTCCTGGTGGTTCATGCATGCAATCCCAATATTTTGGGAGGCCAAGGCAAGAGGTCAAGGTCAAGACCAGCCTGGGCAACATAGTAAAACCCTGTCTCTACAGAATTTTTTATACAATTTAGCTAGGCGTGGTGGCACATGCCTTTAATCCCAGCTATTTGGGAGACTGAAGCAGGATGATCATTTAAGCCCAAAATGTTGATGCTGCAGTGAGCTATGATCATGCTGCTGCCCTCCAGACTGAGCAACAGAGTGAGACCTGGTCCAAAAAAAAAAAAAAAAAAAATAGAAAATTTAAAACTTAGTGTTTGTAAACAAAATTAACTGAAACACAACTACATGGTTTCATTTTTTCATTGTCCCTGGCTGCTTTTGACTAAACTGGGAGCATTGAGTAGATGGCACAGAGATCACCTAGACCAGAAATGTTTCCTATCTGGTGCTTTACAGAACACACTGGCTGATCCCTGACTTAAGCCTGACTACCCCAAGGACCTCAAACAGCATCAACATTACCTAGCAGCTGGGTGGTAGAATGCAAAATCTCAGATCCTGCCCCAGAGCTGCTAAATTATAAACTGCATTTTAAAACGATCCCCAGGTGATTTATATAAACGTTAAAATTTGACAAGTACTGATTTAAAGAACGGATATGCTATACATTAATCAAGAATAGGATATCAACTTGAGAAAATGCAAGCAAATAGCTTCATAACTTCTATAAGTCATTGCTATGATAGTGTCCCAGTCCATTTTCTGTTGCCTATAACAGAATTGCTAAAATTCAGTAATTTATAAAGACAGGTATGTAATTTTAGCAATCATAAAGGCTGAGATGTCTAAGGTTGAGGGTCAGCATCTGGTGAGAGCCCTCTTGCTGGTGGAGACTGCAGAATCCTAGGGCAATGCAGGGCATTATGTGGTGAGGGGGCTGAATGTGCCAACACACTACTTCAGATCTCTCTTCCTCTTTTTATAAAGCCACCAGTTTCTCTCCCATAATACCTATTAAGCCATTAGTACATTAACCCATTAATCCATGGAATAAATTAATCCATGAGGGCTCTCTCATTATGATTTAGTTACCTTTTAAAAGTACCGTCTCTCAACACTTCTACATTAGGAACCAAGTTTCAACATGAGTTTTGAAGGTGACAAATACTCAAACCATAGCTCGTAGTTGAGAAGTAAATATTAGATGATAAGATGTTAGCTTTCATGGGACAAAACTCAGGAAATTTTGGATTTAACCCTAAACAACTGTAAAATGTGAGAAAATAACAAATATAAGCCTAGATTAGTTTTCTAAACCAAATGCTTGCTTAATTGGAGTATTTTGCTGTTACTCTTTCTTTCATAATCAATCTTAACTATTCATTATTGTATGGATCTGAATAATTAAACAGCAGCACCATATAAACTCATTCATCTGTGCAAGAGATGACTGAAGATTACAGAGGAATATATGTTCTAAGGTTGCATACTACTATAATAAAAATAATAATAAAAAAAGATAGATCATGATATGGTTTGGCTTTGTGACCCCACCCAAATCCCATCTTGTAGCTCCTATAATTCCCACATGTTGTGGGAGGGACTAGGATGGAGATGATTGAATTATGGAGATGATTGAAACAGCACTTTCCCATGCTGTTCTCATGATAGTGAATGGATCTCACAAAATGTAATAGTTCTAAAAACGGGAGTTTTCCTACACAAGCTCTCTTTTTGCCTTCTGCCATCCACATAAGATGTGACTTGTTCCTCCTTGCCTTCCACCATGATTGTGAGGCCTCACTAATCACATGGAACTGTGAGTCCAGTTAAACCTCTTTCTTTTGCAAATTGCCCAATCTAGGGTATGTATTTATCAGCAGCATGAAAATGGGCTAATGCAGATCACTTCTGTGGGACAGGTACTACAACCGATTAGTCAATATCCAGTTATCAGAATAAGCATATTGTGCTTTTCACTTTGACATTTTCAGCCAGCAATTTTATCTTCCTTGGACAATGATTTCTTAAAGATGACTCAAGTATTCTACATACTCAAGGAGAGCTGTGTAAACTTTTAACATTCTGTATGTCTCAAATTTAAGCCCATGATTTTTCTGATGGTATCCCAGAAAATTCTTAGGGATGTCTTCTCTGGTTACTAATCAGAGAGGAAGAGCTGAGAAGATGAGGACTGTAGTGGTTTTTCATTGGGCAACTGTTAATTAATTCCCAAAAGAAGGTATTTAGTACAGGCTATAAGGGACTACCTCAAGGAATTATCATTTTCTATGTTCATTTATCATCAATACATATATTTTCTGTTGGTCTAATTTTAAATTAGGGAGAGATACTTCAAAAGGCTTAACTTTGAAAATATTGGTGGTGACAGGGGTAAGTGTTTGTAAAAGACTATGACATCTAGTGAAATCTGTCAAGTTAAAACAGTCATACTTATCAATCAGTTTCATTTACTTAGCTGTCATTTAATGGACTTACATAGAAATCAGTTGTCACATGCTATTTATAAACTTAATCGATCATCTTTATGTTTTCTTAGTTCTTGACATTGTGGTGATCTATGCTCACACAGGGATTTTCTGATTAAATTTCAACCAGTAGTTATGGTCCCATCAGTTTTGCTCCATATCACTATAGCCTCATTTACAACATGTTACAATGAGTTTGCCCTTTAATCATTCCTACCCTTCATGTTACCACAATGTCAATTGATCTGCCTCTGACTTAGTACCCAGCCTGGCCCCATTCTACTGGGGGAGATTTGGAGATGGGGAATACTAACGGTTGTTTATAACTGCAGCTATTTCCCCATAAGGAGTGGAACTCTACTGTGTTAATTTAATTATTGTGACTTTCATAGTCTTGAGTCCTTCTGTGGAAGAATATTTATTCTAAAGGCATTCTGATTTTTATTTTAAACTGCTACAGTTATTACTGCAATTCCTATAACAAATATGTTCTATAATAATATCAATATTCTGAGTTGGAACTCCTCAGATGGATAATTGATTTGAAGTAAATTATATTTACATAAACATTAACATTTAACAAGTATGGCTCTTGTGGATAATTGGTTTGAAGTAATTGATGGATGATTGATATGAAGTAAATCATATTCACCTAACAAACTGTCATATGTTGAAATTAGTCATAAGGAATACCAATTTGGACTTATTTATTAGTCCCAGTGATAGAAACCATTGCTAGTTAAGGAAAGAAACAAAAAGAATTTAAACAATAAGACCATTCATAGCTCAGAAAAAATTAATGCCAGAAGCTAACAAGGACAAAGCCTTCTCCAAAGTCCAGGTAGCAGTGATTCCTTGATTGCCTCATTTGTGTGCAGCTTCTGGGATGAATGAGCTCCAATTATTTTTCTGTCTCGTATAATATTCAAGGGCCCTGACAAGAGAATCCAAATGCTCTGACATGGATTACATGCTCACCCTTTCACAATGTTCTTGGAGGCCATTTTTATCATTAAGTCTGTTACAAGATGGCATTGAATGAGGACATGGTAAGGCCCCCCTCCCAAAGATATGAAGATTCTATTTTGGGGGTGATTAATGAATGATATGTGTTCAAAAACAAAAATTCCCATGAAATTCCTTTCCTCTCCACTACTCAAAAATACACTCCTCTTCATATCTACAGAGGTCTATCAATGGAATAGAGGTCTATCAATGGGAGAAACAATAATTTATTTTTAGATGGTAAGTACATTTACAGCATTAATGAAATAATTAATGGTGAGAACTATAATTTGAATATAAAAAGCAAAAGCATCTGTGTAGTTTGACTGTTGTGATATTTTTCTGGAATATATGCTACAACTAAGAAAGGAAGAATGATGAATTAAAGTATGTAAAATTTATGATAAAGGAAACCATAAGCCTATGGATTTATGTGTGATTGTTGCAAAGGGTAATATAGAAAGAGAGTAATAGGGCAAAACCAATGGCCTATTTATTACTACAGAGATGTCCTGAGCAGGAGAAAGGAGAATATTTATGCTCTACAAGGCTCCTAAACCAGCAAACATTACTGATTTATGGGTGCAGGAGTTGAGTTAGTTGATGTAACCTACCAAAAATGTTCTCTTCAGATAACTAAAATTCTTCATTTTTGATTTATTATAACATTTTTATTTTATAGCAATGTTTACAGTTTACTGATTTACTGGTAAACAGGTTCATCCATTTTGGGACAGCATTCTGCTTATAAATAAACCACAAAATCATAAACTTAATAAAAAGAGGAATGGCAAGAGAAACTTATGCATGAAATTGAGGTATAAATAAAGTAAAATTTTCTTTTGACGTGTGGTTTTCATGACCCAGTGTGTGTTTCATTGCAGAGAACTAATGTGACCATGTGTTGTAAATGAAAGAATTCTCCAAGTATTACTCACCCACCAAGTACTCAGGCAAGATAAAGTTGAGCATTAAAATGATTAACAGTATTTTGTAAGTGAAAGAGATAAGGCCTTGTTATAAATGTTTGTTCAACATTTGATTTTTAAAATCTCTCATATTTTACATCATAATGTGTCACATCTCTATCATCAAATGCCTTAATACTTAATCCCCAGCTTTCACTATAATCTCCTAGAGGACAAGAACTATATCAATTTAACTTTCTTGGAGACCAAACTAATAGAATAGCTTGAACTTGGAGATGGGGAAAATTTTTCTTTTGGTAAAGTCTCTTATTCATTCATCAATTTCCTTTCTTGAGCTATTTGCATAATTCTACTCATAATTGATATTTTGGGTACATCGGTATAGTTTTCACTTGTGTCCCTTTTGGAAAACCTTCACTTGCAACATGTGCCATTTCTAGAAGCATCAGTTTCACAGTTTTTCACTCTTAGCACTATGAACATTTGAGGCTGGAAAATTCCTTGTTTTAGGAGGCTGTTCTGTGCATTGCAGGAAGTTTAGTGCCACCCCAGGCCTTTGCCCACTAGATGCCATTCATATTATTACCACCAAGCCATAGCATCCAAAAATGTCCCCAGACAATGCCAGATATTTCCTGGGACAAGAGAGCCCCCGTTTGAGAGCCACTGCCATGATCTAAGTTAAATACAATTCTAGAAACTTTATTGCCATAGATTGGAAAATATATATATATATATATACATATATATATATACACCTGCATACAAACTTACATATAGTTTGTTTTTCCAATTTTGTTTACCTTCAATATCTAAAGTTTTTACTGTTTTTTATTATTATCACTGTTGTTAATAGATTTCATTTTTCCATAGTCACTATATGCTAGGTGTTTGACATCTATTTTTGTATTCTTCATGTTTCTGATGGTTGATAATTTTTTTCCTTATTTTACAGTAGAGGAAAGGAAAATTCAGACTGTCTAGTCCAGTGCTTCTCAAAATTTAACATGCACAAACATAACCTGGTGACCTAGTTAAAATTCAAACTCTGGTTCTAGTTTGGTATGTCTGGAATGGAGCCTGGGAATATGCATTTCCAGTGAGCTTGCAAGTGATTCTGATGCTGATTCTGCAGCTCATGAAACCATACTTTGAGAAGCAATGGACTAGATAACTTACCCAGACTCCTACAGCTAGAAAATGCTCCAGTCAGAATTTGAACCCAGGTCTGCTTCTCACACAAGATACCCTTTCTCTTCCTTCATGCTGCCTGTCTATGAGCAATTCTGTGACAGGGAGTTAGCTTTACTCTTTCTAGGACTGTCTCAGGTTCTGGTATTTTACCTCCACCTTTATGCTTACCTAAAGTGCTTCAGGTCTGGTAGTAAAAGATAGAATGTGTGTAGTCAGTTTAGGTTAATGGACAGTAGTTGGAATATTAACTGACCTTTTCTTTTACTTTTCATGCATCCATCCCTGATTGCAACACATTCTGGCTCCTACACAGGAGACTAGGAGCTTGAATTCAGAGATGAAGGGATATAAACCTTTCTCTCTTAAAGTTCAAGTTTAATTGGGGATATCAATACATGCACAGATAATTATGAAACAACTTCCTAGATATATCACTGAATCCTGAACAGGGAAATTATAGGAGCATTGAAAAGGTAGGAATTAGAATTGCTAGTTAGATTATGGTTAGCACAGACTGAAACCAATATTTTACCACTTCATCTAGGATAGGCCTGAACCATGGACATGCCCCCTCAAATTCTGTAGCCACTGCAATATGGCATGGCCATTTTAAAATTGCTATTTTGATCTTTGAACAAGCTGGTTCTGCCTGACAAGCTGGAGGTGTATAAGTTCATACTGGAACAAGGTATGTGACACACAATAGAATGAATATAAAACTGAGAGAGATAAAAATGAAATAATCTACTGATAGCTTTCATAACTCTTCACCTTGCAATTTATCCAAAATGTACCCATCATGTGGCTTTATGAGATGTGCACTAAACACTTAGAAAAATGGTAGATAATGATTTTAACAATTGAGAAATGTTTCCAGTTACACTTGGGAGGCAAAGTTGACAATCTATGAGTTGTTCGATATGGTCTGCTTATAAGATGGGGGCATTGACTTAGATGCTGAGACTTCATGGTTAAGGCATTACTCACATCCAAAGTACAGACACTATCTCATCCTAAATTATTTGAGACCTCACCCCACCTACCTTCTGTCTCCTGCACATTTAACATCAGTCTTTCTACTGATAAATACACATTTCTTTATCATGAATTAGCTCATATGCTATTGATAAATGGAAGAATAGTGTCAGAAAAATGTGAAAGTTGCATTGGTTTCTATTACTTTTATTCCAGAGATGAATGTTTCATACCACCAAATAAGAGCAAAATATAAAGTATACTTTAAAAAGCATGAAGGTATCAATGCTAAAGGAGAAAAAGGGAACTGTACACAATTTTGTTTCACCCAATTTTCTCTTTCTGACACTTATCACCTGGTGCTCCCTGACTTTTGGGCATTTTTTTTATTATACTTTAAGTTTTAGGGTACATGTGCACAACGTGCAGGTTTGTTACATATGTATACATGTGCCATGTTGGTGTGCTGCACCCATTAACTCCTCATTTAGCATTAGGTATATATTCTAATGTTATCCCTCCCTCCTCCCCCAACCCCACAACAGTCCCCAGTGTGTGATGTTCCCCTTCCCATGTCTATGTGTTCTCATTGTTCAGTTCCCACCTATGAGTGAGAACATGCTGTGTTTGGTTTTCTGTCCTTGTGGTAGTTTGCTGAGAATGATGGTTTCCAGCTTCATCCATGTCCCTACAAAGGACGTGAACTCATCATTTTTTATGGCTGCATAGTATTCCATGGTGTATATGTGCCACATTTTCTTAATCCAGTCTATCATTGTTGGACATTTGGCTTGGTTCCAAGTCTTTGCTATTGTTAATAGTGCCACAATAAACATATGTGTGCATGTGTCTTTATAGCAGCATGATTTATAATCCTCTGGGTATATACCCAGTAATGGGATGGTTGGGTCAAATGGTATTTCTAGTACTAGATCCCTGAGGAATCACCACTCTGACTTCCACATGGCTGAACTAGATTATGGTCCCACCAACAGTGTAAAAGTGTTCCTATTTCTCCACATCCTCTCCAGCACCTGTTGTTCCCTGACTTTTTAATGATCGCCATTCTAACTGGCGTGAGATGGTATCTCTTTGTGATTTTGATTTGCATTTCTCTGATGGCCAGTGATGGTGAGCATTTTTTCATGTGTTTTTTGGCTGCATAAATGTCTTCTTTCAAGAAGTTTATCTTCATATCCTTTGCCCACTTTTTAATGGGGTTGTTTGTTTTTTTCCTATAAATTTGTTTGAGTTCATTGTAGATTCTGGTTATTAGCCCTTTGTCAGATGAGTAGATTGCAAAAATGTTCTCTCATTCTGTAGGTTGCCTATTCACTCTGATGGTAGTTTCTTTTGCTGTGCAGAAGCTTTTTAGTTTATTTAGATCCCATTTGTCAATTTTGGCTTTTGTTGTGATTGCTTTTGGTGTTTTAGACATGAAGTCCTTGACCATGTCTATCTCCTGAATGATATGGCCTAGGTTTTCTTCTAGAGTTTTTATGGTTTTAGGTCTAACATTTAAATCTTTAATCCATCTTGAATTAATTGTAGTATAAGGTGTAAGGAAGGGATCCAGTTTCAGCTTTCTACATATGGCTAGCCAGTTTTCTCAGCACCATTTATTAAATAGGGAATCCTTTCTGCATTGCTTGCTTTTGTCAGGTTTGTCAAAGATCAGATAGTTGTAGGTATGTGGCATTATTTCTGAGGGATCTGTTCTGTTCCATTGATCTATATCTCTGTTTTGGTACCAGTACCATGCTGTTTTTGTTACTGTAGCCTTGTAGTGTAGTTCGAAGTCAGGTAGCGTGATGCCTCCAGCTTTGTTCTTTTGGCTTAGGATTGACTTGGCAATGTGGGCTCTTTTTTGGTTCCATATGAACTTTAAAGTAGTTTTTTCCAATTCTGTGAAGAAAGTCATCGGAAGCTTGATGGGGATTGTATTGAATCTATAAATTACCTTGGGCAGCATGGCCTTTTTCACGATATTGATTCTTCCTGCCCATGAGAATGGAATGTTCTCCCATTTCTTTGTATCTTCTTTTATTTCATTGAGCAGAGGTTTGTAGTTCCCCTTGAAGAGGTTCTTCACATCCCCTGTAAGTTAGATTCCTAGGTATTTTATTCTCTTTGAAGTAATTGTGAATGGGAGTTCACTCATGATTTGGCTCTCTGTTTGTCTGTTATTGGTGTATAAAAATGCTTGTGATTTTTGCATGCTGAGACTATGCTGAATGAAGTTGCTTATCAGCTTAAGGAGAATTTTGGTCAGAGACGATGGGGTTTTCTAGATATACCATCATGTCATCTGCAAACAGGGACAGTTTGACTTCTTCTTTTCCTAATTGAATACGCTTTATTTCTTTATCCTGCCTGATTGCCCTGGTTAGAATCTCCAACACTATGTTGAATAGGAGTGGTGAGAGAGGGTATCCCTGTCTTGTGCCAGTTTTCAAAGAGAATGCTTCTAGTTTTTGCCCATTCAGTATGATATTGGCTGTGGGTTTGTCATAAATAGCTCTTATTATTTTGAGATATGTCCCATCAATACCTAATTTATTGAGAGTTTTTAGCATGAAGGTCTGTTAATTTTGTCGAAGGCCTTTTCTGCATCTATTGAGATAATCATGAGGTTTTTGTCATTGGTTCTGTTTATATGCTTGGTTACATTTATTGATTTTCGTATGTTGAACCAGCCTTGCATCTCAGAGATGAAGCCCACTTGATCATGATGGATAAGCTTTTTGATGTGCTGCTGGATTTGGTTTCCGAGTATTTTATTGAGGATTTTTGCATCGATGTTCATCAGGACTATTGGTCTAAAATTCTCTTTTTTTGTTATGTCTCTGCCAGACTTTGATATCAGGGTGATGCTGGTCCCATAAAATGAGTTAGGGAGGATTCCCTCTTTTTCTATTGATTGGAATAGTTTCAGAAGGAATGGTACCAGCTCCTCTTTGTACCCCTGGTAGAATTCAGCTGTGAATCTGTGTGGTCCTGGACTTTTTTTGGTAGGTAAGCTATTAATTATTGCCTCAATTTCAGAGCCTGTTATTGGTCTATTCAGAGATTTAACTTATTCCTGGTTTAGTCTTGGGAGAGTGTAGTGTCAAGGAATTTATCCATTTCTTCCATATTTTCTAGTTTATTTGCATAGAGGTGTTTATAGTATTCTCTGACGGTAGTTTGTATTTCTGTGGGATCAGTGGTGATATCCCCTTTTTCATTTTTTATTGCATCTATTTGATTCTCCTCTCTTTTCTTTATTAGTCTTGCTAGTGGTCTATCAATTTTGTTGATCGTTTCAAAACACAAGCTCCTGGATTCACTGATTTTTTGAAGGTTTTTTTGTGTCTCTATTTCCTTCAGTTCTGCTCTGAACTTAGTTACTTCTTGCCTTCCGCTAGGTTTTGAATTTGTTTGCTCTTGCTTCTGTAGTTCTTTTAATTGTGATGTTAGGGTGTCAATTTTAGATCTTTTCTGCTTTCTCTTGTGGACATTTAGTGCTATAAATTTCCCTCTACACACTGCTTTGAATGTGTCCCAGAGATTCTGGTATGTTGTGTCTTTGTTCTCATTGGTTTCAAAGAACATCTTTATTTCTGCCTTCATTTTGTTATGTACCCAGTAGTCATTCAGGAGCAGGTTGTTCAGTTTCCATATAGTTGAGCGATTTTGAGTGAGTTTCTTAATCCTGAGTTCTAGTTTGATTGCACTGTGGTCTGAGAGACAGTTTGTTATAATTTCTGATCTTTTGCATTTGTTGAGGAGTGCTTTACTTCCAACTATGTGTTCAGTTTTGGAGTAAGTGAGGTGTGGTGCTGAGAAGAATGTATATTCTGTTGATTTGGGGTGGAGAGTTCTGTAAATGTCTATTAGGTCTTCTTGGTGCAGAGCTGAGTTGAATTCCTGGATATCCTTGTTAACTTTCTGTCTCATTGATCTGTCTAATGTTGACAGTGTGGTGTTCCATTCTCCCATTATTATTGTGTGGGAGTCTAAGTCTCTTTCTAGGTCTCTAAGGACTTGCTTTATGAATCTGGGTGTTCCTGTATTGAGTGCATATATATTTAGGACAGTTAGCTCTTCTTGTTGAATTGATCCCTTTACCATTATGCAATGGCCTTCTTTTTCCCTTCTGATCTTTGTTGGTTTAAAGTCTGTTTTATCTGAGACTAGGATTGCAACTCCTGCATTTTTTTGTTTTCCATTTTCTTGGTAGATCTTCCTCCGTCCCTTTATTTTGAGCCTATATGTGTCTCTGCACATGAGATGGGTTTCCTGAATACAGCACACTGATGAGTCTTGACTCTTTATCCAATTTGCCAGTCTCTGTCTTTTAAATGGAGCATTTAGCCCATTTTCATTTTAGGTTAATATTGATATATGTGAATTTGATCCTGTCATTATGATGTTAGCTGGCTATTTTGCTCGTTAGTTGATACAGTTTCTTCCTAGCCTTGATGTTCTTTACCATTTGGCATGTTTTTGCCGTGGCTGGCACTGGTTGTTCCTTTCCATGTTTAGTGCTTCATTCAGGAGCTCTTTTAGGGCAGGCCTGGTGGTGACAAAATCTCAGCATTTGCTTGTCTGTAAAGGATTTTATTTCCCCTTCACTTATGAAGCTTAGTTTGGCTGGATATGAAATTCTGGGTTGAAAATTCTTTTCTTTAAGAATGTTGAATATTGGCCCCCACTCTCTTCTGGCTTCTAGAGTTTCTGCCAAGAGATCTGCTGTTAATCTGATGGGCTTCCCTTTGTGGGTAACCCGACATTTCTCTCTGGCTGCCCTTAACATTTTTTCCTTCATTTCAACTTTGGTGAATCTGACAATTATGTGTCTTGGAGTTGCTCTTCTGGAGGAGTATCTTTGTGGCATTCTGTGTATTTCCTGAATTTGAATGTTGGCCTGCCTTGCTAGATTGGGGAAGTTCTCCGGGATAATATCTTGCAGAGTGTTTTCCAACTTGGTTATATTCTCCCCGTCACTTTCAGGTACACCAATCACACGTAGATTTGGTCTTTTCACATAGTCCCATATTTCTTGGAGTCTTTGTTCATTTCTTTTTATTTTTTTCTCTAAACTTCTCTTCTTGCTTCATTTCATTCATTTGATCTTACATCACTGATACCCTTTCTTCCAGTTGATCAAATCGGCTACTGAGGCTTATGCATTTGTCACGTAGTTCTCGTGCCAAGGTTTTCAGCTCCATCAGGTCCTTTAGGGACTTCTCTGCATTGGTTTTTCTAGTTAGCCATTCGTCTAATCCTTTTTCAAGGTTTTTAACTTTTTTATCATGGGTTTGAAATTCCTCCTTTAGCTTGGAGTAGTTTGATCATCTGAAACCTTCTCTCAACTCATCATAGTCATTCTCTATTCAGCTTTGTTCCATTGCTGGTAAGGAGCTGCATTCCTTTGGAGGAAGAGAGGCACTCTGATTTTTAGAATATTCAGTTTTTCTGCTCTGTTTGTTCCCCATCTTTGTGGTTTTATCTACTTTTGGTCTTTGATGATGGTGATGTACAAATGGGGTTTTGGTGTGGATGTCCTTTCTGTTTGTTAATTTTCCTTCTTACAGTCAGAATCTTCAGATGCAGGTCTGTTGGAGTTTGCCAGAGGTCCACTCCAGACCCAGTTTTCCTGGGTATCAGCAGTGGAGGCTGCAGAACATCGGATATTGGTGAACAGCAAATGTTGCTGCCAGATCGTTCCTCTGAAAGTTTTGTCTCAGAGGGGTACCCAGGCATGTGAGGGGTCAGTCTGCCCCTACTTGGGGATGCCTCCCAGTTATGCTACTCAGGGGCCAGGGACCCACTTGAGAAGGCAGTCTGTCCATTGTCAGATCTCCAGCTGTGTGCTGGGAGAACCACTACTCTCTTCAAAGCAGTCAGACAGGGACATTTAAGTCTGCAGAGGTTTTTGCTGCCTTTTGTTTGGTTATGCCCTGCCACCAGAGATGGAGTCTACAGAGGCAGGCAGGCCTCCTTGAGCTGCAGTGGGCTCTATGCAGTTCTAGATTCCTGGCCACTTTGTTTAGCTACTCAAGCCTTGACAATGGTGGGCCTCCCTCCCCTAGCCTCACTGCTGCCTTGAAGTTTGATCTCAGACTGTTGTGAGAGTAATAAGTGAGGCTTCATGGGCATAGGACCCTCCGAACCAGGTGTAGGATATAGTCTCCTGGTGTGCCATTTGCTAAGACCAACAGAAAAGCGCAGTATTAGGGTGGGAGTGACCCAATTTTCCAGGTGCCATCCATCACCCCTTTCCTTGGCTAGGAAAGGGAATTCCCTGACCCCTTGTGCTTCCCAGGTGAGGTGATGCCTCGCTGTGCTTTGGCTCATGCTCAGTGCTCTGCTCCCACTGTCCTGCACCCACTGTCTGACAATCCCCAGTGAGATGAACCTACATATTATTACCCACACACAGTCCTCAAAGGTATCTTATGTTTGTACTCAAAGGTACCTGGATGTTTGGAAGAAATGGGGAGAAAATAGAAAATCATACAGGTAGGGTAAATGGATTGCTTGATTTTATCTTTGATTGTCCCCAAAGGGAATCTGTTATTTTGCTTTATTTTTCAAGGTGAAAAATCAATGCTGAAGTGAAGTCACTCCTCTTTATGGACACAAAACAAACAAACAAAAACCTAACACTGTTGAAAGTAAGGAATGAAGACATATCAAATGTTCAGGTATGATATCAAATCAACATTACCCCAAATTGATTAAAATATCACACTAGATTAAGAGAATGGAAGCAAGAATATTGAAAAAAGAGATGTCCTAAGCACCATGTAATGTCCAATGCACTTTATATAAATTCTTGATCATCACCACAACTTGATAAAGTACTTTTATTATCCCCATTTTACAGCAAAACAAACCAAAAAGTAATCTAGAATAACCTAGAAGTCCAGTCTTTTACCTAAGATCACACGTTTAGTAAATGCAGAATTAAGATTAGTAACCGGGCAATCCTACTTCATAGTATACACTCTACATCATTTTAGTGTCTTAGGAAATTAGTCACAGTGAAGAAAAATGTTAATTTTTAATGTCCAAATCTTTAAAACTGAAAAGAAATAGAGAAAAGAGTAATGACTTCTGAAAAATCATTCTACAGAGAACAAGGGAATTAAGCACAACAATTCTTTATAAATTAGACTTAAAAAGGACATTTACATTGATAAAAGATTTATCTACGAAGCCTATTGAATTGTATGGACAAGACAGGTGTGTATCTCCGTCCTGGGCCCATCAATTTCTCCCTTGGAAAACCTCTGGAGTTAGAATGGAATGCACTCATTCATAATGACTTCAAAACTTGGAAATCATATTTCAAGGGAACTCACTGCATTTTTAAACTAAAGACAGACAAAATATAATCATTTCTATTTTCAAAGTTATTTCATTCTGACAGACCTGGCAGAATACGTGCTATAGCAGGTTGTTTGTCAAAAAAAATCACAAAGTGTATCCCAATAACCTTTTTGGCCTGTTACCAGACAAAATATTGCGTATCATATATCTGAGAATGTTAAGTAAGTACCTTTTTTGCAGCAGGGAAAAAATAAAGGAGTTCTCATTTCTTACCCAATGTACTCATTCATTGTATTGTATATATGCCCAGCATATGTCAGAGTATAGAGGCAACATAATTCTGTCCTTTCAGTTTCCAGTAAATCTAATAGTAAATAAGGAGTGGTCTCTGGTAGCTAAATCCAATTTCTTTAGACAAAAATATATGGAGGAAAATCTCTGTAGCATTTTCAGGATTGGCATTTCTTCAATATATTAAGACTGCATCTGTTCAAATGGTCTATTTCAATATTTGTCAAATAAATAACATTCTTATGAGTGTCAACATGGCCAATTTTACAGTAATTAATTTTTCAAAAAGGAGAATAAGTCCGGGTAATAAAATGTATGTAAGTTTCATGTTGGATTCCATTGCAATATTGGTACCATCATAGCTACAGACTAGATAATCTAGAGTCATACTTTTCAAGTAAAAGATCTTCCCCAGAGTAGGGGAAAAAATTGTGGGTGAAATATCTATTGGATTTTTTTTAACTCTTCAAGTGTAGATCAGTAATTCTCTACCTAGACATTTTCTGTATTTTTTAGATTTTTGTCTTGAGCTTGAACATTAAAGAAGACATGCCAAACAATAATATATGCTCACTTGTCAGACTCAAAAATAACTACACTTTACTCAGATGCTTATGCCTCATGTTACGAAAAGGGGAAAAAAATCTCCATTGAATGGAGAGTGGCCATCTCTCAGGATGTAACAGTGGCTCAGAACAGGAACCTCTGGAAGTCCTGGAATAGTCCTCATTTGTTACTTCAAGTTAACACTGCATGATGTGCTTGTGCCTTGGTGGCCATGTGCATGCACTTGTAGGATTTAAGGATTTACACTCACTTGGCTTGGGGCAGCAGAGTAGACAAATGTGCTGAGTCTCCTGTTTAAAGAAGACTTGGTTTTTAATAAGGCAGTACAAGTGAAAGAGTAGGTGCAGAGAAGCATTATTTCCATTTTTTAAATGTATTCCTAAGACAGAAGGTGGTCGATGGCATTATCTTCCACATAGGGATTGCTAAGTGGGTTTCATCTTCAATGGCTCAATGCTATTTATCTTCAGAGTTTGGGTGAAAATGATGCTACAGAGATGAGACATGAATGAAGAAATGAAACCTATGATAGTACTTCTGAGCCATTCCAAATATTGTCCAGACAAAACTTTGAACCTAACATTCACCAAATAAAAACATTTTGGTTGGGTTGTTGATGTTGGTATTTTCTCCTGCAGTTATGTGATCTCAGAGAAAGAAATGTTCTAACCAAAAGCCTTCTCATCATGACTTGAGATACCACAAGGCTAAATTCCAGTGTGTACTTTATCTCTTAAAATAGGCTCCTTTGTGCAGCAGGTGAATTTCACTGTCAGAAGTTCATGAAAGCAGTATTCTCTGGCTTTTAAAGACATGAGCATTTATCCTTTACCTGTAATAGAAGAAACCCTGCTTTAGAGTTTTTTATTGTGTTCATGTAGTTAAAAGAGTTCTATGCTTTTCAGAATTTGTTTTCCTGGATGACTCTGGGTTAAGGTTGGCCACAAAGAAAATTTTTTGAGACTGATGATATGTGGCAGAGAACCCTCTTAGAGACCTGCCAACACCCTCTTCCATCCCTGCTGTGCATAGATATAAAGGAACATCCTGAGTCCCTACGGGAATTCCAGGCACCTAGCTAGACCTGAGAAGTAAAGAAGCACCTGATAAGCAAAGAGGTAAAAATAGCTTACAACAATATTTAAGGAAGTTACAGCCTCAAAATATTTGGGTCCTTATAGAAACTAAAGATAATATCTTGACATATGGTCCTAATTTTTCAGGAATGCAGACTACTTCCAAATGGAAAATGCCATCCATTTTCTAATGTCTCTAATTCCAAATGCTAGTGAGTGATTCCATACTGTCTCATGAGAGGAATTTCTAAGCCCTTGAGTCTTGTTCTTAATTTCTTCTATGTCTCTCAAAATGATAGGAGACTCTTTGAGGCTTATACCAACATACCTGGATCTAGACATCAGATAAGCAGAGACTGAGGACTGATAACTGACTGCCATCCTTTGCTCTAAATTTATTCCTGAGGGTCTTGGAAGAAGTCACACCCATGGACGAGAGCAAACATTCTTTTCTGCTGACCACAAGTCTTTAGACAAAGCTCTGCCTCCTTAACCAATGGCAAATCAGAAAATTTCTGAATCCACCTGTAAGCTTCCACTTCAACATAAACTGCCTTACTAGGTCAAAGCAATGTACAGCCTCTGTGTATTGATTTATGACTTTGCCTATAACCTCTGCCTCCCTGCCTTTAAAAACCTCACTTTCTCTCACTGCAAACCCTGATGTCAGAGTCTGGCTTTGCTTTGCCAGATGGGTAAACCCAAGTTGAGTTTGGTAATACAAGGAAGATATGAAGAATTACCAGCTATTACAGAAGGTTGACATGGGGCCAAACGAGGATGCACCAGTTCAAATTGTCATTGGTCACTTCAACTCCATGTTGGTATGATGTGGTCAGTAGGTCTACAACTCCTCCAAATCCTTCCAAGCACCTCCTCCAATAACTCCAGGCCCCATGACAGATGCACATGCAGTTTCACTCAAAGGGCACTGGCTTTTTCTTCAGATAACTGTATGGTTTGGTTTAAATGTGAAATTAAAGAGATGTGGGATCCAGATTGTCTTGGCAGGCTCCAACTAGTCTGCATGGGCTCCAGGTTATCCTTATTGGCTCTACATGTTCTTGAAGCTTTCAAGTAATTCCATGAGTGTCCAGTTATCCTAGAAGGCTCCAGTTTGTCCTTGCTTTCCACTGCTTCATGTCCAACTTCCTTTTCCCATATCTCCCTTGCTGGTAGCAAGAATACAATTTAATTAATTCTTTTACCAACCACATGAAGTAGGAATTTTTATACCCTGCTGTTATGTGACAGAGCCAAACTGTAAATTCAGACCAATAAGTATCTAATTCCATACCCTACTGAGTAATTCCATACTATTTAATGAGAATAATTTCTAAGCCTTGGATTAATGTTCCTAATATTTGATTATGTCCTTCAAAATGCTACGAGATTACACCAACACACCTGGATCTCCATGTCTTGCAGCTGAAAATCCTCTTTGAAACTATTCATCAGTTGCTTTATTCTATAATTTCCTAAGTCCAGTGACCACCCACCTGAATGTCCTACTTGCTTGAATTCTTTACTTCAAAGCTTGACATAGGGAGGCCAATGGGAAAATTCAGAGTATCAGTAAAAACAAGGGTGGATCAGGGTTGCAAAATGTGATGTCATTTCCTGGGCACTTGAAATATAAACTAAAAGGAATCAAAAGCTATAGAAAAATATGAAGTAATTGTAAGAGCAAAGAAAACGATCTGAATTCCATGTCACTGCTCTGACTAGCTATTATACTGCTATTTGTATATGTTATATTCAACCACATGAGTGTCTCATAGGTGCAAAATAGCTCTGAAAATAATTTCAGAACAATCTCAGTCCCTCCGTAACAAAGCCAGTTCAGCATAACAGAACTGGCTTTGTTCCTGTTCAAGCTTCGTGGCATACATTGCTTTTGTCTTCATCCTATTTCTATCCCCTATTCCAGTCCCCCCGAGTTGGTAGAATTAGAAACTGCTGGAGTTTGAACTCTGCACTGTGTTGTCCTGTGAAGGTCCTGATGTGCCTGCAATTGTCTTCTTTGTTAGGTTGTTCAAGAGGATGCTTTGAGAAGAAACAGAATAAGAGGTGAGTGTGTGTTTTTGTGAGTGTGCATGCATGTGCACTTTGATGCTGTTTCAAAACTCTGCATTACTCAGATGCCCTTTTGTTAGATCCTGTCTGTAATGACAGATGCCTCCACTGGGGAGGAACCACTTGCAGTGTGGGCCTATTTGGGGAAACTTGGCTGAGCCAGCAGTTTTACATTAACTGCATAGTGCCCACACTCTGTAGGGGACACCTCAGGAAGAGAGAGACAACTGGGAAACATCCATCAGAAAAAATACCAAGCATAAAAATTATTCTTACATGATGGAAATAGGCTTAGCTGGTATTATATCATATAACACTCATTAGTAAATTTCTTCTATGAAGAAATGCATTATTACTGAAATATTCTGCTGTGCCTCCTTAATTTGTAGGTACATACCCTGCCTACTTCTGTGTCTGAGAACTGACATGTATTTACACGTTAATCAATTAGGGAATGAACATTCAACTCCAACATAGACCTACTCCCTTAAAATAGGAAACAAATATTGCTACTGGAAAGGAAGAGAGACAATATATAAGCAATTGTTAAAAAAATACACCAGCTTTAAAAAAAAATCTGATTAGAGACATTAACAAGATACCAGCAATAGGTCTTAATGGGAATTTTTAGAGAGGAATCTCTCAGAGCTTAAAATACTGACAATTCATTATGGTCAAATGATTCATTCTGATTTTTTCTACCTTTTCATTTACACTTGTGACTATGCTTAGGTGGATCGAGTGCTTATAGTTTTTCTTCAGGAAGACTCACTGGCTCCAAACAGTCACACACACACACAACCCACATTGCAGTGCCTCACTTTTATTTGCTTGTCAGATGCTTATGACACGCTCAATACATATTTGCTGAAATTAACCTAATGTTTTTAAAGAATGTTCCAAATAACTTTTTTTGGGGACAGAGTCTCACTCTGTCACCCAGGCTGGCATGTAGTGGCAAAATATCGGCTTGCTACAGCCTCTGCCTCCTGGTTCCATGTAATTATCCTGCCTCAGCCTCCTGAGTAGGTGGAACTACAGATGCACACCACCACACCCTGATAATTTTTGTATTTTTTAGTAGAGATGGGGTTTCATCATATTGGCCAGGCTCATGATCCACCCACCTCGACCTCTCAAAGTGCTGGGATTACAGGCATGAGCCACTGTGCCTGGCCAAAACAATTTTTCAAATACTATCTTGGAAGAAGTTATGTTTTAGCCAATCAGATCTCATCAATAATGAGATTATTGAGTTATTTTTTCTTCCTTTGAGAGAAATCAGAGTGTTACTTCAAAACTGGGTAAGTGTGTATGTGTGCATGTGAGAGAGAGAGGAGAAAAAAGGGGGAGAGGGGTGGAAAAGAGAGAAAGAGAAGGAGATAGAAGAAGAGGAGGAGGATGGGGAGGAAAGAGGTGGTAATTTAAAGAAAGCTGAATGCAGAAAGAAAAGACAGCACCTATACAGCAAAAGAGCAAGTACCTGCTGTAATTTTTCCTCATAGTAGAAATGGTTTTTTTGGGGAAATGAATGGAGGAGGAGGAATGTTATTTCTGTTCCCTCTCTCAAGTCAGTCAGTGTGACACTACTGGCCTGTTTTTGAGTTAGTAATGACCTAGCTGGAAATAGCCTGAATGACCCAGGACAGGTGTGTCCAGGTCCATCCAATACTCTCCTAAAGTGCCTGTGAGATATTGTGACATACTAAGAAATATATCTTTTGTTCTCTGTACCCTGAGTCCTGACACAGAGTTTCTAAAACCACATACGTAGGGGTGCTAGGAGAATCTTTGGTTCTATGACTTGGTCTTTAACCCTCAGTTTCCATCAAAGAGTTCCTAAATTTGTAGGAATTTCCTAGGTGATAGGAAAATGTTTTTTTTCTTGTAATGCGACTCTCAGTGGGCTCCAGGAGAGCCTCAGGATGCAGGCTAATGGCCAAGAAAACAACCTTGTCATTAGAGGGTTGGAGCTTGTGGCTCCAACTCTTGACCTTGGGGAGGGGAGAAGAGTTGAAGTTTTAATTGATCACTCTCTTATACATTCATGCTGCTATGACAGACTATCTCTCTTATCCCGGGTAATTTGTAAATAACAGAAATTCATTTCTTGCAGTTCTTGAGGCTGGGAAGTCCAAGGAAGTATGTCTGCTGATTCAGTTTTGGATGAGGGCTTGCTCTGCTCCAGAGATAGCACCTGTTGCTGGGTCCTTACATAAAAGAAGGTGCTAAAAAGATTACAATGCTCCCATCAAGTTTCTTTCCAAGAGAACTACTCCCATTCATAAAGGCAGAATGCTCCTGATTTTATCACTTCCTAAAAGGCCCTACCTGTTAATACCATCACTATGAATTTGAGTAGACACATACATTCAGAACATGGCATAATCACCAATGACCAGTGATTTAACCAATCATACCTGCATCATAAAGACTCCACAACAAGCCCCAAAGAGTGGTGTGTTGGTTCGTTCTCATGGTGCCAATAAAGACATACTCAAAACTAGGTAATTTAAAAAGAGAAGACGTTTAATTGACTTACAGTTCCACAGGGCTGGGGAGGCCTCAGGAAATTTGCAATCATGGCGGAAGGGGAAGTAGACACGTCCTTCTTCACTTGGTGGCAGGAAGGAGTGCTGAGTGAAGCAGGGAAAAGCCCCGTATAAAACCATCAGATCTCATAAGATCTCACTCATTAACATGAGAACATGTTGGGGGAAATTGCCCACGTTATTCTATTATCTCCACCTGGTTCCTTCCACAACACTTGGGGATTAAGGGAACTACAATTAAGATACAATGTATGAGATTTGGGTGGGAAACAGCCAAACCATAGCAGGTGGGGTTTGTAAATAACAGAAATTTATTTATATCCAGATATCAGATATCAGAAACATCCAGATATCAGATAACATGGAGCTTCCTGGAGGATTATGGACCCAGAAAGAGCATGGAAGCTCTGCACATGCTGTCATATCCCTCGCCCTATGAATCCCTTCTATCTGTTCATTCATCTGTATCTTTTGTAATATCCTTCCTAATAACCAGATAAATGTAAATAAAGTGTTTTACTGAGTTCTGTGACCACTCTTGAAAATTCACTTAACCTGACGAGAAGGTTATGGGAATACCCACTTTTTATAGCCAGTCAGAAGCACAGGTCACACCTGGGATTTGTGACTGACATTGAGAGGATTGCAGGGGTGGGGGGCAGTCTTCTGCGACTCAGTCCTCAACCTGTGGGATTTGACACCATCTCTAGGTAGCATCAGAAATGAACTTAACTACAGGACATCCAGCTGCTGTCCACAGGAGAATTTCTTGGCATGTTTGGACAAACTTCCACCCATCTGGTGCCCGAAGAATTAAATTTAGTGGTGTCTGAGTAGATGGGAAAAAAATTATCCTGTTATGGTCTCCCATTATGTGACTTGAATTGCTGGAGTAATTCAAACACTATCGCAGCACATACTCAACATACTATCTATTGGAGAAGATTTATATACACACACACACTATTTTTTATATATACACACACTTCTATGTATATATACACACACACAAATATATACATATATATATATAATATATGCCCACACACGTACACACACACACAGTCTCTGTTCTATAGGTCAGACACTTGCACACAATTTAGGTTAGGAGAAGACTTCCAAACATTGGAACATATATTTCTGTTGTTGTTATTATTGTTTGCTGTAATATGTCAGTTCTCCAATAAGATAAATTAGAGCTTTCCAACTGCTCTAAACCAGGGATCTCAATTGGCGATGATTATGCCCTCACCCCGGGGATGTTTGGCAGTGTCTGAATACATTTTTTAAGTTTACAACTTGAGGCAGGATGTGCTACTGTCATCCAGTGGGTAGTGAACAGAGATTCTGCTAAACATCCTCCAATGTCCAGGTCAACTGCTACTATGAAAAATTATCTGGTCCAAAAAGTCAGCAGTACCAAGGTTGAGAAACTTTGCCCAAAACCTATATAGGAGAAATCCACTGACAATAACTTGGTACAAGCTGCAAGACATGGTGCTAGGAAAAGAGGCAAATCCCTGTATCCCTGAAACTTCAGTTGTCCATTTTTTTCCATTACAAGTCAGATGCTTAAGAGTGGAGTGAAACCCATTCTGTATTTTCATGTGCTCAATTACTTCAATACTCCATTGATAAGCCACTGGCCTTGAGGCAGGGATCAAAAAAAAAGCCTCATGCTAAGAAAAATCTGTGGAGGATTAGACTTGGGAGGGTATATGTAGGGAGGGTGTATGTGTCCAGGAATTTATCCATTTCTTCTAGATTTTCTAGTTTATTTGTACAGAGATGTTTATAGTATTCTCTGATGATAGTTTATATTTCTGTGGGATCAGTGGTGATATCCCCTTTATAATTTTTTCTTGCATCTATTTGATTCTTCTCTCTTTTCTTCTTTTTAAGTCTGGCTAGCAGTCAATCTATTTTGTTGATCTTTTCAAAAAAACAGCTCCTGGATTCACTGATTTTTTGAAGGGCTTTTCATGTCACTGTTTCTTTCAGTTCTGCTCTGATCTTAGTAATTTTTCATCTTCTGCTAGCTTTTGAATTTGCTTGCTTTTGCTTCTCTAGTTCTTTTAACTGTGATGTTAGGGTGTCAATTTTAGATCTTTCCTCCTTTCTCCTGTGAGCATTTAGTGCTACGAATTTCTCTCTAAACACTGCTTTAGCTGTGTCCCAGAGATTCTGGTACATTGTGTCTTTGCTCTCATTGGTTTCAAAGAACATCTTTATTTCTGCATTCATTTGGGTATTTACCCAGTAGTTATGCAGGAGCAGATTGTGCAGATCCCATGTAGCTGTGCAGTTTTGAGTGAGTTTCTCAATCCTGAGTTCTAATTTGATTGCACTGTGGTCTGAGAGACTGTTGGATATGATTTCCATTGTTTTGCATTGGCTGAGGAGTGTTTTACTTCCGTAAATTATGTGGTCAATTTTAGAATAAGTGAGATGTGGTGCTAAGAAGAATGTATATTCTGTTGATTTGAGGTGGGTAGTTCTGTAGATGTCTATTAGGTCTGCTTGGTCCAGGACTGAGTTCAAGTCCTGAATATCTTTGTTAGTTTTCTGATTCATTGATCTGTCAAATATTGACAGGGAGGTGTTAAAATCTCCCACTATTATTGCGTGGGAGTCTAAGTCTCTTAGTAGGTCTCTAAGAACTTACTTTATGAATCTGGGTGCTCCTATATTGGGTGCATATATATTTAGGAGAGTTAGCTCTTCTTGTTGCATTGATTCCTTTACCATTATGTAATGTCCTTATTTGTCTTTATTATCTTTGTTGGTTTAAAGTCTGTTTTATTAGAGACAAGTATTGCAACCCCTGCTTTTTCTTCCCTCCTATTTATGTGGTAAATATTCCTCCATCCCTTTATTTTGAATCTATGTGTGTCTTTGCATGTGAGACGGGTCTCCTGAATAGAGCACACTGATGGATCTTGTCTCTTTATCCAATTTGACAGTCTGTGTCTTTTAATTGGGGCATTTATCCCATTTACATTTAAGTAAATATTTAATAGTTAATACAAATATTTAAGTAATATTTAATACTTGGGGTTAATATTATCATGTGTGAATTTGATCCTGTCATTATGATGCTAGCTGGTTATTTTGCCCATTAGTTCATGCAGTTGCTTCATAGTGTCAATAGTCTTTACAATTTGGTATGCTTCTGCAATGGCTGGTACCAGTTGGTCCTTTCCATGTTTAGTGCGTCCTTCAGGAGCTGTTATAAGTCAGGCCTGTTGGTGACAAAATCTCTCAGCATTTGCTTGTCTATAAAGTACTTTATTTCTCCTTCATATATGAAGCTTAGTTTGGCTGGATATGAAATTCTGGGTTGAAAATTCTTTTCTCTAAGAGTGTTGAATATTGGTCCCCACTCTCTGTAGGGTTTCTGCAGAGAGATCTGCTGTTAGTCTGATGGGCTTCCCTTTGTGGGTAAACTGACTTTTCTGTCTGGCTGCCATTAACAATTTTTCTTCATTTCAGCCTTGGTATATCTGATGATTGTGGGTCTTGTGCTTGCTCTTCTCGAGGATTATCTTTGTGGTGTTCTCTATATTTCCTGAATTTGAATGTTGGCCTGTCTTGCAAGGTGGGGAAGTTCTCTTGGATAATATCCTGAAGAATGTTTTCCAACTTGGTTCCATTCTCCCCTTCACTTTCAGGCACACCACCTAGGTTTGGTCTTTTCACAAAGTCCCATATTTCTTGGAGGCTTTGTTTGTTGCTTTCATTCTTTTTTTCTGTAATCTTGCCTTCATGCTTTATTTCATTAAGTCAGTTTTCAATCTCTGATATCCTTTCTTCTGCTAGATCAATTTGGCTATTTGTACTTGTGTATGTTTCACAAAGTTCTCTTGCTGTGTTTTTCAGCCTCATCAGGTCATTTGTATTCTCCTCTACACTGTTTTTTTTTTAGTTAGCTGTTCTTGTAACCTTTATCAAGGTTCTTAGCTTCCTTGTTTTCAGTTAGGACATGCTACTTTAGATTGGAAAATTTATTAACCACCTTCTGAAGCCTACTTCTGTCCACTCATCAAACTCATTCTCCATCCAGTTTTGTTGCTTTGCTCACATCCTTTGGAGGAGAAGACACACTATGGTTTTTGGAATTTTCAGCCTTTTTGTGCTGGTTTCTCCCCAACTTCATGGATTTATCTACCTTTGATTTTTGATGTTGGTGACCTTCAGATGGGGTTCTTGAGTGGACATCCTTTCTGTTGATGTTGATGCTATTTCTTTCTGTTTGTTAGTTTTCCTTCTAATAGCCAGGTACCTCTGCTGCAGGTGTGCTGGAATTTGCTAGAGGTCCACTTTCGATCCTGTTTGCCTGGGTATCACCAGTGGTGGCTGCGGAACCACAAAGATTGCTTCCTATTCTTTCTTCTGGAAGTTTTGTCCCAGAGGGGCATCTACCAGATGCCAGCTGGAGCTCTCATCTACGAGTTGTCTGTCAGCCCCTTCTGGGAGGTTGTCTGTCAGCCTCTTCTGGGACCCCCTTCTGGGAAGTCCTGAGACATGGTGGTCAGGGACCCACTTGACGGCGCTGTCTGACCCTTAGCAGTTCTCAAATACTGAACTGGGAGATCCACTGCTCTCTTCAGAGCCAGCTGGCAGGGATGTGTGAGTCTGCTGAAGCTGCACTCACAGCCAGTCCTTCCCCCAGGTGTTCTGTCCCAGAGAGGTGGGGGTTTTATCTATATGCCCCTGACTGGGGTTTCTGCCATTTTTTTCACAGATGCCCAGTCCAGAGAGGAGAAATCTAGACAGTCAGTCTAGCTACAGCAGCTTAACCGGGAGGAAGTCAAATCTCTGAATAGACAAATAACAAGTTCTGAAATTGAGGCAGGAATTAATAGCCTACCATCCAAAAAAAGTCCAGGACCAGATGGATTCACAGCCGAATTCTACCAGAGGTACAAGGTAGTACAAGGTACCTCTGGTACCATTCCTTCTGAAACTATTCCAATCAATAGAAAAAGAGGGAATCCTCCCTAACTCATTTTATGAGGCCAGCATCATCCTGATACCAAAACCTGGCAGAGACACAACAAAAAACAGAATTTTAGACCTATATCCTTGATGAACATTGATGCAAAAGTCCTCAATAAAATACTGGCAAACCGAATCCATCAACACATCAAAAAGCTTATCCACCATGATCAAGTGGGCTTCATCCCTGGGATGCAAGGCTGGTTCAACATACAAAAATCAATAAATGTAATCCAGCATATAAAAGAAGAAAAGACAAAAACCAGATTATTATCTCAATAGATGCAGAAAAGGCCTTTGAAAAAATTCAACAACTCTTCATGCTAAAAACTCTCAATAAATTAGGTATTGATGGGACGTATCTCAAAATAATAAGAGCTATCTATGACAAACCCACAGCCAATATCATACTGAATGGGCAAAAACTGGAAGGATTCCCTTGGAAAACTGGCACAATACAGGGATGCCCTGTCTCACCACTCCTATTCAACATAGTGTTGGAAGTTCTGGCCAAGGCAATCAGGCAGGAGAAAGAAAGAAATGGTATTCAAATAGGAAAAGAAGAAGTCAAATTGTCCCTGTTTGCAGATGACATGATTGTATATCTAGAAAACCCCATCGTCTCAGCCCAAAATCTCCTTAAGCTGATAAGCAACTTCAGCAAAGTCTCAGGATACAAAATCAATGTGCAAAAATCACAAGCATTCTTATACACCAATAACAGACAAACAGAGGGCCAAATCATGAGTGAACTCCCAATCACAGTTGCTTCAAAGAGAATAAAATACCTAGGAATCCAACTTAGAAGGGATGTGAAAGACCTCTTCAAGGAGAACTACAAACCTCTGCTCAATGAAATAAAAGAGGATACAAACAAATGTAAGAACATTCCATGCTCATGGGCAGGAAGAATCAATATCATGAAAATGACCATACTCCCCAAGGTAATTTACAGATTCAATACCATCCCCATCAAGCTACCAATTACTTTCTTCACACAATTTGAAAAGACTACTTTAATGTTCATATGGAACCAAAAAAGAGCCCACATTACCAAGTCAATACTAAGCCAAAAGAACAAAGCTGGAGGCATCATGCTACCTGACTTCAAACTATACTACAAGGCTACAGTAACCAAAACCACATGGTACTTGTACCAAATCAGCAATATACATCAATGGAACAGAACAGAGCCCTCAGAAATAATGCCATGTAACTACAACTATCTGATCTTTGACAAACCTGACAAAAACAAGCAATGGGGAAATGATTCCCTATTTAATAAATGGTGCTGGGAAAACTGGCTAGCCATATACAGAAAGCTGAAACTGGATCCCTTCCTTACACCTTATACTACAATTAATTCAAGTTAGATTAAAGACTTACATGTTAGACCTAAAACCATAAAAACCTTAGAAGAAAACCTAGGACATACCATTCAGGACACAGGCATGGTCAAGGACTTCATGTCTAAAACACCAAAAGCAATGGCAACAAAAGACAAAATTGACAAGTGGGATCTAATTAAACTAAGGAGCTTCTGCACAGCAAAAGAAACCACCATCAGAGTGAACAGGCAACCTACAGAATGGGAGAAAATTTTTGCAACTTACGCATCTGACAAAGGGCTAACATCCAGAATCTACAATGAACTTAAACAAATTTACAAGAAAAAAACAAACAACCCCATCAAAACGTGGTCAAAGAATTTGAACAGACACTTCTCAAAAGAAGACATTTATGCAGCCAAAAAACACACGAAAAAATGCTCATCATCACTGGCCATCAGAGAAATGCAAATCAAAACCACAATGGGATACCATCTCATACCAGTTAGAATGGCAATCATTAAAAAGTCAGGAAACAACAGGTGCTGGAGAGGATGTAGAGAAATAGGAACATTTTTACACTGTTGGTGGGACTGTAAACTAGTTTAACCACTGTGGAAGTTGGTGTGGCAATTCCTCAGGGATCTAGAACTAGAAACACCATTCAACCCAGCCATCCCATTACTGCATATATACCCAAAGGATTATAAATCATGCTGCTATAAAGACACATGCACACGTATGTTTACTGCGGCACTATTAACAATAGCAAAAACTTGGAACCAAGCCAAATATCCAACAATGATAGGCTGGATTAAGAAAGTGTAGCACATATACACCACAGAATACTATGCAGCCATAAAAATGATGAGTTCATGTCCTTTATAGGGACATAGATGAAGCTGGAAACCATCATTCTCAGCAAACTATCACAAGGACAAAAAACCAAACACTGCGTGTTCTCACTCATAGGTGGGAATTGAACAATGAGAACACATGGACACAGGAAGGGGAACGTCACACACTAGGGACTGTTGTGGGGTGGGGGTAGGGGGGAGGTATAGCATTGGGAGATATACCTAATGCTAAATGGCAAGTTAATTGGTGCAGCACACCAACATGGCACATGTATACATATGTAACAAAGCTGCACGTTGTGCACAGGTACCCAAAAACTTAAAGTATAATAATAATAATAGTCATTATTATTTTTTCCTTTCTCAGCCTTCCACAGGTTACTTCCTCCTTTCTTTGTTATCATCTACCTTTGCCTCTTTTAAAAAATTCTAAGTTGCTAGTCAATCAGGACAAATACAGAATGTGAGGTCCTATTCCAGCGAATGGAAATCGCTGGACACATCAGGTTATAAATGACCCTGTCTGCTTTCTTCGGTGTACTTTCATGACAAAACTGCTGGCAAGTGTACCCTTTCTGTAGGAACTAAAAATGGCCTTACTAAATAAATTACATTTAGGTTCAAGTGCTATTTCTTTACAACACCGGAGAACAAGCATTTCAAACATTCAGAAACAAATTCCTGCATGTCAGAGGAGTTGCAACACTGACCTGTATGTTTGTTTGCTAGTTTTTAGATACAGGGTCTTGCTCTACAATCCCAGCTGGTATTCAGTGGCACAGTCACAGCACACTGCAGCTTCAAACTCCCAGTCTCAAGCAATTCTTCTGCCTCAGTCTCCTGAGTAGCTGGGACTACAGGCATGAGCTACCACACCCAGATAAGCTTTTAATTTGATGTAGAGATAGGGTCTCATTGTGTTGCCTTGGTTGATCTCTAATTACTGGCCTCAAACAATCCTCCCACCTCTGTCTGCAAACTCCTGCTGTGCCTGCCTTGGGACTTGGATCTTAAGACAGTAACTATGGAATTGGAGGAGAATAATACAAAGCTAAATAAGAGAGAAGTCATTGATTATGTAGCACCACATGTGCCTTGAGGTTCAAGTTTCTAGGAGGACATCTAGAGCTGATCCTGAGAATCTGATGTGAAGGCCCTGGAATAGTGGACACAGCAATGCCTTCTGTAAATAAGGTGGAGTTGCCAGATCTCCTTAGCATAGCGATTGGAAGGGGTGAGAAGGATAAGAGAAGCTGGGATGCTAGAATGAATTGCACATGCAAAATTAGACACCTCCTACATGACTTCATTCTCAGAGGATTCAAACGCAACCCTCCCCACTTCACTATGGCTCCAAGCAATGCATGAATGAATGGGGCATTGGCCCATTTTAGAAGCTACTCAGTGGCTGTTATCCATAGGCCAGGGTTGAGACTGAATGATGCAGCCATACAACTAATATGAATGACATTGGCTAAATTCTGGTGGAGGAAGTACCAGCAGTTAGCCATCAGATGCAATGTGGACCTAATTCCTGTAACCAGCATTGACCCAGAGTAACAGTCCAGAAGCCTGATGCCTGGGGAACCTGTGGCTAATAGAGTATCGTGGCTTCAGTGGTGATTCTCTATTGCTTTTATAAAAAAAAACTAGAACTCACAAATGGAAAGCTCTATCAAAGTCCAAGCCCCTTAATCAGTTTGCAAAGCTAAGGTAGCTCACAGACCTAGATCCCACTAATAGGAGGAAAAACTAGATTCTGCTGAGGAAAGACCCTACAGCACTATTACAAGACCATAATGGGTGGATATTTCTGTTACTTTTCCTCAGTGCAAGAGCGTTAGGGAGAATTGAATACTTAGAAATTTTTAGGAGTCTTACATTTGAACTTTTGACCCAATTTCTTCTCATAGCAGGTTCAATGGTCCTGTAGAGTTTTCCAGGTCATTCTCCAAGTTTGCAAGTGTATAACTGAGATTATCTATTGAAGTGGGCAGAGGTTTCATGCAAGTTTTCAGATCTGAGAAGTAAAGGTTGTTATAACAGTAAAAGCCAAGGAGAAACGCCTAAACTTGCAATTTGCAGGAGAAATTGCAAAGGTTAGGGCCAGCATGAAGGTGTTAAAGACTCAGGAGCTGTGGGTACCATCATATGCTATTCAAATCATTTATCTAATCTGTGCAAAAGCCAATTGGGACATATAGGTTCAACAAAGACCTAATGAGACAGTAGCCCCAGTTGTAGTCACTACTCCAGAAATGGTATGTTTAATGGAGCAGTTCAAAAATCGTGTTTACTATGTCACTATTTGAGAATTATTCCTTCTTTGTACTCCTTATCAGGAATGATCAAAAGCATTTTTCCTTCACATGTTGACTATTTTGCTCTCTGACTGTCATGGTCTCTTTTTGATCATCTTGACATTCTTCACAGCATCACACTAGTCTATTGTATTTATAACATCACATTATTGAGCAGGAAGTGGCAAGTTCTGTTTATGGTCTACTAAGACAGTCATGCCAAAAGGGGAGAGATTAACTCAAGAGAAGACTTTACACTGGTGAGGCCTGACACACTGGTGGAGTTTGAGGGTCCAGCAGTCTAGGGCAAGCTGGAACATCACTTCTAAGGTAAAAGGCAATTTGTTGTACCATTAACTTCCTACTACTGACAGACAGGCATAGAGCTTGGGGGGATATGAGAGAAACAGCAAAGTCCAAGATGTATCCAAAGCTTGGGTCAAATTAAACTGAAGAAGGTTTCATTTACCGAACAGAGGAGCAGGTTGGGTAAAATAGCAATAATCACTCACTTTAGACATATGAAATTTAAGATTCCTATTCAAGAAGCACTTGAATATGTGGGTGTGTATTCAGGGTGGAAGTCACTGCTGGAGTCACCAGTACTCAGGTACTGGTTAGAATCATGAAACTGAATAAGATCACCTAGAAAAGTGTGCATAGCTGAGATTCAAGGACTGAATGCCCTAATATGTAGGGGCATTGAAGTGAATACTGCCTGATAGATCTCTCACAGGTGAGCTGATGGACTCTTGACTCACATTTACGGAGGGGGCTTAGCCTGAAGTTTGCTTTACATTTATGAAACCACCATCCCAATTCTTCTTTTCTGAGGAGTAAACTCCCCAGATGTGATGGAATCAAGCATTTAATAGACATAATGATTGCTCAACAAGGAGTGCCTAACAAAAGCATTTAGCCAGGTTTCAGTTCACCCAGGAAATGAAGATTTTCTTTAAGCCTTCAACAAGTGCAAGGCAAAATTTAAAAAGCCTATCAGCCACACTGCTCGTTCAGCTTGGATATTAACACACTTCATTTTCACAAGCCCCAGGTGATTTTTCTGTTTGTTGAGACAGAGTCTCACTCTGTCACCCAAGGTGGGGTTCAGTGGCCAGGACCTTTGCTCATTGCAATCTCCACCTCTCAGGTTCAAGATTATCTCACCTCAGCCTCATGAGTAGCTGGGATTATAGGCATGTACCATCATGCCTGGCAAATTTTTGTATTTTTTGGTAGAGATAGGGTTTCACAAGTTGGCCAGGATGGTCTGGAACTCCTGGACTCAAGCTGTCTGCCTGCCTCAGCCTTCCAAATTGCTGGGATTACAGGTGTAAGCCACTGCACCCAGCCAGTCCTAGGTGGCTTTGAGGAGATTCTAACTATGACTTATTTAGGACATGGTGACATAAGAAAATTTGAGAATGCTTTAAACTCCTGAGTTTATGACTCTCACACATACGTATATAAATTATAAATTATAGGCACTTGTTTTTTTATTTAAACAATTTTTTTATTATATACTAGAAGAAAAATAGGAAAAGCTATAATGAAAAGTGTAAACCATCCCAAATCTACTTCCTAGATTTAACTCTTAATGACTCATTGCATGTTTAACTCTGACCAAAATGTAGTTTGTGAATTTGCTCAAAGCAAGGAGAGTATAATGCTGGACTCCTATTTAGGTGGTGAGAAGAGAATCATAGAAGTGGTTTTGAGCTTGGAAAAAAGCATGAGCTTTGCACACTGTGAAAGAACGTCTGAGCAAACAGCTCTGAATATAAAGGCTATAGGTATTTAACATGAGTGGATTCTAAATATAAAAATGAATATACATGCATGTGTGTGCACGTGCATGTAAGGGTCTATGCAAAGACCCACCCAAAAATGAGGATTCCATTATTGCATTTGCATTTAGTACATAGCTGCCAATGTTACCTCTTAGTTATCAGTTCCAGGTATCCAAGGATTAAATGAGAGAGTATTTGGAAGAATAGACACATTTTAATTGGGATCTCTATATATGTGTCTTTTCCAGAGCAAAAGTCGTCTCCCTTTTCAAGGGAATCACAGTGTGTGATTTTCCAAGAATGTAAATTCTGTCTCTTGGTTTATGGTCATTGTACTCCAAGCAGAGTGCAATGGCAGTTTTCTTTTTTATTAAAAAAATAAACAAAGAGAGCAATAAGACATCACTTTTGCCAACTTTTTAATTATATTATGATGTCTTTTCAGGAATAACACCTTTAAGCAATCATACATCATAAGCAAACACAAGTAAACCTACACCTGAAGGCCTATAAAATCACAGTGACCTTTACTGACACAACACATAATTATTTGAGAAATGTTTGTTGGGAAACATTTTTCCCCTCACTCTTATGTCTTCTATACATCAATACCCAAATCTTTGTATTGTTTTTCATCTCTGTATTTGGTAAATAGGTGCTGACATTGCTAGTATTGCAATCATCTGGAGAGGGTTTTTTTTTTTTTTTTTTTCTGCCCTCTGCTGTGGGCCGTCAGAGTCTTTCTGAGGAGGCCTTTCTGTCACTCCCCCGCATGACAGGCCTGTGTCAATAACACCTCTCATGACACTCAGTGATTTTCCAAGAGTGTTGTGAGCAAAACCTACAAAGATATGCTTTGGATCCCCATTTGAAGAGCTCTCTCAAATCTGTGTTGGAAAGAAACATATGAGTGCTATTAATGTGTTTACCAGGAACCCCCATCCCCTACCCTTGTATCAGAATACAGTTCCTGTCCTTGCCAAAACAAAGACACTCAGTTCCATGTGTCAGTGTTTTCTTTTCCTTCTCACTACTGAATAGCTACTCCCAACAATTCCTGAATTTACATCAAATCCCAGTCCCATAAATTACACATCAGTCCCATGGAAACACAGATGGTTGGATGATAGCATCAAAAGTGTAGGATCACATGCTTTTTTGGTTATTAAACTCCTGCTTATAGGCAGGTACTATTTTAAAATTTGAACTCTTTATTAATTAATTCAACAAATATTTACTGGATACCACTGTGCACTAGACCCTGAGCCATGTGCTGAGAGTTTACTACAAAGAGTGACCCTTTTTGTATGTGTTTTGTTATTTAAAATTTGTTTATTTTTTTCTTCACAAACTCAACACACTTTTATTGAATACCTCCTAGTTCTAAAAACTGAATTTTGCAGTGAATTTTTGAATTGCCCAGCTAATTGTATATGAGTCCCTAGGAACAATGACTACTCAGACATGGTCCCTTATTGTTTCTGGTAAGTAGATAAGGTCTTCAGTGGTAGTGCTACTAAAATCAATAACTAATTACAACTGGAATGATCCTAACACCAAAACTAATGTGTAGGAAGCTCTTGATCCCTGATTCAAGCCATGCTACAGCTTTTTGAATGTTTTTAAAGTATATTTAATTTAGAAAAAATTAATTGACAAAAAACTGTATACATTTATGGTGTACAATATGATGTTTTGGTATATGTATACATTGTGGAATGGTTAAATCAAACCAAATCATAAAACATATGTAACCTCATGCATTTATCATTGGTTTTGTGGTAAGAAAACTTAAAATCTACTCTTCTAGCAGTTTTCAAGGATACAATACATTGTTTGTAACTATAGTCACCATGTTGTACAATGGATGTCTTGAAAGTATTCCTTCTGTCTCATTGAAATTTATTTCCTTTGACCAAGTCTAAGTAACCTGACATTAGTCTTATTAAAATTTCACTCATATAGATACCAAATCTAAAATTTTAGGGTAATTGGTGCAATGTGAGTACATCGTTAAAAAGAAATAAAATACTGAAATGCAGATGAACCTACCCTATACCATGGGTGTCCCTCAAACGTATTGCACTGCGTGAAAAAGCCAGACCAGACAAAAACACAACTGCAAATTGCATAAATCCTTTTTTCTTTTTTCTTTTTATTTTTAAGGCAGAGTCTCAATGTGTCACCCAGGCTGGAGTTCATAAATCCTTTTACATTAAAAGTCCAGGATAGGCAAATTTGTAGACACAGAAAGTAGATTAGTGGTTGCCAGGAGCTGGAGGTGGAGGAAGGAATTGACTATGCATAGGCACAAGTGATTTTTTAGGACAATGGGAATTTTCTCCAGTTGAATTTTGGTGGTGGGTGCACAACTCTATAAATTGTTAAAAGTCATTAAACATGTGAGTACTATGCTATATAAATTATACATCAATACAGCTGGTTAAAAAAAGAAAGAAAGAAATTGTTCTTGCCTTGGGAACAATGAGGGTCCTTGTCTTTCAGAGTGATTAATCTACATTTCTACATGTTTATCATCTTTCTCACCAGGAGACTGCAGGTCTTTTGCATGGCTTCCAGACTCCACCTTTTCAACTGAAATTTAGCTGCCCTTCAGAATACAGGATGAATTGCCTCTGAGCCCCACTCCTGTCTGAGCTGTTCATACCTGAGGTTTCAGCCAAGTACAGGGTGAAACTTCTGTTCTCTATGCCCTCTCTCCCTGACCAAGTCGGTTATCCTGCATCTTGGTGTGTAGGAGAAGCAGCATGTACCCAGCCACTGCTGTGTGCCAAACATAGCTACTTTGCAGAGGCCTTTTATTATTCCTAATAAAATCATGGAGAACGCATCTCATAATCCCACTTTTCAGTTGCAGAAAGTGACACGTAGAGAGGGAAGCCATTTTGATTCACGGTCACATAGACAATCAATGGCAGGTCCAGAATATGATCCCAGCCCTCTCCAGTTCCAAGAGCTCTCATGTTGATTGATTTGGTCTGCCCAGGTGGTGGTTCCTTATCCTCAAATGTACTCTGAGTATGTTATAAGTCCATCTTATCAATGATCATCTTAAAGATGCCAGGAGATAGGTGAAACTTGCTTTTGGCAACCACAGAGTGCTCAACTATGGGGCAAAGTTCAATAAATAGCTAGGCACAGTGGCTCATGCCTGTAATCCTAGCATTTGGGGAAGCCAAAAGGGGAGGACTGCTTGAGGACAGGAGTTTAAGACCAGCCTGAGAAACATAGTGATACTTCATCTCTGCAAAAATTTTTAAGGTCAGCCAGGCATGGTAATATGCACATGTGATCCCAGCTACTCAGGAGTTTAAAACAGTAGCATTGCTTGAGCCTGGAAAGTCAAGGCTGCAGTAAGCCATGATCATGTTACTGCACTCAGCCTGGCCAATATAGTTAGACCCTGTCTCAAAAAGAAAAAAAGAAAATAATAGAAAGAAAGTTCAGTAAATACATTGCAATGCCTTCCTCGTTTGAACTCTAATTACATTTTAACTAAAGCCAAGCAAAAATCTTGAAGAATTGTAGTACTAAAATGTCTGTACCTAACATATATCCTCAACATTTCATTTCTAACACACCAATGAAGCCAAATGCACTTTAACTACTACTGTATATATTTTTTCAAAATTCCACCAAAGTCCTTTTCTAAAAATAACATTTTCATTGCTCAAATTTAATGTAAGTCACTCTGAGAGGATAAACAGCATTCTGGTCTTAACAGAGACATGAAGAATCCAGATACAAGAATAGGGACATTGAGGGAGAAAGGCATGCACAATGTTTCTCAAAGCATTTAAAAAATGCTGGAGTGTTTTTCATAACAACTTAAGAGAAGACAATGAGAATGGAATCATATGTAGAAGAAGAACTCATAAGATTGTATTGAATTTCAAGAACGTCGATATTTAGAAGTACAGCAAATAAATTTCTATTTAAATAATCATACAAATTGTGTTATTTATATTAGACCTTCTCAGATAAGGGGATTTTGTATATGGGTACACATACACTTTATGCGGGACAATCAGCAATGTGTGGAGACATTATTTGTTTTCATAACTGGAGAGAAAAAGTGCTACCAGCATTGGGTAGGGACCAGGGACTCTTTCAAATATCCTACAATGCAGAAGGTTGTTCCCCCAACAAAACTATTCAGCCCCAAATGCCAAAAGTGACAAGATTGAAGATATCTGGTTTCTACTGAAGCCATGAAGAACTTCATGTGCTGCTAAAACAAAACCAAAAAAAAAAAAAAATTAGCCTTAGGCATGGTGATGATTTGGATTACATATATTTTTTAGTATCATTTCATATCACTCATTAGAATTCTGAAGACTCCCAGACAGGGCATGGTGGCTTGCACCTGTAATCCCAGCATTTCGGGAGGCTGAGGCAGGTGAATCATTTGAGGTCAGGAGTTCGAGACAAGCCTGTTCAACATGGAGAAACCACTTCTCTACTAAAAATACAAAAATTATCTGGGCATGGTGGTGAACACCTGTAATCCCAGCTATTCAGGAGGCTGAGGCAGGAGAATCACCTGAACCTGGGAGGTGGAAGTTGCAGTGGGCCAAGATCATGCCACCATACTCCAGCCTGGGCAACACAGTGAGATTCTGTCTTATAACAAAACAAACAAAAAAAGAATTCTACAGACTCCCATGTCATCAAACCAGAGCACCATTTCAACTCTTCTTTAAGGAAAATGCTTTTTTTTTTTTTTTTTGTAGAATAACTGCACTACCAAAGTATTGTCCAGCGATATCCCACTGGAAGATTCATAGTTGGAATTTGAACACAGACATTTTATCCATTTTTAACATTGCCCGTCACTGCATGTAGCACAGTGATATGCTGGATCATATAACTATTCAAACCAGCCTTTGCAGAAAAATGTACTCAAGATGAAATGAACAGATTTTTAAAAACTCTGTTACAAGGATGAGATATCTCTCATCAAGCAGCTTCATTTCAGAGTTACATTTGGCTGTGAGGTAGGAATTCATCTCTCTTTAGTATTATTGTTTAGAAACTGCTCAGCTTTGGATGTTTTGGTTTTCAGGCAGTTTCCCAGGCCTGATCATTGAATAAGTAGATTGATTGTGTGTCAAACAGAAGGACCTACAAATAAAGCTGCTCAAAGCTATTCTATTCATTAATTTTGTGCAGTCACAGCAGCAACAATTATATATTGATTTATTAGGAAAATTTGGCATTCCTATAGCTGCATTTCATTCTCAAACAGTCATGAGAGCCACTTACAGTTTACAAACAAAAAGCACTTTTTCTGTAAATGAAGTTCTTCTTATTTATCTATTAATCTTCACACAAAATGATATTTATAAAATCCTTCTGAAGGCTTGCTTTGGGGTTTTGAATGAAAGGAATCCACTGAAGGGAACCATATTTTTTCCTGCATCTCAGGATTTTATGATTCTGTGCAATCCTGGGTTTATTCTGCCTTTGGCCAAAGAAGGAATATGGTCCACATCCTCCATTCATAGGCATTACTTTAGCTTCATGCAGCACTAAAACTCACCACATTGGTGAGACAAGCAAGACTGAAGGTTGTCGTAACACTTGAGTTTGAGGTTTGGAAATCTTGCACCCACCCAAAACTACTCTTTTTTTTTTTTTTTCGGATGGAGTCTTGCTTTGCCACTGAGGCTGGAGTGCAGTGGGGCAATCTTGGCTCACTGCAACCTCTGCCTCCCGAGTTCAACTGATTCTCCTACCTCAGCCTCCCGAGTAGCTAGGATTACAAGTGCACACCACCATGCCAGGCTAATTTTTGTATTTTTAGTAGAGACAGGGTTTCACCATGTTTGCAAGGCTACCCCCAAACTCCTTACCTCAGATGATCTGCTTGCCTCAGCCTCCCAAAGTGCTGGACTTATAGCCATGAGCCACTGAACCCAGCCACTATCTCTTAAGAAGGAATTTGAATGTTAATGTGGTCTTTAATGGAGGATTCGGCAAGTGTGTTTGAGTTGTCATGGACTTTATAAATTAGTGTATTAGTCAGGATTCTCTAGCGGAACATAAATAATGGGATCTATATATGAAGTGGAATTTATAAAGTATTAACTTACCATAATCACAATGTTCCACAATAGGCTGTCTGCAAGCTCAGGAGCAAGAAAGCTAGTTTGAGTCCCAAAGAACTTGGATCCTCATGTTTGAGGGCAGGAAGCATCCAACATGGGAGAAAGAAATAGGCTGGAAACCTAGGCAGGTCTCTCCTTTTTACATTTTTCTGCCTGGTTTATATCCACTGGCAGCTGATTAGACTGTGCCCACCAGATTAAGGGTGGATGTTCCTTCCTCAGCCCACTGACTCAAATGTTAATCTCTTTTGGCAACACCCTCACAGACACACCCAGGATAGATGTATCCTTCAATCCAATCAAATTGACACCCAGTATTAACCATCACAATTAGGGTGGAGCATCTGAACATAAAGATGGAGATGTGTGTCATCTATTAGACATACTAGCTATGATTAAAAAGAGAATCATGTCCCCAAACTCATGGGAAATAAATTGGGGGGGAAGGGTGTTTGTTGCAGATTAGAACGCTGTTTCCTCTTGCCTTTCTTCTTATTCTCTCTTCTCCCTCCATCCTTTGTCCCTGTCCTGCAGGCTGTCTCTTCTTCCTCCACCCTGTCTCTTCCTCCTCCTTTCTCCCATGCGATGCGAATATCCAGGAAAAATTGGAAACTGCTGCTTTGTAAGTTAAGTTCTCTTTGTATAGGATGAGCACCTGCATGTGAACACACTACTTGTTTGCAACCACAGAATGACGCTTCAATTCCTTTCTTCTTTCCCACTTCCTGTGGATGTTTGTGTAACATTTAACCATTAATTATGTAATGTTTGTCAAGTGTTTGAAGCTCCCAGGGAAAAGGCACTAAATTAAAACATTATTATTAGTGTTTTCCACATTAAATTTCCATTGCAAAACACATCAAGAAATGAGGAGCGGCCATCTGTCACACAGCTTAAATGCTTACAATCTACAGGACTGCATTTACCTCAGAGTGGCAGTACTTTGTAAGCCATATACGGAAATAATTTGAAAAAATGAGTTGAACAGCTGCTGTGTCTTGTACTAATTTTAACACCTTGCTGGCAGTTTTTATTTTTAAAAACCTGAAAAGCAAATCACAGTTTGTGTTGCTCACTTCTAATAATAAACATATAAGCATGCATTGTGTTATACCATAAATCATTTCATTGGGAATGAACAAGGGCAGAGACGCATGACTGGCTTTTTAATCTCGGGGTCTCTGTCAAGGTCAGTTCTTGCCCAAGCTACAGCACAGCCTGGAGAATGACCAGGGAGGTGGTTTCCAGGCAGGGTTCAGTGAACAAGGGCATTGTGGCCCTGCCTAGTCTTCACCTGCGTTTTTCGTCAACACTGAGATTACCCTGTTTTTGATCCTGGCTAATCTAATAGGTGTAAAAAGCATCGTGTTTTTTAAAATTTTCTTTAATCTTGCAAATAATTGAATATCTTCTATGTATATTCACGTTAAAGAGAAAATATTCAATGATACTTGTGAAAGCAAAGTAAGGAAGAGTTTATTCAGGATTTTTGAGTTAGGTGTAGTGGCCGTAGCCATGGAAACCAGTGGTTTCCAATTCTTTCTGGAAATTTGCCTTGCCTGGGGGAAAGGAGGAGGAAGAGACAGGGTGGAGAACAGGGAGAAATGAAGGAGGGAGAAGAGAGAAGAAGGTGTAGAAAGACAGTATGGAGTCTTGCAGTCGGGGAGAAAGATTGGGATCAACTCTGAATACAGCATGGGCAAGTGGGAATTTATGGTCAAAGAGCAGGGGGAGGGTCAGCAGAAATTTGGACATTGGTTGGAAAATGGCTAAGAGTTTCAAAATATCAGGGATAATGGAGATTCTGGTTAAACCCATCTAACAGGATTCTAGCTGAAGAAAGGCGAGGGTGACCAGATATCACCTGGAGTGGGTGGAGGATGAGGAACTAACTGAGATATTGAGGTTGACCAGATACTAAGGGTTAGGAGTTCCTGCCAAGCTGACTTAGCAGGGTTCTGTGCTAAAACTGGATTTTACAGGGAAGTACACATGTGGGCCTTGGAGAAGGTTCGGAAGCCTGACTACAGTTTGGACAGACAGAGAATCTTTGTCATTCACCACAGATACTTTAGTTTCCTTAAACTTCCTGTTCATACTTTTGTCCATATTTGACTTGAGTTGCAATATTTTTCTTGTTTATTTGTAAAAGACCTTATTTTAGAGCAAAAAACACCTTAATTACACACATTGTTGTAAGTACTATTTTTCCCGACAAATGTTTATTTACCTTTTGGATTGCTAATGTGATGGTGACAGAGAGAGAGAGAGAGACAGAGAGAGAGAGACAGAGAGACTGAGACTTCACTCTTTGGAAGAAAACAACTTACAAAACATTTTCTTTTTGACTTTTGGGCTTAATATAGTGATTAAATAGCTTTTTCCAAGCCTCTCTCCCCTCCACAAAAAAAGTTATCAAACAATTTCTCATATTTTCATTTTTTAAATACATGTTTACATTACATTCAATTTTATTTTGGTGCAAATTTTAAGAAATGAATACCAGCTGGGTTGTTTTTCCAAATGGCTCTTTAGTTGCCCAAAAACCTGTTTTTGTTTTCAAATTATTCATGTTTCTAAAATATAATACTAACATCAACTGAATTTCCATGTCTATCTGGGCCATTTTGCTGACATTCTTCTCACTGTATGGATCTGTCTCTCAATTACTAGTCCAACACCAAATTATTTAGATATGGTATTTCAAATGCATGTCACTGCTGATTAGAGTATCCTCAGTAGTTGCATTTTCTTCCCTGAATGGCCTGGGATGGAAGCTACTAATTGCAAACCCTGAAACATGTTTTACACATAGGAGAAATTAAGTGCCAATGCCTTCACCAGAAAACCCATCAATATTTTTACAAAGCAAAGCTATTTTTTTTTAACTGAGATGGAATCTCACTCTGTCACCCAGGCTGGAGTGCAATGGCTCAGTCTCAGCTCACTGGAAGCTCCATCTCCTGGGTTCATGCCATTCTCCTGCCACAGCCTCCCAAGTAGCTGGGACTACAGGCACCCGCCACCATGCCCAGATAATTTTTTTTGTATTTTTAGTGGAGACGGGGTTTCACCGTGTTAGCCAGGATGGTCTCGATTAGACCTCATGATCTGCCTGCCTCGGCCTCCCAAAGTGCTGGGATTATAGGCATGAGCCACCGCACCTGGTTGCAAAGCCATTCTTATCACTGAAAAATTTTTGTAGCATTGAAGCTACATAACTCCAAGGGTGAATGGCCTAGAGCTTATATGTTACAAAATATCTTTATGGGTGCCTTATTTAAATGTACAATTGATAGTTTTCTATTAGGATCTTTGAACTTCATGTGTAAATGTGAAGACTAGAAGCCCACCATGACTTTCCTCCTAGATACAGTAGTAGATACAGAGTATGTGATATTGACTCCAAACACAGATATATGAAAAACCATGTGTCAGGACTTCCTTTGGCTGTTACAATATCCTTTGGCTGTGAGTCACAGAAAGCTCTCCCAGGGTAACTTAAATAGACCAGGGGTTTGTGATGGTTAGTTTTAGATATCAACTTGAGTGGATTGAGAGATACCCAGAGAGCTCTTCAAGCATGATTTTAGGGTGTTCTTGTCAGAGATTTTTTGGATGAAATTGGCATTTCAATCAATGGACTGAGTAAGGATCCACCATCATCCAGTGTGGGTAGGCACCATTCAATCACCTATAGGCCTGGGTAGAATAAAAGACAGAGAAAGGCAAATGTAACTACATTATCCTTCTCTTGTGGAGCTGGGAGATCCTTCTCCTGTCCTTGAACACCAACAACCCAGCTTCTCCAGCCTTTAGACTCCAGGACATAAGCCAACAACTCCCATCTCACCCTGACCATTATCTGCAGGATCACAGGCCTCCAGCACTGAAATATCATCAGCTTCCCTGATTTTGAGGGAAGTTTGGATGGAGCCATGTATTTAACTTCCCTGGTTCTCCAGCTTGCAGATAGCCTGTGGTGGGACTTCTCAGCCTCCTATTTGTCTGAGCCAACTCCTCCAATAAATCCCTATCTCTCTATGTCTTTATCTATCTCTCTCTCTACATATCTACCTGTCATCTATCTGTTTATCTATCTATCTATCTATCTATCTATCTATCTATCTATTATCTATCTATCTATATATATATACATACTATTGGTTCTGTTTCTCTAGAGAAAACTGATTAATATAGAGTTGATTCATCTCTTGGAAGTATAGGGATTGGTGTGTTTGTGGCTGCTCAAGAAATGTACCTGTGACATAGACTCCTTATTTCATTACACCCATGTATCTGCATGGTCATCGAATGTCTGCTGAGCCTATAGATATTGTGCCAAATTTCTAAGCAGAAAAAAAAGGGAAAAGACAAATGGACAACAATAGATGATACATATGTTTCCTTGGCCACTCTCATAGCACGTGAACACTCCTAGCTGTAGAAGAGGTAGGTACATTTAATTATTTTCAAAGTCTTTGGAAAAAAGGCAAATTAAGAAGAAAGGAATTAGAGATAATGATAGAGTTAGCTAAGCTACAATGTCATAATATAAAAAAAGAGGTCTTTCATCTTCATGTCAGAGCGTACTCTGAATTAATTAAAATAAACCCATGCCTAAATATATCTTGAGAAAATGCTTAAGTTCAGAGCCATAAAAAACACCAAGACTTCAATCCTCCATATCTTTAAGAAGTCATATTATCCCCAGGAAAACATCAAGTTAGGTCCAGATTTCTTCTTTGAAGTATAAGCTGTGAAAAGGAAATGGGGATTTGGGGACCTAGCACTGTAACCTACAAATTCTACAACCAAACAAGGAAAGTATTCTGTCATGCAAGAATTTCATATGGATACTGCCCTTTAAAATACTCAAGTACTCCGGTAGGCTAATCAATGAATCAGATTAGTATACCCATGAAGAGAAGTTATACCTATAAACAAAATGTCAGTGAGCAATAAAACAGTGAAACTCTTGTCTAATGTCTGAAAACTGGATGATATGGTAACTAAGCAATACACAAGAGCCAAAACTAAATCTTAGAAGAGAAAAGGACGATGTAGCATGTAAACATTATAATATAATGAAACATGTTATATGTAACATATATAATATATATACATTATGTATGTGTGTGTGTGTGTGTGTGTGTATATATATATATATATATATATATATATATATATATATATATATATATATATAGTTTTGTTTTTGAGACAGAGTCACACTGTTTTGCCAGGCAGGAAGGCAGTGACACCATTTTGGCTCACTGCAACCTCCCCCTCCTGGATTCAAGTGTTTCTCCTGCATCAGCCTCCCAGGTAGCTGGGACTACAGGAGTGCACCACCACACCCAGCTAATTTTTGTATTTTTAGTAGATATGGGGTTTCACTATGTTGGCCAGGATGATCTCAATCTCCTGACCTCATGATCCACCTGCCACTATATTATATTGTAACTAATGTGGTTACACTAGTCTTGATCCAAAAAATCAATTTGTTTTAACCCTAATCTATGCAAAGTGAAGTTAAATGTTGCTGAAGATTATGCTAAATCTCTCATTACTATGGGGTGGGGGAGGGCAGGTGATAGTATTTTAGAGCTGAGTATCCAAATATATTTTCTTTGGCATAATTTCTAAATAACCAGAAGCAGAAAAAAGCCAAGAATATTTGAGCTATCAAGTAAAAATGAGGACATAAGAAAATAATGAGAAAAACAAAAATGCAGATTTGAGAAAAAAAATTCAAAGAATAAATTTTATCTACTAATGGAATTATATATACTTTGATTGCTAACATAAAGTTAAGGTAGTTGTACTTTAGACATATGGTTCATTAAAGATTTTTCTCAAAGCAACTTGCCTTCCTCCCTAAAAAAAATAACAGATTCTCACTGCTAACAACAGGTCAATATAACTGTTGTTTGAAATCAGGGATTATGTCCCACTTCCATCTCAGCATGAAGTGGGTGAGTCAACAACCTCAAAACAACACACAGGTAATTCCGATCTATCTCTAACTTATGGAGGTTGGATAACACTTGACAATCACTCATTAGAAGCTTCAGTATTGGGACTCTTTTTGACAAGTAATAAAGCAGGTGGTGGTAATATTCCACCACAAATCATGGTTCAGGATATAAATAGATAAATTGCATATGCCTTACTGGAAACAATAAGAACTTTCTTAACCAAAGTGGAAGTCCTTATTTAGCATTTCTGGAGACATTCCCCATTAATTATGGGGTGTTTTTCATATAAAGTCTGCTAAAGAGAAATTCCATTGTGGATACTAGGAAGCACATGGTATCAATAACTTCCTCAAATTCAGAGGAAGCCATGTGATTTGGGCTAAGAGAATCAAGAAAGCCATGTGGAAAAAGTAATATTTAAGTTAATCTTAAATTATGTCCTGCTTTTAATATCTGTAACTATGTAGAATGGAAATGTATAGTCATGTGAATTGGTCTGTTCTTTTTGGTTTTTGGAGTTTTTGTTGTTTTGAGACAGAGTCTTGCTCTGTCACCCAGTCTAGAGTGCAGTGGCATGATCTCAGCTCACTGCAGCCTTAACTACCTGGTCTCAAGAGATCCTCCCATCTCAGCCTCCTGAGTAGCTGGGATTACAGGTGTGAGCTGCCATTCCAGGACTCATGTTAATTGTTCTAAGTGAAAATACAAAGAACAGTGCCAGATGCAGTGACTCATGACTGTAACCCCAGCACTTTGGGAGGATAAAGCAGATTCACTTGAGGGTAAAAGTTTGAGGTCAGCCCGGGCAACACAGCAAAACCCCATCTCTACAGAAAATTTAAAAATTAGTTGAGCCTACTAGAGCACACCTCTAATCCCAGCTACTTGGGAGTCTGAGGGCAGATTGCTTGAGTCCAGGAGTTTGGGGTTATAGTGAGCTCTGATCGCACTATTGCACTCCATCCTGGGCAATAGAGTGAGACCTTGTCTTTAAAAAAATTACAAAGAGGAAGGCATAATCAGGTTGGCTGAAATACAGTATGAACATGAGAAATGGGCAATAGATCAAGCTGTTCAAAAACCTGCTTGCCCTGCCTGAGGGTTAAGAATTATTGAATCAGGAAGAGCTGCCCAGTAAGTGTGACACAAATAAGTTGTATGTGATTTTCATGATGGAAATAAATTAAGCCTACTTTTCTTCAGACAGCTTACCTTTGGGACTCTAGGTCCATCTTTGCTCTAAAGATGTGACCTAGACAAGACTATTTAACTTCTAACCTGTAGTTTCATCTCTGTGAAATATGGATTATAGTATTTTCTAGGTCATAGGGATTTTTATGATTTTGAATTCTCAGGTAAAGCACTTATTATCAACTTGGTCATATATTCATGTTTTTTAAACTATTGTCATTTGTGCTTATTCAGAAGAAAAATATTGTGGAGGCAGTGGTGTCTCAAGGTGAAACTATTCAACCAGATTTGGAAATCAGAAACTAGAAACTAAGTCAATGTACAGTGGGATCTATCTGCATGGAAATGATGCCTGATATCAAAGGAAGGAGGTACAAGGATATATAAATAGTGATTTCACAACAAGGATTTATGTTTCTTTACTAAAACATTCAGATAAAATTTAATTTGTAATAAGATTTAAAGATATATAAACCTGGAACCAAAGCAGAGGTTTCTGTGAATTCTCCCAAATACTGACTTGGTTTATAACTTTGGTCATATTAAAGTCCTTCCCTCTCCTCCCTACAGTCAGGAGAACATTCAGCCTTTGACTTTGAATATTCAGACTTTGACTCAGCTTTTTGATAAGTCCTCACAAAGCTTTTTTTGTTTTGTTGTGTTTTGTTTTGTTTTATTTTGTTTTGTTTGAGACGGAGTCTTGCTCTGTCACCCAAGCTGAAGTGCAGTAGCACGATCTCGGCTCACTGACACATTTGACTTTCTGACCTTCCTCTTCATCTGCTTAAAAAAAATCTAGTCATATCCAGGTGTGATGACTGACACTATATATATTCATTATCTTTTCTGCTTTTGAACAGAAATGCTTTTGAACTCTATGCTTTTGCATAGAGTTAGTGTAATGTTTAGCTTCAAAATACCAAAGTGCCATTTATAAACTGTGGTTGTTAGCCACAAGGCTTCAGTTAAAATGAACATTTAAGTTTTATGTTTTCTAAGGTTTTTTAACTGATGATACAAATGAATGGGGAAGGAGTGGTGGTAAAGTGTGTGTTATTTGTCTGAGGTTTAAATAAATGTTTTAGTTTCAGAAAGCTAACATTTTTAAAGAGGCCTTGTAAAATAACATTATTTGCTGTTGTCAGCAAATACTGGTCAAGCAATCTTAGGTATCTTGGTAGCTACCAAAATAAAAGATGTCTTATCTTTTGTCTTCATACACATACACAAAATTAACCCTAGGAAATAAAATAATAAGAAATTTCACATGCTTATGTCACAATGTGTGTCATAGCACAAAATATAAATGCTATCATATCTAACCCAGTACCCCTTTTCAAAGAGGTACTTCCAGGAAGAGCTTACTGGAGTGTCTGGGACCCCAATCCTGTTGTGGAGCAAGAATGTTGGGGCTAAAAACAAGTTGGTCTGGCAAAGATCACTAAGTGTGCAGGTAGGACACATAGACACTGGAACCAACTGATGTTACTAGGTTAAGTACCATTGCTGGAGTGAAGGAGACAGCAATAGCAAACTTACAGGATGTAGTATGTTCTTTCTCACCTCTTCCTGTCTCCCAATATCTTCTAGGCCACCGATTGGTAGCAGTAAATGGAGAGTCAGCTGACAAAGTAGAAAGATATGTGCCCCATCATCACTAGGAAGAATACAAATGGTGAATTTGGAACTGAGAGATAAATGCTTTATAACTAGCACAGGGACCCTCTTGAATGTCTTTAGAATCCATTCTCAATGGGTATTATATGCTCTGTACACCATCAGATAATTATTGCTTGCTGACTGGAATACAGAAGTGCATAGCTTTTGTTTATCATGAAAGTCCAAAGAATAAACCTTCACACTAAGAAGCAGCAAAAGAGGAATCTGTGAAACTCTTGCCTAAGTTTCCTGTCTGCCATCTCACCATATGGAATTCAAACATGCCAGACACCACAATTACATGAATCAAGTCATTAAAGTAAATTTTTCTCTTTCGCATTCTCTTTCAATAGATGATTGATAGATAGATAATAGATAGATAGATAGATACATAGATAGATAGATAGATACATAGATAGATACATAGATAGACAGAGTGAGTGAGCTATGGTTTGAATGGTTGTGTCCCTTCAAAATTTGTTGAAACATACTACTATTCCAGTGCAATATTATTAAGAGGTGGAACATTTAGAAGGTAATTAAGGTAATTAGGTCATTAGCCCTTGTGAGTGATTAAATCCTTTATTACAAAAGACTTTACACAGCATTTGACACTATTGCCCTTGCATCACTTCCACCATGTGAACACAGTGTTTGTTCCCTTCAGAGGGTACAGCAACAAAATGCCACTTTGGAAGCAAATAGCAGCCCTCATACAACACCAAACCTGTTAGCATCTTGATCTTGGAATTCCCAGCCTCCAGAGCTTTATATTATACACAATATAATCTATTGTTTATAATGACATATGTTATTTTTTATACCAACACAAATGGACAAAGATAGATAGATAGATGATAGACGATACATACATACATACAGAGATACATACATACATATATACATACATACATTTATAGATGAGTTCTTGGGTACATTCTGTCATTTGAAGAACCCCAATTAATAGATTTCTTTACCTATGCAGGAAAACAAGGGTCAGGAAGCAGAAACCTCAGCTGCACGGACAGTAGAGGCAACATCTGATGTCATACTCTCCCTGGGATAAATAATGCTAATTTTTCTTCCTGATAATTATTTTTGCCTGGTTAGGATTGAGTCAAGTAATTATTTATCAATGTTGCTTGAATTTGATGATTCCACAGGACTGAAATCCTCTCAGTTTGCTTCTTTCAAACAGTGCCATTACCCTTTAAATATTGACTGAGTGTTCTGTCTGGTTATCAGTGATGTATCCTGCTGCATAATTCATTCTGGAGATTGGTGACACTGTGGCCACTTCCCTTCTCGAGATGCCTAAGCCTGGAGAAGTGTAAACATACATGTGAGCACTCCCTATCAGACATTGCAAATCCTTTCCCAAGCGAGACTCATAAATAAACATAAGCAGTAACCAAAATGTGGTTAGCCAGCAGGGAAGTGCTCACGAATAATAGCTTTATTGTGGAGTGCAACAGACCATAAACACAGAATGCCTGTGGGCAGCCTAATGAAACATGAAGTAATTGTGAGATGGAGTAAATGGATTTCCTTCATCTACGCTTACTTCTAAGATAGATTAGACAGCTTTTCTTAAAACAAAAACTATATATTTTCTTATTTAGGAAACTCAGTTTCAGTTCCCTAGGTGGATAATAATTAGAAGCAATGTCCATAGTGAGATGCTACAGTAGATTTGGACATTATAAAAAAGAAGGCTAGTTTTGAGCATGCTGTGGGTTTTGTATCTTCAAATGCTTTCTGTTGACAAAGGTGAATAGCTTCCAGTTTACTCACTGATGCCATTTCTTTACATCTCTTTTGCCCGTATTTTCTCTTATTTTTATGGGAATTATCACACTCAGACCTTTCAACTTTCTCATTTGGCTTCTCAGACATTGCTGTGGAGATTTGCAGATATTTCTTGGTACCTCTATTATCAGCCAGGACACTAAAACATATCAAGGGATCCAGACATCTCTCTACGTACCTTGTAGATAAACATCATTCAGATCACCTACATATACCCCCCATAAAGATCATGGTGCACAGGAGGTAAAACATTTTTTCCAAACATCCTGCTAAGAAGAATAGTGATGGATTTGGGAAGAAATATTTTTCAATGCATTTTGCATGGTGGAATTCATAATACTGTACTACAAATTTCTGTGAGCAAAGCAAAGTCCTCTGGAATGTCAGATATTCCAGATAAATGAAATATCTGCCTCCAGATATTTATTTATGTCAATACACAGGTAATGGTAGATTTTATGGAAATGGTATAACTAGGCTTGGAGACAGTCATTTCCATGTCCATATTTATGTTAAGAAAAAAGTTATCATTTAAAGGTAGATTCCAATCAATTCCCTTTACAATTCCCTGGCCAACGCATCTGTTAGAATGTTTTATCAGAAATAACCCTAATAAACATATCATTTTATTCTCAAAGTCTTTGCATGTATGAAGATGCAGAAAGCAAAGGATGAAGTACTGTACTTTAAGAGCATCTTTGTAATTAGCTGGGAAGTTCTCACTCCCTACCCATCTTTTCTTGCCAACCTTTCTTATTTCTTTTCTGCTTAGCTTCAGAGGGTTTTGTTAAGACAATATAATGCAAAAGATATAACTCTCACCCTGTTGACCTCTTTTCATCTTCTGTTTACTGCCTCTATTTCTTTTCTAGAGATAACCACTTTTGTAAGATTCATGTACAATTTCTCCTCCTCTTTTTATACTTTCAGTTGCAGGACAGCCCATTATTATTTCATAATATAAATTTTCACAAGTACTAATTAGGTTCATTCATTTCCACAAACTTGTCTGTATCCGCTGGCAACTTTTAGGTTGAGTTGTTGGTCTTTTATATTGACTTTTAGAAGTCCCTTATATATTTTAGATACAAATATTTAGTCACCTGTACATGTTGCAAATATATACATTCCCAGTCTGTGGTGTCTTACTTGCTGTGTTACTTGCTGGTTTCCTTTTAATGAAGATGGTTTAAATTTGTATGCAGTCACATTGACTTTATATGTGTGTGTATGTGTGTGTGTACATATATATACACACACACACACATATAAAACACACTATATATAAAACATATATATATATGTATATATATGTTATGTTTTGGGATACACATGGAGAACATGTAGGTTTGTTACATAGGTATACATGTGCCATGGTGGTTTGCTGTCCCCATCAACCCATCATCTAGGTTTTAAGCCCCCATGCATTAGATATTTTTCCTAATGCTATCCCTCTCCTTGCCCCTCAACCCCAACAGGCCCTGGTGTGTGATGTTCCCCTCCCTGTGTTCATGTGTTCTCATTGTTCAACTCCCAGTTACAAGTAAGAACATGCAGTGTTTGGTTTTCTGTTCCTGTGTTAGTCTGCTGAGAATGATGGTTTCCAGCTTCATCCATGTCCCTGCAGAGGACAAGAACTCATCCTTTTGTATGGCTGCATACTATTCCATGGTGCATATATGTCACATTTTCTTTATCCAGTCTATCATTGATGAATATTTGGGTTGGTTCCAACTCTTTGCCATTGTGAATAGTGCTACAGTAAAGATACATGTGCATGTGTCTTTATGGTAGAATAATTTATAATCCTTTTGGTATATACCCAATAATAGGATTGCTGGTTCTAGATATTTGAGGAATCATGACACTGTCTTCCACAATGGTTGAACTAATTTACACTCCCAACAGCATTGTAAAAGCATTCCTATTTCTCCACATACTCTCCAGCATATGTTGTTTCCTCACATTTTAATGATTGCCATTCTAACTAGAGTGAGATGGTATCTCACTGTGGTTTCAATTTGCATTTCTCTAATCACCAGTGATGATGAGTTTTTTTTTTCATATGTCTGTTGGCTGAACAAATGTCTTCTTTTGACAATGTCTGTTCATATCCTTCACCCACTTTTTGATGTTTTTTTTTTCTTGTAAATTTGTTTAAGTTCTTTTTAGATTCTGGATATTAGCCATTTCTCAGATGGATAGATTGAAAAATTTTCTCTCATTCTGTAGGTTGCCTGTTTACTCTGATGGTAGTGTCTTTTGCTATGCACAAGCTCTTTAGTTAAATTAATCTCATTTGTCAATTTTGGTTCTGTTGTCATTGGTTTTGGTGTTTTAGTCATGAAGACTTTGGCTATGCCTATGTCCTGAATAGTATTGCCTTGGTTTTCTTCTAGGGTTTTTATGGTTTTAGGTCTTACATTTAAGTCTTTAATCCATCTTGAATTAATTTTTGTATAAGGTGTAAGAAGGGTGTCTTGTTTGAGCTTTCTGCATATGGCTAGACAATTTTCCCAACACTATTTATTAAATAGGGAATCCTTTCCCCATTGCTTGTTTTTGTTAGGTTTGTCGAAGATACTTGTAGATGTGGGATGTTATTTCTGAGGCCTTTGTTCCATTCTATTGGTCTAAATATCTGTTTTGGTACAAGTAACGTATTGTTTTTGTTACTGTAGCCTTGTAGTATAGTTTGAAATAAGGTAGCATGATGCCTCCAGTTTTGTTATTTTAGCTTAGGATCGTCTTGGCTACATGGGCTCTTTTTTGGCTCCATGTGAAACTTAGAGTAGTTTTTCCTAGTTCTGTGAAATAAGTGAATGCTAGCTTATGGGGGATAGCATTGAATTTATAAATTACTTTGGGCAATATGGCCATTTTCACAATATTGATGCTTCCTATCCGTAAGCGTGGAATGCTTTTACATGTGTTTGTTTTCTCCTTTATTTCCTTGAGCAGTGGTTTGTAGTTCTTCTTGAAGAGCATTTTCTCATTCCATGTAAGTTTTATTCCTAGGTATTTTTTTCTCTCTGTAGGAATTGTGAGTGGGATTTCACTCATTATTTGGTTCTCTGTTTGTGTATCATTGGTGTGTAGCAATGCTTGTGATTTTTGCACATTGATTTTGTATCCTGAGTTTTACTAAAGTTGATCATCAGCTTAAGGAGTTTATGGGCTCAGATGATGAGGTTTTCTAAATACACAATTATGTCATCTGCAAACAGAGACAATTTGACTTCCTCTCTTCCTATTTGAATAACTTTATTTCTTTCTCTTACCTGATTGTCCTGACCAGAACTTCCAATACTATGTTGAATAGCAGTAGTGAAAGAGGGCAACCTAGTCATGTGCAGGTTTTAAAAGGGAATGCTTCCAGTTTTTATCCATTCAATTGGCTATGGGTTTCTCATAAACAGCCCTTATTACTTTGAGATATGTTCCATCAATACCTATTTTATTGTGTGTTTTTTAACATGAACGTTGTTGAATTTTTATCAAAGGCCTTTTCTGCATCTATTGAGATAAGCATGTGGTTTTTGTCATTGGTTTTCTCATTTGTGATGAATTACTTTTATTGATTTGCATATGTTGAACCAGCCTTTCATCCCAGGGATGAAGCCGACTTCATCGTGGTGGGTAAGATTTTTGATGTGCTGCTGGATTTGGTTTGCCAGTATTAATATTGAGGATTTTTGCATCGATGTTCATCAGGGATATTGGCCTGAAATTTTCTTTTTTTTTCTTTTTTTTTTTTTGTCTCTGCCAGGTGTTGGTATCAGTACAATGCTGGCCTTATAAAATGACTTAGAGAGAAGTTCCTCTTTTTTCTATTGTTTGGAATAGTTTCTGAAGGAATGTTGCCAGCTCCTCTTTTCAACTCTCATAGAATTCAGCTGTGAATGCATCTGGTCCTGGGCTTTCATTATTTGGTAGGCTATGAATTACAGCCTTAATTTCAGAACTTGTTATTGATCTATTCAGAGATTTGACTTATTTCTGGTTTAGTCTTGGGAGTGGGAATGTTTCCAGTAATTTGTCAATTTCTTCCAGATTTTCTAGCTTATTTGTGTAGTGGGGTTCATAGTGTTCTCTGATGGTAGTTTGTATTTCTGTGGAATCAGTCGTCATATCCCCTTTATCATTTTTCTCGTGTCGATTTGATTCTTCACTATTTTCTTCTTTATTAATCTGGTTAGCAGTCTATCTATTTTGTTAATCTTTAAAAAAAAACAGCTCCCGGATTCAATAATTTTTTAAAAAGTTTTTTTGTGTCTCTGTCTCCTTCAATTCTGCTCTGATCTTAGGTTATTTCTTGTCTTCTGGTAGTTTTTGAATTTGTTCTTGCTTCTCTAGTTATTTTAAATGTGATGTTAGGGTGTTGATTTTTCTTTCCCACTTTCTGATGTGGGCATTCAGTTGTATAAATTTCTCTCTAAGCATTGATTAAGCTGTTTCCCAGAGATTCTGATACTTGGTGTCTTTTTCTATTTAGTTTCAAAGAACTTTTTTATTTCTGTCTTAATTTTATTATTTACCCAATAGCCACTCAGGAGCAACTTGTTCAAGTTTCATGTAGTTGTGTGGTTTTGGGTCAGTTTCTTAATTCTGAGTTCTAATTTGATTGTACTGTAGTCTGAGAGACTGTTTTGATTTCCATTCTTTTGCATTTGCTGAGCAATATTTTACTTCCAATTACATAGTCAATTTTAAAATAAGGGCTATGTGGTGCTGAGAAGAATGTATGTTCTGTTGATTTGGGGTGGACAGTTCCGTAGATGCCTGTTAGGTCCTCTTGGTCCAGAGATGAACTCAAATCCTGCATATATTTAAATTTCTGCATCATTGATCTGTCTAATACTGACAGTGGAGTTTTAAAGGTTCACACTATTATTGTCTGGGAGTCTAAATCTCTCAGTAGGTCTCTAAGAACTTGCTTTATGAATCTGTGTGTTCCTGCATTTAGTGCATATATATTTAAGATAATTAGCTCTTCTTGTTGCTTTGATCCCTTTACCATTATTTAATGCTCTTTTTTTGTCTTTTTTCATATTCGTTGGTTTAAATTCTGTTTTATCAAAGGCTAAGATGGCAACCCCTGCTTTTTCGTGCTTTCCATTTGCTTGATAAATATTCCTTCATCCCTTTATTTTGAGCCTATATGTGTCTTTGGATGTGAGATGGGTCTCCTGACAGCAGCACACTGATGTGTCTTTACTCTTTATCTAATTTGCCAGTCTGTTTCTTTTAATTGGGGCATTTAGCCCATTTATATTTAAGGTTAATACTGTCATGTGTGAGTTTGATTCTGTCATCATGAGACTAGCTGGTTATTTTGCATATTAGTTGATGCAGTTGCTTCATAGTGTCATTGGTCTTTGTATTTTGGTATGTTTTTGCAGTGGCTGGTATCCATTTTTCATTTTCCATGTTTAGTACTTCCTTCAGGAGCTCTTGTAAGGCAGGCCTGGTGGTGAGGAAATCCCTCAGCATTTTCTTGTCTGGAAAGGGTTTCATTTCTCCTTCACTTATGAAGCTTAATTTGGCTGGTGTGAAATTCTGGGTTGTATATTCATTTTTTAAAGAATACTGAATATTGGCTCTGACTGTTTCATGGCTTGTAGGATTTCTGCAGAGATCCACTGTTAGTTTGATGAGCTTCTTTTTGTAGGTAACCTGACCTTTCTTTCTGGCTGCCCTTAACATTTTTTTCCTTCATTTCATCTTTGGAGATTCTGATGATTATACGTCTTGGGTTGCTCTTCTGGAGGAATATATTAGTGGTGTTCTTTGTATTTCCTGTATTTGAATGTTGGCCTGTCTTTCTAGATTGGGAAAGTTCTCCTGGATAACATCCTGAAGTGTGTTTTCCGGCTTGGTTCCATTCTCCCTGTTAATTTCAGATACACCAATCTATCGTAGGTTTGGTCTTTTCACATAGTCCCATATTTCTTGGAGTCTCTGTTCATTCCTTTTCATTTTTTTTCTCTGTCCTTGCCTTCAGGCTTTGTTTTATTAACTTTATCTTCAATTTGTAATATCCATTCTTTCACTTGATTGATTCACCTGTTGATACTTGTGTATGCTTCATGAAGTTTTTGTGCTGTGTTTTTCAGCTCTATTAGGTCATTTATATTCTCCTCTAAACTGTTTTTTTTTTTTTTTTTTTTTGAGTTAGATGTTCCTGTAACCTTTTATCAAGGTTCTTAACTTCCTTGAATTTGGTTAGAACATGTTCCTTTGGCCCAGAGGAGTTTTTTATTACTCACCTTCTGAAGCCTACTCTGTCAGTTCATCAAACTCATCCTCCATCCTGTTTTGTTCCCTTGCTGGTGAAGAGTTGTGATCCTTTGGAGAAGAAGCATTCTAGGTTTTAGAATTTTCAGCATTTTTACACTGGTTTTTCCTCATCTTTTTGGATTTATCTACCTTTGATCTTTGATGCTGGTGACCTTTGGATCGGGTTTTTGAGTGGGTATCCTTTTTGTTAATGTTGATGTTATTGCTTTCTGTTTGTTAGTTTTCCTTCTAACAGTTAGGTCCCTCTTCTGCAGGTCTGCTGGAGTTTGCTGAACGTCCACTCCAGACCCTGTTTTCCTGGGTATCACCAGTGTGGGCTGCAGAACATCAAAGATTGCTTCCTGCTCCTTCCTGTGGAAGCTTCACCCCAGAGGGGCACATGCCAGATGCCAGCCAGAGCTCTCCTGTATGAGGTGTTTGTCGACCCCTGCAAGGGAGATGTCTTCCACTCAGGAGGCATGGGGGCCAGGCACCCACTTGAGGAGGCAGTCTGTCCCTAGCAGAGCTTGAGTACTCTTCTGAAAGATCTGCTGCTTTCTTCAGAGCTGGCAGTCAGGAATGTCTAAGTCTGTTGAAGCTGCACCCACAGCCACCCTTTCCCCCAGGTACTCTGTCCCCAGGGGAGGGGGATTTTATCTATAATTCCCTGACTGAAGCTGCTGCCTTTCTTTCAGAGATACCTTGCCCAGTAAGGAGGAATCTAGAGATGCAGTCTGGCTAAAGTGGCTTTGCCATGCTGTGGTGGATTCTGCCCAGTCTGAAATTCCTGGTGGCTTTGTTTATACTGTGAGGGGAAAACCACCTGCTCAAGCTGCACTAATGGTAGACGTCCCTCCTCCCACCAAGCTCAAGCATCCCAAGTCGACTTCCATCTGTTGTGCTGTCAGTGAGAATTTTAAGCCTGTGGATCTTAGCTTGCTTGGCTCCATGGCGTTGGGACCTACTGAGAAAGGCCAGTTGTCTCCCTGCCTTCAGTCTGCTTTTGAGTGGAGCCAACGGTTCTTTCTCACTGGGGTTCCAGGCACTACTGGGGTATGGAAAAAAAAAAAAAAAACTCTAGCAGCTTATTGTCTACCCAAACAGCTGCCCAGTTTTGTGCTTGAAACCGAGGGCTCTAGTGGTGTAGACACCCAAGGGAATATTCTGAGGGTTGCAAAATTTATGGGAATATCATAGTATCTGAGCTGGATAGCACCGTCCCTCATGGCACAGTGCCTAAGGCTTCCCTTGACTAGGAGAGGTAGTTCTGCAGCTGCTTGTGCTTCCTGGATGAGGCAATGTCCTACCCTGTTTCTGCTCACCCTCCATGGGCTGCATTTACTCTCTAACTAATCCAACCTCTGTTGGAAATGCAGAAATCACGTGCCTTATGCGTTGGTTTTGCTGTGAGCTGCAGACCAGAGCTGTTCTTATTCGGCCATCTTGCCAGATCCCAACCCACATTTACTTCCTTTAGGGAAGAAATTCCTGCATTCCTATTCCAGGCAGTAACTTAGTATTTCATGTGATGAAGAGGAAAAAAAGATGCAGGTTTAATAATTTTATATGCATCTTTTATTTGCTTCTTCTGTTTCCTCCCCGTATGTCTCTTATAGCTATCCTGTACCTAGTTTCATTGATTTGCACGTTTCTCGGTGTTAAATAATTTCTCTCCTCCTTGACCTAATTACTGTCTACAAACATCTAAGAAAAGGATTCACCCACTTTCCACGCTCAATGCCAGTCCTCTTCTATATGTGTTTCTGCTTTCAGGATTTCTGTGATTTATTCAAATACACTCTCCACTCTTCTATTTATCTTTTTTTTTTTTCTCTTACTATCATTGGGTGGAGGAAGAAACAAATAAATGTGTGTGATCCATTTGTGCTTTTTAATGTAAAGGCCACATAACTGTTGCCAACTCAAGGGATTTTTCTATTATTTGTCTAATGCCCTTTTTACAAAGATGGTAGAGAGCTCTCCGTGGTTCTGAATTTAAAAATAACTCTTAGATGTTATGATTGACTAATGATGTGGTTTAGCTTTGTGTCAGCATCCAAATCTCATGAAGGTTATGCACTCTTCGTGATCCGCACATGTCAAGGGTGGGACCAGGTGAAGGTAATTTAATCATGAGGGCGGTTGCCCCCATGCTGTTCCATGATATTGGGTGAGTCTCATCAGATTCAGTGATTTTATGTGTTTGGAGTTTCCCCTGCTTGCATTCACTCTGTCCTGCCATCCTGTGAAGAAGGTGCTTGCTTCTCTTTTGCCTTCTACCATACTGTAAGTTTCCTGAGGCCTCCCAAGCAATGCAGCACTGTAAGTCAATTAAACCTCTTTCCTTCATAAATTACCCAATCTCTGGCAGTTCTTTATAGCAATGTGAGAATCGACTAATAAAACTAATAAGTAAAAGTGTTCATAAAAATATAAAATGGTAATTAAACTACTGCTTAATGATATGGAAAGTAAACATATTACATTGTGTTTTCTATTTCTGCATGCATCTTTACATGTTGTTATATTTTAAACAACTACATATGTGTATGACTGTACCATACTGCATTTAATATATTATTATTCACATAACCACTTTTTAATTGATGGACCAATTTCAAATTAGCCTACTCTTTATTTTGGTGATTCAAGAAGTGTGGATTTGAGCAACTTTCATTATATTTACCTTATGTGATTTTGAAAAATCAGATTCCTTGCCACCACCCAAGTCTTGATAGAAAAGAAGTCCTGATATTGAAGACTTAGAAATCAACAGTTGAACTACCTGCTTCGTTGATGTGCATAGGCCTCAATTTTTTTATATTTTGGCTTAATTCTGTGATTGCTATTTTAATTATGTAGTCTAGCACCATAATAGGAAAATTTGTAGAAAAATATCTTGATAAAACAATGAGAATGGAAGAAGAGGGACAATTGAAGGGTGTAAATTCAAGTATATTCCTCTCTTGGTCTACTCCACTGACTTCTAGTTGCAATTTTTTCATTTAATAAGAATACTAATACATGTTCCACTACCACTGCACACTCAAAATGTTTGAAACAAAGAATGAATTTTCAATTATGACAGTTGTATAAACAGTAAATTAAACCCTCCAGGAACACAAAGTGTGATCTGTGGATGCTGGAATGAGAAGACAGAAAAGGATTCTATTACAAGGTGAAACTCGAAGAAGCAGCAATAATCAAGAAACACCAAAATGTGTTCCACAAAAGTAGATAATATGAGAAAGAGCATGAGAGTGGGGGAATGGGAGATGGGAGAGGATAAGCCAAGAACAATACAAAGGTTGGCCATCTGAAAAAAAAAAAATCTGTGTTTGAAATTAAAGTGTTTCCATTGCTATGGGTCTCTTTAATATGGGAATGATAAATTGACATTCTAAGAAATAATATGGAGAGACTAGATTTCTCAACGGGTAAATAATATCTGTCATGTGATCCAGATTATTCTGGCTGAATGAAGCCCTATTTTACCCATGGCAATATCCAGGTATAAACTGATGAAAGTTTGTATGGTGGTTGTGTGTTGCTAGATGAAGAAATAGAGAATAGACACAGAAAAATGTGGAGCTCTTGCTGGGATTGGCCAACCAATCCAGAAAACTGCTACAAAGTGTCTGCTAACTGAGCTACTTCCTCAGCTACATGTACTACTAAAGTGACATGGGTATAAAATAATTTCATAACATATTCAAATTCATTGCATTCATGCCTGACACAGCTGTTACTATGTCACATCTTGCTATTGATAATAGTTTAACCACCTTGAAAACCCATGCCACTTGCATTCTTAGACATCCATTAGTAGACTATTTAAGCCATTCTATGTCTGCATCCTTTGGGGCCATTTCATTATGAGCAATGTTGCTAGTCAGAGAGAGGTGTAAATTAAAGCAGCCAACATTAAATCTAGTAAATTTGATTACTTGACAATGACATTCATGCAGGTATTGAAATAGAAAGAGTTTGACGCTATTGAACAGAATTAGGTTTGGGATTTTTCTGGAGATGTAATTTACTCTTATTCCTTTTGTTTATAATCAGCATAAATCGCAGAGCTGTGCTTGCACTGCAAATAAATTGCACTTCTTACCATATGACATTCAGTTTTGCCCGAAAACATGGTGATATTTTCTTGAGAATATAAAACCCAATGAGAATTTGCCTGACACTATTTGTACCTTTCTAATTGCTCACATTTTCCATATTTTTATTTTAAATAGAAACAGAGTCATACTATGTATTCTTGGCTGCTCTCAGACTCCAGGGCTCAGTCTTCCAATGTGCTAGAATTGCAACCAGGAGCCACTGCTCCCAGCCATGAAATCTCATTTTCTTTTCTTACAATACTGTAGCTTGCATATTAGTCAGGAGAGATAAAAAGTGAATAATAAAATAGTCAATTAGACGAATGAGAAAGAAGTTCTATTTCAATCTCATTTCACTGCAAGTATTGAAGACTATTTGCAGGGGCCTAAGGTGATGGGACAAGAAGAATTTTTGAAAAATCATATTTCTTTCCAACTGTTACCTACTCATCTTGCCTTTATGGGGAGAAGAAGCATGTTTTGCTAGCATTTTAAAATCATGGACTGCAAACCAGTGAGATCATGAATCATAACCTCTATTTGTCTAAAAACAGAAAATATATTTTGAATTGTCATATCTTTTTATTGACCATTGCTGAATACTGCATACATTAACTTGTGAAAGCACACAGAAACGAGAAAGACAAAGATGTTTCAGCAAACAGCTTGGAACTAGTTTTGGTCTTCTGAGATTAAAATCAGCTACAGGTTTTGTTCCTGTCTTGGGAGAGCAATAGATAAAGAACAAATCTCTACTGTATGAAGTGCCTTGTGTTATTTTTACATACTAGTATTGGACATGTGAGGCTAATGACAATATTGTAATACCTACCTGTCTTAAGCCAGGTTCCCAAAAGCAAACATTAAGTAGAAGACATACATGAAAAAGATCTATTAAAAAAGTAGCCAGATATATTAATCCGTTTTCACACTGCTGTTACAGACATACTAAGACTGAGTAATTTATAAAGAAAAAGAAGTTTAACGGAATTACAGTTGCACGTGGCTTGGGAGGCATCACAATACTGGCAGAAAGTGAAAGGCATGTCTTATATGTCAGCAGGGAAAGAGAGAAATGAGAACAAAGCAAAAGGGGTTTCCCCTTAACAAACCATCAGATCTCATGAGATGTATTAACTATGAAAACAACAGTATGGGTGAACCACCCTATGATTCGATTATCTCCAACTCGGTCCCTCCCACAACACATAGGAATTATGGTAGCTACAATTCAAGATGACAGCTGGGAAGAAACACAGCCAAACCATATCACCAAGAAAGAGAAATTCTCAACTTAATAACAAAATAAACTGAGGAAAATCTGCAGCAAGATACACACTTAATCATAAAATATTACAATTTCTTCCAAAGATTGGGAAAAAAGAAGGATACTAACTCTAACCACTTATAGCCAATATTGTATTGAAGTTACTAGGACAAGAAAAAGACATACTGGACATAAGAACAGAAGGGCAGAAGTCAGACTATTTATATTTGAAGAAAACATTTTTTCATGAAAAATCTTAAATAACTTATCAAACACACACTACAACACTTAATTTAGCAAGAACTTAAGACATAAAGTCAACATACAAAAATCACTTGTATTTATATGTCAGTAGCAAGCAACCAGAAAATGACATTTGGGGAACCAAACAGTTTACAATATTGTCATCAATAAAAAATAGTTAGGTGTCTACACTAAAAATGACAAAGCATTCCTGAGAGAAATAAATAAAGGCATTAACTAACAGGGCTGAAAAACAAGAGCAATAACTATCTGGCCCTTGAAAGCTTTGGGCAAAACCTCTCTCTTCCAATACCCTGTGATCCTTAGCTGACATTTTTCTAAAGAAGGATTCAAGTGAAGGTGTTGGGAAGAAATCCATGAAGTTGGGGGATAGGAACTCTGAACCAATTTCTGAGTGTCTGGCAGGATACGACAGTCATTTTCTCAGATGGTAAAGACCAGTCACAGGTTTCAGGTACGGAGATGAAGAGTTTGGTATTGAGCTTGGTAAGTGAGAGTTGCCTACTAGACACTCAAGTGAAAATGCTGAAATAGAAGTTAGACTTATGAGATTTTGTGATTCCTAGCTTTAGGATTCATAATCTAACATCAGGGCTCGAGATTTAATTTGGTGGTTAACATTTTAATTTGACATTGTGTAAGATCATCAAGGCAGTGAATACAGAAGAAGAAATTGTCCAAGAAATAAATACTGAGGCATATTCCAAGATTTAGGATTGGGAGAGAGGAAGAAACAGTGAACAAGAATGACAAATATTGACCACAAAAGTAGGAAGAAAATTAGCCGAGTGTGTTTTCTTAGAATTTAAATGGAAAAGAACTGTATTACGTAAGTTCAAGAGACAAAAAATTTCTCAAATAATGTTAATATAAAAGACAAACTGAAGATTAAGAATTGGCCATTAGATTTAACATTTTTGACCAGGGATGTTTTGTGGGGGTGTTTGTGGCAAAAGTTTCAGGAGAGCATATTCAAGAGCAAATAGGCATTTTAAAAATAAGTTATACAAATGTTAATGTTTAATATTTGCATCATGTGGCTACCATATTTCTAGTAATGACAAAAAGTACTAATTTGCATATTAAGCTTACTGGAATTTTTTTTTTTCTTTTGAGACAAAATCTCGTTCTGTAACTCACTGCACCCTCAACTACCCAGGCTCAAGTGATCCTCCCACTTCAGTGTCCTGAGTAGCTGGGAACAAAGACACTTGTCACCATTCATGGCTAATTTTTATTTTTTTCAGAGACAAGTTTTTACTATGTTGCCCAGGGGTGTCTCAAACTCCTGAGCTCCAGTGATTCTCCTATCTCAGCCTCGCAAAGTGCTGAGATTACAGGTGTGAACCACTGCACCCATAAAAAATATATGTAATGCCAAAGACATTTTTCCTCAGGATGTAGTTCCCTAAATTGTCTGGACAAATGTTTATATACCAGTATATAGAAGCCAGCTCTCTGGCACTATGTAGAAGAAAGGAGGAGGAGAAGGAGGAGGAGGAGTAGGAGGAGGAGGAAAAGAAGAAGAAGAAGAAGAAGAAGAAGAAGAAGAAGAAGAAGAAGAAGAAGAAGAGGAGGAAGAAGAAGAACAATAACAACAACAACAACAACAACAAGGGAGGAGGAGGAGGAAGAGTTGGAGGGGAACTGGGAGGAGGAGAAAAAGGAGGAGGAGGAGAAAGAGGAGGATGAGGAGACGAAGAAGAACAAGGGGAAGAAGAAGAAGAAGAAAAGAAGAGGAAGAAGAAGAACAAGAACTAGAAGAAGAAGAATGAGGAGGAGGAGGGGGAGGGGAGAGGGAGGAGGGGGGAGAAGGAGGAGAAGAAAGAGGAGGAAGAGAAAGAAGAGGATGAGGAGGAGGAAGAAGAAGGAGAAGGAGGAGAAAAGAAGAGGAAGAAGAAGGAGAAGAAGAAAGAGGAGGAGGAGAAGAAGAAGGAGGATGAGGAGGAGAAGGAGGAGGAGGAGAAAGAGGAGGATGAGGATGACAAGGAAGAAGAGGAAGAAGAAGAACAAGTAGGAGGAGGAGAAAGGAGGAAGAGGAAGAAAGAGGGAGGAGGAGAAAGGAGGAGGAGGCAAACAGGAGGAAGGGAAAGAAGGAGAAGAAAAAAGAAGAAGAAGAAGAAGAAGAAGAAGAAGGAGGAGGAGGAGGAGGAAGAGGAGGAGGAGAAGAAGAAGGAGAAGAAGAAGAAGAAAAAGAAGAAGAAGAAGAAGAAAAAGAAGAAGAAGAAGAAGAAGAAGAAGAAGAAGAAGCAGAAGAAGGAAGGAGGAGGAGGAGAAGAAGATGAAGAAGATGAAGAAGAAGAAGAAGGGAAGAAGGAGGAGGAGGAGAAGGAGAAGAAGAAGAGGAATAAGAAGAAAAGAAGAAGAAGAAGAGGAGGAAGAGAAGAAGAAGAAAAAAGCATGGATGGAGCTCGTTATTAGGATTCAGCTGGAGAGTGTCAGAAGCCTAGCAGAAGATTTTAGTTCTAAAAAAGTTTAAAGAACTAAATCATCAATAGGATCCAAGAAGGCCGTGAGGATACCAAGCCAACAGTCAAGAGCTCAGATTAACTAGGATGTCCAAATAGAGTACTTAGGAGGTCCAAGAGATGAACTGAAGGTTTAACATAAACCAAGTAGAGGAACTGATTGGCCAAGATATAGTTCAGTGTTAATCTTGCAAACTGTAAATATTTGTCTCCACGTTTCCTCTTATTTAGTATTTGCCACTACCGCCCTATTGAGGTTACATTTATTAAAGATGCACTTCACTGGAGGAATAAGTGAATTCAGAAATTGAAAATATAAAAGTATCCCTTCGTCATGAAATACATTATCATATTTCAATTGGCTTGGACCGTGAGCAGATAGCATTTCGTTTCGGAGAGTTGTTCAGAAGACAAAGTGAGCTTGTGTAAAGATTCCCGGGACTGCTCTCTGCTGTCCCTGGTCCTGAAAGTTGAATATCAGCGTTATAGCAGTCAGGGCGCTACGTCTGTTCTTGTCAGCTCTGATTTATAAGATACAAGGCAGGCCTGAATTGTCCTCGACAGTTACTAAGCATACAAGGAGATGGGACAGATCAAATGAAGTTCTGGTGAATGGAATATTTTAATTCATGTATTACTTGCGAAGGATGCTCTTGGCTTAAATAGTAAATGCCCCTCTTGTATGTAAATGAATTTAGGCATTGTAGATCCAACTTCGATGGGTTACCAAGGGATCTTTTCTTCTGACACTAAAATCATTTAAGGGAACTTCAGTTTTGTGTCAGTTTGTAAAAGACTGAAATATATAATTGTTTTTTAAAAGGGATTGATAATTGTCAACTGTGGAGTCAAGAAATAGAAAAAAATTAATTGCTGGTAGTCCTTGCTTAGGGTGAATTAACAACTCCAGATAACAAGGTTCTAGCAATTAGCAAAACACTCAGCCATTAGATTTACATTAGTGTCCAATGGTCAATCAATTACAACGAGGAGTATATGAATTGGGAAAAGGAAACTTTAGGGAAATCCTTTAACAGCCCCCCATTCGGCACACTTATACCAGTCTTTCCACTGGTGAAACCTATAAAAAGAAGAACACAGTGTTCCAGTTGTAATGAATTTGGGATGCTCCTCAAAAACACTGAGTAGTAACTGCGTTATTGCTAAGCTCTTGAACTGGCTTTCAGGAAACACAATAAAGGCTTGAGAAACCAAATATGTTGCTCCACTTTCAATAATACAGAAATGATGACTGATTTCTGTCAATACAAAGTGAATAGGGCAGTGAGATATGTCAGAGCTTTAAAAAAATCTACTTGCTTTCATTCTAACCCTTCATAGATGAGATGAGTGAAATTGTGAGGGCAAGATTTCCAGTTTGTAGAGAAGCAAGTCCATATATAATTGTATGAAAATACTCAACCTAAAAATAATGAATTCTCAAATACTTATAGTAAAGTACGTATTACTTATAGCTTATATTAAACCATAAGTATAGCTTGATTTCTCTTTCTTTTCTCCTTCCTTCCTTCCTTCCTGCCTGCCTGCCTGCCTTCCCTTCCTCCCTCTCTGTCTCCCTTCCCTTCTTCCCTTCCTCTTTCCTTCCTTCTTTTCTTTCTTTCTTTTCTTTCTCTCTTTCTTTTTCTTTCTTTTCTTCCTTCCTTTCTTTCTTTCTCTCTCTTTCTTTCTTCCTTCCTTCTTTTCTTTCTCCTTCTCCCTCCCTCCCTCTTCCTTTCTTTCCCTGTCTTCTTTCTTGCTTTCTTTCTCTCTTTCTTTGTCTCTTTCTTTTCTTCCTTCCCTCGCTCCCTCCCTCCCGTCCTCCCTTCCTCCCTCTCTCCTTTCTTTCTTTCTTTTTTCTTTCTTTCTTTCTTTCTCTCTCTCTTTCTTTCTCTTTCTTCTTTCTTTCCTTCTTTCTTTCTCTCTCTTTCTTTTTTCCTTTCCTTCCTTCCTTCCTTTCTTCCTTCCTTCCTTCCTTCCTTCCTTCTCTTTTTCTTTTTTTGAGACAAGGTCTCACTTTCACCCAGACTGGAGTGCAGTGGTGCAATGATAGCTCAATGCAGTCTCAACCTCCCAAATTCAACCGATCTTCCTGGCTCAGCTCCCAGAGTAGCTGGGACTACAGGCATGCACTACATTTTTTTTTTTTTGGTAGAGATTGTGTAGTGCTGTGTTGCCCAGGCTGGTCCCTAACTCCTGGACTTAACTAATCCACTCACCTCGGCCTCTCACAGTCCTAGAACTACAGGCATAACACCCAGTCTTTAGATTTTTTCTTTACATAGGTAACCCTGTAACCAAATACAAGAACAAAACATAAAACTTTTTTCACCACCCAAAACCTCTCTTATTTTTCTTTCTAATCAACGTTCTCTGAAAGTTAAACAATGCTTTGACCCCTGCTGTATGCTCTCAAAATTTACACCAATGTAATCATACAACATGTACTCTTTCATGTCTAACCTCTTTTATTCAACATTATATCTGTGCCTTTCATCCATAATCTTCCATGAGTCATTCATTTTTTGTTATTATACAATATTCCATTTTAAGACTACAGAACAACTCCTTTATTTCAATGATCGACATTTGGCTTCTTTTAAGTTTGGGGCCAAAGTTCCTATACATACTGTTGTTCATGTCTTTTGCAGAGAATACATACTTATTTCTTGTGATTACATGCCTAGGAGTAGAATTTCTGTTTTATACAGTACATGTGTTTTCAGTTCAAATTAATACTGTCCAACAATTTTTTTGTAGTAATTTACATTCCTACCAGCTATGCATGAAAATTACTTCCATTGTGACTAACTTTGGACATTTTCTTTCCTTTTAACTTTAGCCATTCTGATAGGTTAAAATGCCATATTTCTGATGCATATTTGGTTTGATTATTTAAGTTATAACATGAAGTTATTTTTATATTTTTCAAATTTAAGAAATGTTGTAAAATATCTATTAAATATTGTGTGCCTTACAATTCACAATTGCAAATCTGTGGAACCAATTCAAATGCCCATCAATCAATGAGAGGACAAAAAAACTGTGCCACATATATGATGGAATACTACTCAGCCATAAAAAGGAATGAATTAACAGCATTTGTAATGAGTTGAGCGGGACTGGAGGCTACTATTCTAAGTGAATTAACTCAGGAAGGGAAAACCAAACATTGTGTGTTCTGCCCGGTATGTGGGAGCTAAGATATAAGGATGCAAAGGCATAAGAATGATAAAATGGACTTTGGGGCTTTGGGGGGAAGAGTGAGAGAGGGGCAAGAGACAAAAGACAACAAATACGGTGCAGTGTATGGTGCTTGGGTGATGGGGGTTTGGGTGATGGGTGCACCCGGATCTCAAAAATCACCACTAAAGAACTTATTCATGTAATCAGATAACACCTGTATCCCAATAAATTATGGAATTTTTTAAAAAATATCAAATACAAGGTATAACTGATCTCTGGTTCAAGAGAAACCTTAATGAACTATGAAAATACATTTCAAATTATGTTATGAAGTATTAGACTTCTTGGTTCCCTAAAATATGTTTTGGTTCATTAAAAATACGATTTATTTTATTTTGAGGTACTTTTGTCTAGAGCTGGAGATTCAAATACAGAAAGAAATTGTATATGGCAATAGTAGCATGGGCGTTTACATATGTCCAAACCCATCAAATTGTATACAGTAAATGTGCAGGTATTTTGGTATATCAGTTATATCTCAGTAAAGCTGTTATAAACAAGAAAAAATAAACAAATACTCTGTGCTTGATATTAAAGATGTTATCTCATATTAACCAACAATTATTTGATTACAGAAAATAGAGTTTACAAGATTCACATTGCTTTCATTGGTTTAGTTATTACTAATACCTGGTTACCTGTTCTTTCTAATATCTCAGACCATTCCGGAGATTAGTCCTTCTAAGCCCGCCTCATTTTTATCTCATTTTATTCCCATCTCTTCAGGAATATGAGACATTTTTGTGACATATTTATTTATTGACATGTTTAAATTCCTAGTACAACTATCCCCTTAACCAAGATTCTATGTGTGGTTTTTCCCTTCTGTTTTTTTTTTTTTTTTTTTTTTCTCTGCACATTCTCCCTGGAAAATCTCTCTCATTCTCTTAATATAACAAATCACAAAACTCCTCAAATTCTGCATTGAGTTCTAGCCCTGAACCCTCTCTCAAGTTTCACATTTAAATTTGCAGTTATTTGCCGAATATTTTCTCTTGGGTGTTCCAAACATAAATGTTGAACAATATTCTTCTTTGTTGTTAATTGAGTTGATTACACAAGGAAACTACGTTTTCTTCTAGAATTGGGAAAAAATGATATCGGGACTTTTATGGTACATTCTTTTACCACAAATTGTGGAGCAAATTTTACCAAAAGTTTCCATTAGTATACTTCAGATTTTTTCACTAGGGCCCCCTCTAAAAGTTACAGAAGATATGGTTTATATAATTCTCTGTTGATTAGAGTGTAAGTAAATTTGCAACTTCGAAAGCAACTAAACTTCAAAGTTTCATGTGCTTTAAAAATGTCCATATACTTTGATCTAATAATTCTGCTCCTAGAAAGCTACCTGAAAGAAAAGGAAATGCAGAAAACAACTTACGGATAATTATATTAGACGTTCCACTGCACTGTTCTCCAAAATTTTACAACCACGTAAGTGATGCAAATGGCAATGACTTTGGCATTGCTTAACATATATATGACATCTATATGATGGGATATTATGTACTCATTAAAAGTTAGGTTTTTGAAACAAGAAACAACATGGGAAAAATACTACAACAAAATATTATGGGGGGAAAAATAAGCACTCGATATTAAGTGTAGTATCATCCCTGTTCTGTATACATAAACTTGAAAAAAGGTGAAACACATGAAGATCTTAATAGGGCTTATCTGGGTTTGATGGTATTAGACAGCACATTTTTATCTTCTTCTTTATACTTTTCTGTCCTCTGAGGTTTTAATTTTGTCATCCAGAACACCTACATAACATGAAAATAATAATTTTTCAAGATTTTCATTCAATGACATAGGGAATATTTAGATGAATATAATGTGCTCTCTCATTAATAGAATAACACTGCAAGCTAGGAAACAGTAATTGTGAACAGAGATCATTCCTGGGTGATGACTGAAACATTTATATTTTCTCTTCTTTGTATGATCTTCTGATTTTTTTCTATAATAAGCAGGTGTCACACAACATATTAGAAAGTCTATGTGAAACATTTAAAAATATGTTATGTATAAGTTATGAATAACTAGTGATTTAAGGTTCCTAAATATCCCTCTCAAGGTCTTGGCATAAGTGTGCTTTATTTGATAATGATGATTGCTTCTTTAGCTTGATGAAAATGTGATATCTGTGTGGCATAGTAACACGACATTTTATGTGGAGAATAAACCTCAGGTCTCACAAATTAGTGAAAAAGAGAACCCTAAAATTTTAAGTTCATTTAGCAGGGATACAGACCCTGAATAAAATAAGAAAATATAAATTTGACTCATAGATCCAAATATTAGTATATCTTAAATGACCATAGTCTTTTTTAGACCCAGATGAGTAGCACTTTAGAAATAAAATATCAACTCAAAGAATTTCTACCTAAATCCTTAAAATGTATATTTGTCACATATTTTACAAAAATAAGAAAAAAATTCAATATTTGCATGCTATATGTATTCACTTTTAAATTCCTTCAACCAATGTTTATTGAACACTTACTAGTATATGCCAAGTTGACAAAGTGTGAGACCTTATTTCATGTTTTTCTAGTTGAGGAGACAGAAATTAAGTGAAGTAACCAAATACCTATTTAACAGTTTCAGGTAATTATACCTTCAGATTATTTGGTGATAAAACTGGACCTCTATGATCACTAAGTTGTAACCCAAGTGACTCACTGGTATGGCTTGACTGTGTCTCCACCCAAATCTCACCTTGAATTGCAGCTCCCATGATTCCCACGTGTTGTGGGAGGCCCCAGTGTGAAATAATTGAATCATGGTGGTGTTTTCCCCATACTGTTCTTACTGTAGTAAGTCTCATGAGATTTGACGGTTTTATATGGGGAAACACCTTTCCCTTGGCTTCCATTATCTCTTGTCTGTGGCCATGTAAGATGTGCCTTTCACCTTTGGCCAGGACTGTGAGGCCTTCCCAGCCATGTGGAATTGTGAGTCCATTAAACCTCTTTTTCTTTATAAATTACCCAGTAACTGGTATGTCTTTATTAGCAGCGTGAGAACAGACTAATTCACTCACCAGTTTTAGGACTTTAAACTAAACATGGAATTTGATCTTTAGAAAAGTTCATCCCAAGTAAGGAATTTCAAACTTCAGCCTTTGGCATTATGTTCATTTTTTGTCTCCTACGAACCAATATAAGTCACATTTTAGATGAAAAATGGACTCTTACAGGCAGCTGAAACATCACAGGTTGCTGATTGGTTTTAGCAAGGCAATTCTTACAAGTGCACTTTCTTGAGGAGGCAATTTGAAAAATGATTTTCCAACACCATCTGCCCAAAGCACCTGAAGACGTTCACGCTGAGCTATTTCATAAGGAAAATGCAGGATGAAAAAAACAGTGACCTAAGGCATGTTCTCAGAATTTTCTGCAAGTGCCAGTGCACCATGCAGATAGATGACTGTCATCTGCCAATGGGGCTCATTTGTGCAAAAGGTTATCTTCCAACTGATTTAATTTTTGTTAATTCAGCAACTTCTTAGATGAAACGCTCAGTGTGTGCATTTTCCTTACAACAGCGGCAATCCCTCCAGAGCATTTCTTTGGAATACAAGACTGATAAACACAATCTAGACTGGCTTCCACTCAGTAAACCATTTATAAGAAAACCATCCATTTGCATAGAGCATAAAAGCTCCCCTACTGAAACTGCCATTGTTCAGAAAAGTAATTTTAAATCCCTAACTGATAGTGAACTGTGCCAGGAATTTTGCAGGTTAGCGCTGCCAAGGAGCTGAAGGCTCTTCTATGGAGGCTTCAAATATACTTTTTGAGATTCCCGTGAATAGATATTTTGGGAGACTGGGAAAGGTGGATTGTTTGTGCCCAGGAGTTGGAGACCAGCAAAGGAAACATTGGGAAACCCCGTCTTTACAAAAAATAGAAAAAAAAAAAATAGGCATGGTAGCAGCCACCTGTATTACCAGCTACTTGAGAGATTGAGGTGGGAAGATCACCTGAGCCCAGGAGGTTGAGGCAACAGTAAGCCATGATCACACTACTGCACTCCAGCCTGGGCAATAGAGTGAGACCCTGGCTCAAAAAAAAAAAAAAAAAAAAAAACAATAAATCCCAAGGCCACCATCTGAACTTGATATTTGCGTAGAACTGCAGTGTTATATAAAATAATTGGTTTTCATTGGTGCCTTTCAAAGAGCAGTACAATTACACAATAATACACTTTTTTATTTATTATTATTATACTTTAAGTTTTAGGGTACATGGGCACATTGTGCAGGTTAGTTACATATATATACATGTTTCATGCTGGTGCGCTGCACCCACTAACTCGTCAACTAGCTTTAGTTATATCTCCCAATGCTATCCCTCCCCCCTCCCCCCACCCCACAACAGTCCCCAGAGTGTGATGTTCCCCTTCCTGTGTCCATGTGTTCTCATTGTTCAATTCCCACCTATGAGTGAGAATATGTGGTGTTTGGTTTTTTGTTCTTGCGATAGTTTACTGAGAATGATGATTTCCAATTTCATCCATGTCCCTACAAAAGATATGAACTCATCATTTTTTATGGCTGCATAGTATTCCATGGTGTATATGTGCCACATTTTCTTAATCCAGTCTATCATTGTTTGACATTTGGGTTGGTTCCAAGTCTTTGCTATTGTGAATAATGCTGCAATAACAAAAAACACATGAAAAAATGCTCACCATCACTGGCCATCAGAGAAATGCAAATCAAAACCTCAATGAGATACCATCTCATACCAGTTAGAATGGCGATCATTAAAAAGTCAGGAAACAACAGGTGCTGGAGAGGACGTGGAGAAATAGGAACACTTTTACACTGTTGGTGGGACTGTAAACTAGTTCAACCATTGTGGAAGTCAGTGTGGTGATTCCTCGGGGATCTAGAATTAGAAATACCATTTGACTCAGCCATCCCATTACTGGGTATATACCGAAAGGACTATAAAGCATGCTGCTATAAAGACAAATAATACACTTTTTAAATGTAAGAGGTAAAAATAATTGTAAACTATCTCTCTTTGTATTATTGTTATACCAAATAAATTAAACATCAACGTGGATAAGATGTTAGTACATATGTCAATTTAATCAAGCACTTTCTATAGTATTGAGTCTGAAGGGGAAATGGTGCCTTTCCTTTCCTTGCTGCGCACTACCACATAAGAAGTGTGAATGAAACTGATACCACAGAAGAGGGATTGGCAAACTATATCCCGAGGGCCAGATCTCCTTGCTGCCTGATTTTATGCAGCCTACAAGCCAGAAATGATTTTTACATTTGTAAACAGTGTTCCAAAAGAAAAACTAAAAGAAGAATGTTTCATGACATGTAAAGTTTATAAGAAATTTAAATTTTAGTGTTCATACATACAGTTTTACTAACATGCAGCTATCTGCATTTTGTATCATGTATGGATTACCCACTGTGACTTTTGTGCTAAAATGGTGCAGCTGAGTATTGGTGACAGAGACAGACCTGAAAAGCCTAAAATTTGGTAACAGAGCTTTTTGCAGTAAAAAAGTTTGCCAACCCCTGATCTAGAAGTCTCTCCTGGTGCCTAACAAGTCTCACATTTCAAAGCTCTAAATGGATAAGAAAAAGTTAACACAGGGGCTAGCTTTGTTCTCATTATGAGAATATAACTTCAGTCCTCAACAGTTTCTTAAAAGACCATGTGCCTCTGACCTTGTGTCCCTGTGTATCTCTCTTGTTTAGTTCAGACTCTCTCCTCAAGACCTCAAAAGAGTTATTTTTCTTTGCACAATTCAATGCAATTGTGCAAGAACCTTGTCTAATAATAACTTTTCCCATGGATGTTGGATAGGAGCTTAATAATGATTGAATTAAATTGAAGTAAATGAGTACAAAAGAAGATAATCAGTGAAATGACTACCATTTGATTAGGTAAGTGGAAAGCCTGAATTCTTCCATTCTTTTCCAAACAAGTTGTGGGATCATAATTTATGCTAATCAGATGGCATAGTCCTGACCTGTATCATAAGAGTATTTAAAAAAGACTTAAATCCATTTACATAATGTCTGCATAAGTAGAGAAGAAATCTATATCAGTCTGGGACCTCCAGATAAACAAATTGATATGAGATCTATATATCTCAAATAAAGATATACATATTAAGATGTGTCTCTGTGTGTGCATGTATATAGTCAGCCTCTACAATTGCATGAGCAATAAAATAAGTCCCTACATGTATAAAGATATAGGTATAGGTATCTCCAGTATATAAATATATGATATCTATAATATGTGCATGCACACACACTCACATACAGATACACACACTCACACATAGACACACACACACAGAGAGAGAAAGAGACTTATTATAAGTAATTGCTTCATGTAACTGTAAAGACTGACAAGTCCAAAACCTGTAGAAACTCCAATTGATCTCCCAATTCGTGTCCTAAGGCTGGCAGGAGGCTGCAGAACCAGGAAGAGTCTATGCCCCAGTTTGAAAGCTGAAAGGCAGGAGAATTCTCTGTTACTTGGGGGAGGTCAGTCTTTGTACTTCTCAAGCATTTGGCTGATTGGATAAGGTCCACACACATTGGCAAAGAAAATCTGCTTTAGTTAGTCATCACTGTAAATGTTAATCTCATCCTAAAACCCCCTCCCACCAGAGGTTAAATGCTGGAGAGAATGAATACCTAATTTTCTTTGATGGGATTATTATGCACTACATCACTGCACCAAAGTATCTTACATGCCCCATAGTTACATATGCCTACTACGTACCCACAAGAATTAAAAATAAAACATCTAAAACACCTTCCCAGACAGACTTAATAAGTTTGATCACGTATTTGGGCATCCTGTGGCCCAGTCAAGGTGACACATGCAATTAACCAGCCCGAGAGACTTGAGCAACAAATGACTCACACTTTCAGAGTCCAAGGACACTACAGATATGCAATAGATTATCTATAAACTTAGAAATGCAACAATCCTGATGGGAAAATAGAATAAGCTTGAAGGGAGGCCTTAGCTGTTTCAGAGCCTAACACATGTGAAGCACCTCAAACTACTGTCAAGCCTGCCAAACTGTGTCAGAAATCAACACCAAGGCCCAATCATTATCTTTGTTATTACTCAACCCCATGAAAAAAATAAAGCTATCTTGTTTTGGGTGTATTTAGTCGTCTGCCCAGGGTTAAAAAAACCTTACTTTACATTTTATTTAGGCAATAAATCTGCTAATAAAGTTGTGAAACTTAAATTCTGTAAGAAATCTATGCAAATTATAAAAAACTTAAGGATGCTTCCAATATTAAAATTATAGATGCTTCCAACATTATAATTATATAATTAATTACATGATTAAATACAATCATATTATAATTCCAATAATAAAATTATATAATATATAATTATGAGAATTATATATATAATTATGTATTATATTATATAATTATAGATGCAGTCTGTATAATTACATATTCATCTTTCCATTCTCATAAATGCTTTTGGTTAACACACTTTATCAAGTGTTTCAGTATGAATTGTTTATTAGTATCTACTTATGTTTACAGTCCTATTTCTACTTCCTGAAACATTCCACCTGGATCTGATTCAGCATATCAAAATAAAATTCTTATGGTTTTTAGAGTACGTACCTTTAATTTCATTTTTTTTCTGGTATATCTGAACATCCACTTACATTTGCTGTGTTAAAATGAGCATAAACACTCAGGGGGTTAAGGTGGGAGGATCACCTGAGCCCAGGAGTTTGAGGCTGCAGTGAACAATGATTGCACCACTGCATCCCAGCCTGGGCAATAGAGCAAGATCCTGTCTCAAAAAATAATAATAATAATAAGTGAAGAAAATTTTGTTCCCAGGGCAATAAGGAGGAGAAACTTACTTATAAAATAAAGTAAAGAGGAAAAAAAAGAAAATATGAGAAAAAGAAAGAAGGCGGATGGAAAATGAAAGGAGGTAAAAGTATTTCTGTGATCTTTGTCTCAAATGCCTATAAACCCAGTGTAGTCGTGGGAAAAACATTGGATTCATGTAAATTGAGGGACATTTTACAAAATATCTGATCCTCTAACTGTCCCATAACTGTCAAGATTACCAATAAAGCATCTGAAAAATTGTCAGAACAAAAAGAGCCCAAGAAAACATGAAAAATAGTGTGATGTTACCCCAGATGAGATCCTGGAACAGAAAAGAGACATTAGATAAAAACATAAGGGAAATCCAAATAAGAAGTGGACTTTAGTTAACACTAACATGTCAACGTTGGTTTATTAAAATTTTGATAAATTTACCAGATGTCCACAATAGGGGAAGTGGGTTTTGGGGTAGATGGGAACTCTCTGTACTACTACTCATTGTAATTTTTCTGTAATTTAAAAACTATCCTAAAACATTATAAGAGGAAAACCAGAATTAGTTGAACTGCTACTAAAAGTAAGGACAATTCCAGGAAGATAATGCCATCATCCCCATTTTGTGGAAGAGAACAATTTACTTTGGGAATTACCTTAGGTAACTTTTGTACCATCCTACAAAGGGATGACCATTCTTTCCATTGTTGTAAATGAAAACAAGATGAAACAAAAATAACTGAAAGAAAAAACTATTGCTCAAGGACAAAGAGATAAAATTTCCAACTCTTCCTACTTCCACTTTCATCTTCTCTCGACAGTTGTATAATAAAGCAGAGAAATAATTATAGTAACCTACTTATTAGAGTAATTGCAATATTAATTACATTTCAGAGCGAGGCTATTAAAGCAGTTCAAATGTCATTTCTTTTTGCCAAGAGATTACTATTTGCACAACAAAGGAAAACTCTAGAGAATCACTCAAAATGTTATATAATTACAGCTAAAAGGTACTAAGTGATAGGACTGTCAACCGTTGTTACTTTGGAATCACACACCCTAAAATAATCAGTGTAAGCTGTAAGGTAACTGAGTGGTAAGTGGGAAGATGACTTACAACCCTAATTGATGTTCCTCATTAAATTGCTAATGCTTAAAGAGAGGTAGTTAAAACAGTGGAGCTATGTTACCCTCCCCGAAACGAGAAGGCTATGAGTATGTCATTATTTTCACAGTGATTTGCTTTCAACTTACCTGTGCAGAATCATACACAATACTCATTAACAGTGCTTGGAGTTGGATATGCCACAGTGGATTTCCTGATTTTCTAACTAAGGGGTGATTATTAGCTAAGGAGCTAATTTCGGGCAATAATACAAATCTGAAGTATGATAGTTTATGAATGGAAACATCAAAAAGAGATTGTTTCATTATATGTCTTTTTTCTCCATATAGGAAGGTAGTCCCTTAGAATAGCACTTTAATTAACTGTGATTCTTTTACAGCTATCACAAATAGTTTGGAAGAAAGGCCGGTGGCTCTCAAAGACACATAGCTAGAAGCTTCTACTAATGAATTTAGAATTTCACTTTTTGGAAGATGAGAATGGAAAGCACAAGGTACTATTTAAAATTTAATTCTAATAACAACTCCAAGAAGCCAATACTAATTTCACCCCATCTCCAGCCCTGACTGTCTCACAAGATGTAAAATGAAAATGTGCTGGTACAATCTTGAATTATTTGCAGTCACAAGAGTAGAGAGAAAATGTCTCAAAGCTCTTACATGAAATAAAACATTCAAATAGTTATGCCATGTATTCTCAAACTATAGAGAATGTATGCTATTTTTAATTTTAAGTTAAACTAATTTTAATATATAAGTGATGACAAAGGTCAGCTAATTTTATGACAAGATAGGTAAACAAAATACTTATAGATGTATATGTAAATATAGGAATAGATGCAGGTGGAAATGGATCATTTCCATGACTAAACCCAGGTTTTCTCTCCACATGTGACATTAGATATGCAGCCTTTCAGTGGGTGGTGAAAATTATTACCAAATACCTGTAAATGAACAGTTGCATAATACCCTGGTTTGAGGCTCACTCATTGATACAACTGTCTTGTCCTCTAGAATAGCAAGAGGGAAATTGCCAAATAACATGTTAACCTCCAGACAAATTATATGCAAGAATTTTAGTAAAAATGACTTGGTAAGGACATACTTTGAGAAAACCGATTGAGCCTATGGAAATTGCTGTTTCATTTAGTATCGGCTTACAAGACATTTGTTAGGTATCTATTCTGGAACATTGAGGATTATTGTCAAATTTAACAGTCGTAATTTCCAGAAGGTTATCCTCTCTTAAGAAAAGAAAGGCAAAATGGTGTCATATTTACCCATCTTTTATTTCTCAACGGTTCTCTTGTAAACCATCATTAATCAACAACTACTAGCAAAGGTTCTCCATTCTTGACATAGAATTCATCTGAGTTTGAATTTATTTTAAGAAGCTTTGTTCTTCATTGTCTCTTCATCTATTGATGGCTTAAATCTCTTTCACATCTATTTGCTTTCACCTTTAAAATTTAAAGACCATTTTCTTTGGTGTAAACATAGAAGAAGAGAGTATTTGAAAGAGCCCTGAATTCTTTCTATAGCTGCTAACATACCACCTGCTCTCAGAAATGGGTGTGGGTTTTCTCGGTCTTCTTACCCAAAAGCTATCACCAAAATACTTTTTAGCTTTCCTTATCATTTTCCATAAGCCTGCGATTCAATGTTCTTGACATTCCTTTAGTGTAATCTGATCACTGCATATTTTAAAATGTCATTTTGATTGTCAGTGTCAGCCAGAGAACATCTTGAGTTGCCACATGCTTTTCCAGCCCTGAGAACTCTACCACTCCCGTTAGCATACACTATGGTATAATCACTTTCATCTTCTCAATAATAAAAAAAAAATCCCTGCTACTTCTACCACTTCCCTTTATAGCAAAATGTGAATTTTTTCTTTTTAGAATATTTTGAACATTTTATTGTGAAACATAGCAAATACAGAAAAACTAAACAGACTGGTTTCTTGAAGCCCCCAAATCCATTACTATACCTCAGTGCCATCCATATACTGCCATTCTCTATGATTGATATCTCTACCCATTCCTCAGCTGTATGCAATTATTATTTTTACAGTGTTTTTTAAATGATAAAATATGAACAACTAAAACATAGAAAAATTACCTGCACAATTTTGACAAGCAGATACACCTCCATGATCCACAACCTTGTTATCATATAAATCATTTTCATCCCTTTTACCTCTTCCCAGTTAATCATCCAACAAGAGGCAGCTACAGTTCTGATACGGTTTTCCTTCTGTTAGTTTTTCCTGCTCAATCAGTTTGTGTAAATGGAGACATACGGTGCAAGCTCTCTGTTATCAAGTTTCTTTTCACTCATCATCGTGTATGTGAGCTTCATAAGCATTGTTGATGTGTCAGTCCTTTGTCCCTTATGATTACTGCGTGGTACTGCACTGTAGGAACATACAAAAAAAAAAGTTCCTTTATCCATTCTCCTTTTGCACATTTTGGTTGCTTTCAGGTTTTGGCAATTGTAAGTACAGATGTTATGATCATTCCTGCACAGTTGTTTTTCATAGATAAACCCCTCTGTGTGAAATTTTGGGGTCAACAGGTAGGTACACATTTATTTCCATAAGAATTTGCCAGCAATATTGTTGTACCATTTTATACTTCCACTGCCAGTTCATGAGAGATTCACAAATGCACTGGTCCCAACTCAAAAAAAAAAAAAAAAAATTTAGCCATTCTACTTGCTGTACAAATGGCATCTTTTCTTGTTTTTAGTTTGGATTTCACCTATAACTAATGATGTTGAAGACATTTATCACTTACTTGTGTCACCTTTATTTATAACAATTGTTTTGAACTAATGTTAGACATACCCTAAATTTGTAAAAATAATATTGTCCTTACCCCAATGTAAACATCTTACATAACTATAATATAATTATCAACTATAGGATATTAACCTTGATAGAATGTTAAACCAGATCCTACTTGATTTAATGTATCATAGCAAGTAAAAATGTATATCATCCAAAAAAATGATATGAAAGGCATATATTGAGTAATCTCCTACCTGCTAATCCCTCTCCTCCATTTCTGGCCTCCACGTTTTATATGCTTCCAATGTTTATTCAAATATGCAGATATATTATTACTCCCCTTTTCCTAAGCAAAACTGGCATACTGTATTCATTCTTTTTCTATTCCTCACTTTTTTTATGTAGCAGCTTTCTGGAGATTTTACATATCAATACACAAAGAACTTTCTCGTCCTTGTCACAATTGCACACTATTTTATTGTTCGGATGTACTCTGTGTAACCACGCATATTTTTAAAGGTTTCTTCCTCCACCTTCATATTTATTTGAGTGACCTTTTATGATTATGGTGTCAGAATTGCCTCTCACTTAAGAATTTCCAATCACATTGTAATCTCAGCAGTTTGGAAGGCTTAGGCAGAAGGGCCACTTAAGCCCAAAAATTGGAGAACAGCCTGAACGCATACCGATTCTTGGTCGCTTAAAAAAAAAATTAGCCTGGTGTAGTTGTGTGCCTGTAGTCTCAGCTATTTGGGAGGCTACAGTGGGAGAATTCATTGAGCCCAGGAGGCTGCAGTGAGCCATGATGATGCCAGTGCAGTCCAGTGTAAACAACAGAGTAAGACCCTATCTGAAAAAAAATTATTATTATTTCTAACCAGGAGATGGTAATCACATAAGTTCTGGTGTGAAGTACATGTGATGTGGTTAACCTTGTTAAGCTTTGGTTGTCCTGAATTCTGAAACAGGGTCCATCATGAAAAAACCTCAGCTCATTCACAGCGAGCTGCTGAACTGCAGAAAACAAGGACTCCAGGGACGATGGGAGGGTAGCCCTGCTGACTGCTACAGAAAGCAGAATGCCTCATCAAAACCCCAGTCCACCTGGTATACATACTAATAGACACTGACTCCAATATCAGAAGGTTTTAAGTGGAAAATAATAGAACCTCCTACCACTAGGAAATGTTTACTGATCTATCTGGCCTCTAAAATGGAGAAGGTCCTCTCTTTGTCACCTCCCACTTACCCTAGGCAGATGTCACCGAGAAGCTCAGATACACACAGAGGAATGGAGTTCATTGGCTCTAGTCCAGAATCCAATCTCATAGCACCCTTGACTATGTCCAGTATGCAAGTATCAGGCAACTCTTTTCAACTGTTTTCTCTCTCCAACAGGACGTACACTGAGCTACAGCAAGAGCTTTGGAGCTTTGTGCACATTTCCTGTCCTCAATCAGCATGACTTGGAGGATATTCCTTAACCTCATTTGTTCTTTATCATCTCACCTTTATATCAAGGTAAACTATTTCATGAAGTCCTTGTGAGCCACTTTTCCTTTTTGAAGAGCTCACAGATCATACTGTAACACATCTGTTCCAGAATCGTTTGGTAATTAATTTTGAACTCAACAGCATAAATTCCTATAGTGACTTCCCATTAATGAAAGGATAAAACTCAGTCTTCATTGCAGAAGTGTGTATCTTAAATATATAAAATGATGTGATTTAAGAGTGTACATCTTTGTTATAAAAGTACAAAGACATGAGTAAGAGTTCTAAACACCCATTCAGGATACTGTCCATATCTAGGGTGGAAAAGGAGGAAAATGAAATAAGGTAGGAGTATTTAAAGGGATTCACTTAATACACAGCACTAAGGGAAAGAGAGAGCCTCCTCCTCCTTTGCCCTCCAGAGATAAAAAAAAAAAAAATCAGCTGCCAGCTCTGGTTTGGTTGCATGGTTCCTTGTGTGGGGTAGACTATCTGAACCTGCCTGGCATGAAAACCAGTGTTCATATGATTCTAAGATGTTACAGATTGCATTTTTCTGGACTAAGAATGCTACCAAAAAAAATCACATCAGCAGCACAAAAGTTTTGTTAGTAAAAGTAAGCACATATCAAATTTTAACTTCAAATTTTATCAGTTTGCTGGAGAATTAGCTGGAGAATTGGAACTATTTTTAATTTAAGCTTTATGTCATGAGTGTAAGCATGGGAATAATATACTATTCACAAATTTGTGGGAAATAAGACTTAAAATACACTGTTTTGTGGAGTAGGCACAGGAGAAGTTGCATTCCCACTGTTTTTCCATTAATTGTTGGAGAGTAGGCTTTCTTATTCCCCACTAATTATTTAAATTGAAGCAAAGAAAACCATTTTTCAATTTGGATGGATTAAACTTCCATCTTTCAAATGTGCACATGACTGGAACAATTTGATTAACATGTATTTGGAGAGATTGAAATAAAAAGTGCCACTAAGAGAACATCATGTCATTGATAAAGCCATAACTTGTGGATGTTCCATTTGTATACTAATAGAATTACTACACATTCTGTATTGTCTCCTTTTGGCTACATTATTTCAAAAATGCAGAGGGGAAAAAAAGAAAGAAGTTCAAAAAGAAGTAAAGAAAAAAGAGAGATAGAAGGAGGGAAGGAAGAAAGAAGGATAGAAAAAAGGATGGATGGAAGGAAGGATGGGAAGAAGGAAGGAAGGGAGGAAAGGAGGGAGGGAAGGAGGGAGGGGCTATGGAGACAGAGAATAAAAAATTACCTTTACCTACTATTTAATCTATCTTTATCAAATATAATATTGTGGTTGAGTGGTTCAGTGTTGTTTGCTGTTTCTGAACCACTGTTGTTTCATGTATTTATCTGGGATACGAATCAAGACTAAGAAAATCAGTTTCTTATTAAGCTGTCATGTCAACTGCTAACAGTATGCACAGATTGACCTACAAATCTTTATTAGGCATCCCATATCTGGCTGGCTGTTTATAGCCATTGATTATCCAAAGTAGCATGAGACATGGAACAAGTACTAAAGAGTTACAACAGTTATGCATAAATAGTTTTTTTTCTTGATTCTTTCTAGAAAACACATATTTCAAAAAACACAAATTCCTTCATTCTGGGCTAGTTTGGGATTTTTTTCAAGGAAGAGCAGGGAGGGTAGCAGATCACAGAGTCAGCAGCTGATGCCTTGTTAGGATTTTCTACTCCATGCAGTGTATTTAAGAGACCAAATGTGGCGTACCAAGATGGAATATGTAATGGAGATTTAGGGAACAACTATCTACAGACCTGCAGGAAGCTGGCTTGTGAGGGTGAGAAAACATGTGTTTGAATATGGAGCACCCTGAGTTTAGGGACTGAGGAACCCTTCCTATTCTGGGGGTCTGAAGGATCAAGGGGAGGGAGAAGTTACCAGAAACAGCTTCCTTCTGCCCAGGAATGCAGCCAGCAGGAGTAGTCTCCCAGGCAGAAAGCAGAGAAGATGTAGGGCATGGCCTCTCTCCCAGCTTGTTTTTTTGGGGTATGCTACTAACTCACCCCAATAGTTCAACTGATAGAAAGTAAAGGACGAAGGGACCTGTTAATGAAATACACTGGAGGTCAGCCAAGATCCGGCTGAAGAAAGATTCAGAGGAGATCCGAGGTTGGGAATGTCCAGTAAAATATTCAGGCATCAAGGAAGATTGATGAGGCTGCGTTGTTCCCACTAAGCACCATGGAGATCCATCCATCTGCAATTTTTAAATGAGATGTCCCTAAGGAGACCCCATCCTGAGAAGTAGATATCCCACTAAGATATGTCTGATCTATTGGCTCACTTATTATTTTTCTTCCATATTAGACTCAAAGCAAGATGTTCATTTTCTTTCATATATCCCCAGCACTTATGACAGTGACTGCACATCACAGGTGTTCAAAAATAGCTACTAAGTCATCTGGCATAAATTCAGAAATATTCATGTGAGACAATTAGACACAAGGGCAGACACTGTTTAACAGTGAGTATTTTGTTCTAACTGCATCTCCATGGTGCTGAGGCTTGCTTGCCCAGAACCTAGTTCTGTAAACTAAAGTTAAATAATGTGCAGTTACAATGGAATCACAGCAGCCTTCCCTTGTTTTCAGGAGGACAGAAGCATAAGTCAATGGTTAACACTTGCTGTTCTAAGTTTTTCCAAAAGCTTTTTTCAAGTCACAGAATTTGCTACTACCTTTCTACTCATAAAAGACAAACTGCTCTCAAAGAAGCAAACAAATAGCCTCAGGAAAAATTTAGAACCAGCCCATTATAGATAAACACATCTGCGGCTGAGCTTGTGTGGACGGCATAGAGAACATGACCATAATTTATGATAGGATTTCTCTTCAATAGTTTCATGAAATTAAAATATCAACATACCACTGTGCCCCCCAAAGAAGATTATGAATTTTAGTCTCCGTGTCGGCTGAAAATAGCTATGTGCCACTTTTAGGAGTCATGTCGGGGTGTCCAAATGTCATTTTTCCATGTTCCTTGGATCCTGATAGACAGCTATTAAGTGGGGTATAAATCAAGAATGTGACACCTGCAGACCTTTGAGGAAATGTACGGCATCTTCCCTGATTTTTTTCACAAGCAAGAAGATCTTGGTTGGGATCAGAGGCATGAGTTACTGTGCCTGACCCCTATTCCTACTGACTAGTTGTTGGCAAAAATGTGAAAGTGGATAATGAGCTCCACTCTTAAAAATGAGATGAACAGAGTGATGAGTCTTAGTTAACAAGTCTGTTAGAATGAGTAAGTCAAATAGTGGCAAGGAAAATCAGTGGGGTTCTTTTCATTCATTCATACAACAAATGAGTAGATTATAGGACTGTATTAGAAGATTGTAAACATGACAGGGAAAAATAACACAGAGTACAGAAGCAAGATTTATTTTTAAGACTTTCTATTATTTTTTTTAAGTTCTAGGGTACGTGTGCATAACGTGCCTGTTTGTTACATAGGTATACATGTGCCATGTTGGTTTCCTGCGTCTACCAACTCATCATTTATATCAGGTAGTTCTCCTAATGCTATCGCTACCCCAGCCCCCCACCCCACGAAAGGCCCTGGTATGTGATGTTTCCCTCCCTGTGCCCAAGTGTTCTCATTCTTCAATTCCCACCTATGAGTGAGAACATGAGGTGTTTGGTTTTCTGTCCTTGTGATAGTTTGCTGAGAATGATGGTTTCCAGCTTCATCCATGTCCCTGCAAAGGACAAGAACTCATCCTTTTATAGGGCTGCATAGTATTCCACGGTGTATATGTGCCACATTTTCTTAATCCAGTCTATCATTGATAGACATTTGGGTTGGTTCCAAGTATCTGCTACTGTGAATAGTGCCACAATAAACGTACATGTGCATGAATCTTTATAGTAGCGTGATTTATAATCCTTTGGGTATATACCCAGTAACGGGATCGCTGGGTCAAATGGTATTTCTAGATCCTTGAGGAATTGCCACACTGTCTTCCATAATGTTGTACTAATTTACACTCCCACCAACAGTGTAAAAGTGTTCCTGTTTCTCCACATCCTCTCCAGCATCTGTTGTTTCCTGAGTTTTTAATGATCGCCCTTCTAACTGGCATGAGATGTTATCTAATTGTGGTTTTGATTTGCATTTCTCTGATGACCAGTGATGATGAGCATTTTTTCCTGTGTCTGTTGGTTGCATAAATGTCTTCTTTTGAGAAGTGTCTGTTCATATACTTTGCCCACTTTTTGAGGGAGTTGGGTTTTTTTTTATTGTAAATTTGTTTAAGTTCTTTATGGATTCTGGATATTAGCCCTTTGTCAGATGGGTACATTGCAAAAATTTTCTCCCATTCTGTAGGCTGCCTGTTCTCTCTGATGGCAGTTTCTTTTACAGTGCAGAAGCTTTTTAGTTAAATTAGATCCCAGTTGTCAATTTTGGCTTTTGTTACCATTGCTTTTGGTGTTTCAGTCTTGAAGTCCTTGCCCATGCCTGTGTCGTGAAGGTATTACCTAGGTTTTCTTCTAGGGTTTTTATGGTTTTAGGTCTAACATTTAAGTCTTTAATCCATCTTGAATTAATTTTTGTATAAGGTGTAAGGAAGGGATCCAGTTTCAGCTTTCTACATATGGCTAGCCAGTTTTCCCAGCACCATTTATTAAATAGGGAATCCTTTCCCCATTGCTTGTTTTTGTGAGGTTTGTCAATGATCAGGTGGTTGTAGATGTGTGGTGTTATTTCTGAGGCTTCTGTTCTGTTCCATTGGTCTACATATCTGTTTTTGTACCAGTACCATGCTGATTTGATTACTGGAGCCAAACAGTTTTGAAGTCAGATAGAGTGATGCCTCCAGCTTTATTCTTTTTGCTTAGGATTGTCTTGGCAGTGTGGGCTCTTTTTTGGTTCCACATGAAATTTAAACTGTTTTTTTTTCCAATTCTGTGAAGAAAGTCATTGTAGCTTGATGGGGATGGTTTTCAATCTATAAATTACCTTGGGCAGTATGGTCATTTTCACAATATTGATTCTTCCTATCCATGAGCATGCAATGTTCTTCCATTTTTTGTGTCCTCTTTTATTTAGTTGAGCAGCAGTTTGTAGTTCTCCTTGAAGAGGACCTTTGCATCCCTTGTAAGTTGGATTCCTAGGTATTTTATTCTCTTTGTAGCAATTGTGAAAGAGAGTTCTCTTATGATTTGGTTCTCTGTTTCTCTGTTGTTGATGTATAGGAATGCTTGTGATTTTTGCACATAGATTTTCTATCCTGAGACTTTGCTGAAGTTGCTTATTTACTTAAGGAGTTTTAGGGCTGAGACGATGGGGTTTTCTAACTATATAATCACATAATCTGCAAACAGGGACAATTTGACTTCCTCTTTTCCTAATTGAATACCCTTGATTGCCTTCTCTTACCTGATTGCCCTGGACAGAACTTCCAATACTATGTTGAATAGGAGTGGTGAGAGGGGGAATCCTTGTCTTATGCCGGTTTTCAAGGGAAATGCTTCCAGTTTTCTCCATTCAGTATGATATCGGCTGTGGATTTGTCATGAATAGCTCTTATTATTTTGAGATACATCCCGTCAATACCTAATTTATTGAGAGTGTTTAGCATGAAGTGCTGTTGAAGTTTTTCAAAGGCCTTTTCTGCATCTATTGAGATAATCATGTGTTTTTTGTCATTTGTTCTGTGTATGTGATGGATTATATTGACTGATTTGTGTATATTGAACCAGCTTTGCTTCCCAGGAGTGAAGCTGAGTTGATCCTGGTGGATAAGCTTTTTGATGTGCTGCTGGATTTGGTTTGCCAGTATTTTATTGAGGATTTTCACGTCATATTCATCAGGGATATTAGTCTAAATTTTTTTTTTTTTTTTTTTTTTTTTTTTTTTTTTTTTTGCGTCTCTGCCAGGCTTTGGTATCAGGATGATGCTGGCTGCCTAAAATGAGTTAGGGAGGATTCCCTCTTTTTCTATGGATTGGAATAATTTCAGAAGGAATGGCACCAGCTCCTCTTTTTACCTCTGGTAGAATTTGGCTGTGAATCCATCTGGTCCTGGACTTTTTTTGGTTTGCACACTGCTAATTATTCCCTCAGCTTCAGAGCCTGTTATTAGCCTATTCAGAGATTCAACTTCTTCCTGGTTTAGTCTTGGGAGGGTGTATGTGTCCAGGAATTTATTAATTTCTTCTAGATTTTCTAGTTTATTTGCTTAGAGGTGTTTATAGTATTCTCTCAAGGTAGTTTGTATTTCTGTGGGGTTAGTGGTAATATCCCCTTTATCATTGTTTTATTGCATCTATTTGATTCTTCTCTCCTTTCTTCCTTATTCATCTTGCTAACAGTCTATTAATTTTGTTAATATTTTCAAAAAACCGGCTCCTGCATTCATTCACTTTTTGAAGGGTTTCTTTATGACTCTATCTCCTTCAGCTCTGCTCTGATCTTAGTTATTTCTTGCCTTCTGCTAGCTTTTGAACTTGTTTGCTCTTGCATCTCTAGTTTTTATTAATTGTGATATTAGCTTTTCGATTTTAGATCTTTCCTGCTTTCTCTTGTGGGCATTTAGTGCCATAAATTTTCCTCTATACACTCCTTTAAATGTGTCCCAGAGATTCTAGTATGTTGTGTCTTTTTTCTCTTTGGTTTCAAAGAACTTCTTCATTTCTGCCTTCATTTCTTTATGTACCCAGTAGTCATTCAGGAGCAGGTTGTTTAGTTCCCATGTAGTTGTGTGGTTTTAAGTGATTTTCTCAATTCTGAGTTCCCTGTACTGTGGTCTTAGATACAGTTTGTTGTGATTTCTGTTCTTTTCCAATTGCTCCAGAGTGTTTTGCTTCCATCTACGTGGTCAGTTTTGGAATAACTGTGATGTGGTGCTGAGAAGAATGTATATTCTGTTGATTTGGGGTGGAGAGTTCTGTAGATGTCTATTATGTCCGCTTGGTGCAGAGCTGAGTTCAGGTTCTGGATATCTTTGTTAACCTTCTGTCTTGTTGATCTGTCTAATATTGACAGTGGGGTGTTAAATTATACCATTATTATTGTTTGGGTGTCTGAATCTCTTTGTAGGTCTCTGAGGGCTTGCTTTATGAAACTGAGTGTTCCTGTATTGGGTGCATATATATTTAGGATAGTTAGTCCTACTTGTTGAATTGTTCCCTTTACCATCATGTAACGGCCTCCTTTGTGTCTTTTGATCTTTGTTGGTTTAAAATCTGTTGTATCAGAGACTAGGATTGCAAACCCTCCTTTTTTTTTATTTTATTATTATTTTTTTTTTGCTTTCCATTTGCTTGGTAGATCTTCCTCCATCCCTTTATTTTGAGCCTATGTGTGTCTCTGCACATGAGATGGGTTTCCTGAATACAGCACCCTGATGGGTCTTGACTCTTTCTCCATTGTCGGTGTCTTTTAACTGGGGCACATAGCCCATTTACATTTTAGGTTAATATTGTTATGTGCGAATTTGATCCTCTCGTTATGATGTTAGCTGGTTCTTTTGCCCATTAATTGATGCAGTTTCTTCATAGCATTGATGGTCTTTACAATTTGGCATGTTTCTGCAGTGGCTGGTACTGGTTGTTCCTTTCCATGTTTAGTGCTTCCTTTAGAAGTTCTTGTAAGTCAGGCCTGATGGTGACAAAATCTCTCAGCATTTGCTTGTCTGTAAAGGATTTTATTTCTCCTTCACTTATAAATCTTACCTTCACTGAATATGAAATTCTGTGTTGAAAATTGTTTTCTTTCAGCATGTTGAATATTGGCCCCCACTCTATTCTGGCTTGTAGGGTTTCCATCAAGAGATCTGCTGTTGGTCTGATGGGCTTCCCTTTGTGGGTAACCCAGCCTTTCTCTCTGGCTACCCTTAACATTTTTTCCTTCATTTCAATCTTAATGAATTTGACAATTATGTGTCTTGGGGTTGCTCTTCTCAAGGAGTATCTTTGTGTTGTTCTCTGTATTTCCTGAATTTGAATGTTGGCCTGCCTTGTTACGTAGGGGAAGTTCTCCTGGATGATATCTTGAAGAGTGTTTTCCAACTTTGTTCCATTCTCCCCATCACTTTCAGGTACACCAATCAAAGGTAAATTTGGGTCTTGTCACATAGTCCCATATTTCTTGGAGGCCTTGTTTGTTTCTTTTTACTCTTTTTTTCTCTAAACTTTTGTCTCAGTTTATTTCATTAATTTGATATTCAATCACTGAAATCCTTTCTTCCACTTGATCAAATCAGATATTGAAGCTTGTGCTTGTGTCATGCAGTTCTCATGCCTTGGTTTTCAGCTCCATCAGGTCATGTAAGGTCTTCTCTACACTGTTCATTCTAGTTGGCCATTGGTATAACTTTTTTGAAGGTTTTTAGCTTCCTTGCAATCGGTTAGAACATGCTCCTTTAGCTCAGATAAGTTTGTTATTACCAACCTTCTGAAGCCTACCTGTGTCAACTCATGAAACTCATTCTCCATCCAGCTTTGTTCCCTTGCAGGCAAGGAGCTGTGATCCTTTGGAGGAGAAGCACTTTGGGTTTTAGAATTTTCAGCTTTTCTGCTCTGGTTTCTCCCTATCTTTGTAGTTTTTATCTACCTTTGGACTTTCATGTTAGTGACCTTCAGATGGGGTTTTGGTGTGGATGTCCTTTTTGTTGATGTTGATGCTATTCCTTTCTGTTTGTTAGTTTTCCTTGTAACAGACAGGTCCCTCAGTTGCAGGTCTGTTGGAGTTTGCTGGAGGTCCGCTCCAGATTTTGTTTGCCTGGGTATCACCAGCAGAGGGTGCAGAACAGCAAATATTGCAGAGCAGCAAATATTGCTGCCTGATCTTTCCTTTGGAAGCTTCTTCCCAGAGGGGCATTCACCTGTATGAGGTGTCTGTTGGCCCCGACTGGGAGATGTCTCCCTATTAGGCTACATGGGAGTCAGGGAACCACTTCAGGAAGCAGTCTATCCATTCTCAGAGTTCAAACGCCATGTTGAGAAAACCACTGGTCTCCTCAGAGCTGTCAGACAGGGAAGCTTAAGTCTGCAGAAGTTTCTGCTGTCTTTTGTTCATGTATGCCCTGCCCACAAATATGGATTCTATAGAGGCAGTAGGCCTTGCTGAGCTGCCATGGGTGCTGACCAGTTCAAGCTTCCTGGCCACTTTGTTTACCTACTCAAGCCTCAGCAATGGTGGATGCCCCTCCCCCCACCAGGCTGCAGTCTCACAGGATGATTTCAGACTGCTGCAGTAGCAGTGAACAAGGCTCCATGGGCGTGGGACCCACTGAGCTAGTCACGGGAGAGAATCTCTTTGTCTGCCAGTTGCGATGACCATGGGAAAACCTCAGTATTTGGGCAGAAGTGTCCTGTTTTTCCAGGTACAGTCTGTCACAGCTTCCCTTGGCTAGGAAAGGGAAATCATGATACCCTTTGCACTTACTGGGTGAGGAGATGCCCTGCCCTTCTTTGGCTCACCCTTCATGGACTGCACCCACTATCCAACCAGTCCCAGTGAGATGAACCAGATACCTCAGTTGGAAATGCAGAAATCACTCATCTTGTGTGTTGATCATGCTGGTAGCTGCAGACCAGAGCTGTTCCTATTTGGCCATCTTCTATTTTTAAGACTTTCTACTGGCTAACTGTAAACAGAAAACTGAAGAGCTTCTGTGCAGTAAAAGAAACTATCATCAGAGTTAATAAGTAACCAAGAGAATGGGAGAAAATTTTTGCAATCTACCCATCTGACAAAGGGCTAACATCCAGAATCTACAAGGAAAAAACCAACAACCCCATCAAAAGTGGGCAAAGGATATGAACAGATGCTTCTCAAAAGAAGACATTTATTCAGCCCACAAACATATGAAAAATCGTTTAACATCACTGTTCATTAGAAAAATGCAAATCAAAACTGCAATGAGCTATCATCCCATTCCAGTCAGAATGGCAATTATCAAAAAGTCAATAAACAATAGATGCTGGTGAGACAGTGGAGAAATAGGAACACCTTTCCACTGTTGGTTGGAATGTAAATTAGTTAAACTATTGTGAAAGACACTGTGGGTATTCTCCAAGGACCTAGAACAAAAAGATACCATTTGACCCAGCAATCCCATTACTGGGTATATACCCAAAGGAATATAAATCATGCTACTATAAAGACACATGCACACATATGTTTATTGCAGCACTATTTACAATAGCAAAGACCTGGAGCCAACCTACATGCCCATCAGTGATAGACTGGATAAATAAAATGTGATACTTATACACCACAGGATACTATGGAGCCATAAAGAGAAATGAGATTATGTCCTTTGCAGAAACATGGATGAATCTGATAGCCATCATCCTCAGCAAAGTTATGCAGGAACAGAAAAGCAAACACTGTGTATCTCATTCATAAGTGGGAGTTGAACAATAAGAACACATGGACACAGGGAGGGGAACAACACACCCTGGCACCAGTCAAGGGGTAGGGGGCAAGGGGAGAGGGAGCATTAGGAAAAATAGCTAATGAATGCATGGCTTGAAACATAAATGGTGGGTTGATAGGTACAGCAATATATATGGCACACATATAGCAATGTGATCTACACTTTTGGCACTTGTATCCCAGAACTGAAAGTAAAATAATGATAAAAATGAAAAAAGAAAATAGAAGGTAAAATCCGATGGGGGGAAAAATACTCTTTCTGTCCTTAGGATGTAGCAAATGTTTCTAATTTATTTGTGTTTTTATTTTTATTTTTTTTTGTTTTGTTTTTGAGATGGAGTCTTGCTCTGTCTCGTAGGCTGGAGCGCAGCGGCATAATCTCAGTTCACTACAACTTCCACCTCCTAAGTTTAAGTGATTCTTCTACCACATCCTCCCCAGTAGCTAGGATTACAGGAGCACTTTCTGACACCCAGCTAAATTTTGTATAGATGGAGTTTTGCCATGATGGCCAGGCTGGTCTTAAACTCCTGGACTCAAGTGATCTGCCAGCCTAGGCCTCCCAAAGTGCTGGGATTACAGGAATGAGCCACCATGCCTGGCCCATTTGGGTGTTTTTAATTTCCCTTGCAATTGTTTTCATTTAGCTTCAATAGAAAACCTTTATGAAAAATGGTGTGGTGTGTTTTCATAACACCACGTCTGAGGAAAATCCACTGTGCATTTTGCTGGGGCCAGTGTGTGTGGGGACACCAAGGAGATACAGTAATATTTTGCAGCTTTAAATAAATGTTCTGCATGTTTAAACTATTTTGTATTTTTATAAATATGAAATATTTTATAAAGAGAGATAGAAGAAGATCAACCTGTCCCTAGGTCCTTTGAGCTGTCTAAGACAAGTGTTCTCTGTTTGACCTTTGCAATACAATATCTCCTAGCTAGTATAATATTCTCATAGCTAATATAATATAACCAAATAATATTCTTATTCTGTTGACGCTAGTAGCCCCATGTGACTATTGGGCAGATGAGAGGCAGCTTATGCAACCAAAGAACTGATTCTCACATTTATTTATTTTTAATGAATTTAAATTGAAATGACCACATGTGGTCATTAGCTATTGTACTAAAGACCATAGGTCCATATAATCTCTCCTACCATTTTTGGAATGTGGGAATTTATCTCTGACATGCAATGCCGTTCTTATGATTATCGTATATTTCATAAGAAATCAACAGATAAACCAAACTCATTGCAATCCAATGCACTTCAGTTTCATTCAATTAGATTAACAAGTGTGTATTGATCAACTTGCTTATGCCAAGCATAATGCTAAGCACTGAAGACCCAAAGATGAAGGAGACTTTATCCTTGCATATTTTGATAATTCTCAGACCACATCCTGTATCCTCCCTACTATGTTTGCATTCCAAGCTATTAACCAGCTTATCTATCTATTCTCCATGTCTGTCAAATCAGATAAATGTTAATCAGTAAGAAATCTTTTAAACCTAGTTAATTCATAGTGTATTATAAGGTCCCCATAAAAAGGAGCTTTAAAATATATAACTGCTGGCCAGGCACGGTGGGTCATGCCTATAATCCCAACATTTTGGGAGGCCAAGGCAGGTGGATCACCTGAGGTCAGGGGTTTGAGACCATCTAGGCCAACACGGCAAAACCCCATGTGTACTAAAAGGACAAAAACTAGGCAGTCGTGGTGGCATGCACCTGTAATCCCAGCTACTTGGGAAGCTGAGGCATTATAATTACTTGAACCTAGGAGGCAGAGGTTGCAGTGAGCTGAAGCTGGGCCACTGCACTCCAGTCTGGGTGACAGAGTGAAACTCCTTCTCAAAAAATTATTATTATACACACACAAACATATAATTGCTATTTTTATTTGGTTAACAGAACCATGTCATATCAGGGAAAAAATGAACAAAACTAATTTCTAAGAAACATCTGGTGAATAAAAGTTGCCTATGTATGCAAAGCTAATTTCAAAAACTGTCAACATTTTTAGTCTCTCCTCTGATGTTATTTACAGCTAAGTTAACCACCCCCTCCTATTTAATAGATTAAAGGTAAATTGATATGCTATTGGAAACTGAGTTCCCCAGAAGAGGCCCTTGAGATTAAAAAGTGATATTTTTTTTTTTTGAGAAAGCATTCCCAGAAATCCTGGTAAGGATGTTGAAAACTGAGACAAACCACAAAAAGATGGCAACAATAGGTTTACTGAAGCTCAGTCTCACAGAGGAACATTGAAAATGGGACAGGCAACACCTCACAGTTGTCCCTAGCAGGAGCAGAAGGAGCTGAACTATTTCTACTTGCACACTGTTCATCATAGGGTAAGGGCTGCTGCTGGGAAAACTAAAATTCCAAGACACTTCCTCATCTCCACTCAGGCACAGCAATGCTCGGAAGCCTGAGGTTTCCTAGGTAAAATGGGATCTGACAAATCACCTCTGGTCCATTGACAGCATGCATCGCAAGTTGCAGAAGAAAGTAATTTGAATGAAGCCCTGCAGATGCCTCTTTTGGGAGAAAACATGAAATGTAACAAGAACAAGAATGACACCAAAAAAAATCTAAAGAAACTGGGGCTGCAACTAGGCCTCTGTCATAGCTGACTATTGTAGTGGCTCTGTCCTTCCTCAGAAAGAGAAAAACTTGACCAAAAGGGGTCATGTGTCATGAGACCATTGGGTTTTTACTTCCAGGAATCTAAAAAGCAAAGTTTCAGCATGTGACATCCCTGTCACTTGATGGAGCTGTAGATCCACACCTTCCTGGGCTCACTGTTCCTGTTGAACTGAACTCAAAAGCCAAATATAAAGGCAGAATCTTCACAATGGAGACCACAACCCAGAAGATGGCTTAGCATGGTAACCAGATAGCGCCGAAAGAGAGATCTGTCACATGTTGGAAAACAGAAATCCCGGCAAACACTGTAGCAAGAGAGGGTTGCCTGGAGTACTGAGTGAAAAGCACCCAGTTGGGTTTGTTTATAAGATCTTGCATAATTTTATTTAATTAAGCATGGCCACAATTTAATTTAATGAACATTGCAGAACTTTTGATACCCACTGAAACACAGGCAATTCAAAAATGCCAATATGGCAGGTAAAGTCTTGGGCTGTGGCACTTGTCCCTCTGCTTGTTTTAATAATAGTGACTTTGCATTTCAAAGTAAACATTAAATATATTGTATTCCCCCAGTTGCTTCCATGACAGAGCCTCTCTCCAGGAGTATCTGAGAGACACTACTGTGTGTTTTCTCATGTGATTACAAACTGTTTATATTTACCAGTGTTTGGGTTTTTCTCTGAGGAATTTAGGGAATACAGCAGGGAGTTGGTGACAAATATGTTAAAAGAAAATAATCTAGCAAAGGAGGACAACATTTAATGGCCTCACCTGCTGTGGGCAGAGCCTGGAAATAGAGGTTATACAAGGCACTGTACTGGGACCAGGTTCGAGGTGGAAATCTGTGTGCAAGAATTCTCTTTTAAAATATGACACCGCTGAGAATTTGTAACAAGTATTGTTTTAAAAGGAAGAAATGTATTTTATCCTATCAAGGATCCTTCAAGGCCAAGACATATATTTGGAAGGAATGGTTGATTTGGGAACATGACAGTTATGAAGGGCAAAGTTCAGAAGTTGGGCTTTTGCAGTGCCCAAGCAGGGAGGCTCTCACGGACAAATAGACTTCACAGCTACCCTGGCGAGCTCACTCTCCATCCCTCCTTCCTCCCTCTTCCTCTTTTTTCCCTCCTGCCTCCCCCCATTTCTCCTTCTTTCCCTCCTTCCTCACTCGCTCTCTCCCTCCCTCTCTGTCTCCTTCCCTTCCTTATTTCCTCCCTCCATCCCAGCCCCTTCTTTCTCTCCTTCCTCCCATTTCCCTCCTCTCCTCCAGCCCTCCTTTCCTTCCTTCTTTCCTTTCTTCCTTCCTTCCCTTCTTCCTTCCTCCTTTCTTCCTTCCTTATTTCCTCTCTCCTGTCCCCCTTACTCCTTCTCTTCCTCCCCACTTCCCCTTCCTTATTTTCTTCCTCCCTTCTTCCCTCCTTCGTGTTTTCCATTTTTCTTCCCTTCCTCTCTTCTTCCCTCCTTCCTTCCCTTCCTTCCTTCCTCCCTTTCTCTCTCCCCTTTTTATTCCCTCCTTCTCTTCCCTCCCTCCCCTCTCCCTTTCCTTTTTCTTTCCTTTGCCTTTCTTTCCTCCCTTCTTTCATCCTCCCTCCATTTACTCCTTCTTTCCTTTCTTTCTTCCTTCCATCATCCCTCCTTACAACCTCTCTTTCTTTTCTCATCCTAAAAACGTTTCACTTTTAGAATTTCTATAGTGTAACATACATTACAAAATCTTTGAAAATATTTTTACAGAAACAATTATGAAAATACTAAAAAAATAGATACCCCAAACTGAAACTATTGTGAGAGGAGTTAGAATAGAGGCTGCATCCTGGTAATTTCGGAAGAAAAGAACACAGGCAAATGTCTCAGGGTGTCAGAAATCACCTATGTCTGCATCTGGGTGGATGTTACATAGGATTCTCATAGGTAAAAATTAATCAAACCACTCAACTAAAATGTTTGCACTTTATTTTAGTAATTGATTACTCAAATAGGAACAGAAATTTAAAACCTAAAAATATAGACCAGGTGTTGTGGCTGATGCCTGTAATCCCTACACTGTGGGAAGCTGAGGTCAGAGGATTGCTTGAGGCCAGGAGTTTGAGACCAGCCTAAGCAACATACTGATAAACTCCATTTGTACAGAAAATAAAAACAGAAAACATTAGCCAGATGCAGTGGTGTGCACCTGTCATCCCAACTACTGTGAGGCTGAGGTGAGAGGACCACTTTAGCCCAGGAGTTCAAGGCTGCAGTGAGCCACAATAAAGCCAGTCTAGCCTGAGCAACAGAGAAAGCCCATGTCTCAAAAAATAATAGACATATATATTCATATAAATGCCTTACTCTTACCACCGTAAGGAAACTGATGTGTAGCTGTTACCAACTATATGTTCCATGCATGTTAGTGTGTCCATTTGTTTGTATGAGCCAGTGTATATGTGTGAAATTGCATGCACATAAGGTTTCCAATGACTTTTTCCTCCCCTTGATAATAAATGTGAACATTTAGTCACATACCTTAGTGTTATTCTTTTTTTTTTTTTTTCCTTTGAGACAGAATCTCATTCTATCACCTAGGCTGGAGTGCAGTGGTATGATCTCAGCTCACTCCAGCCTTCACCTCCCCTCCTGGGTTGAAACAATTCTCTTGCCTCAGCCTCCTAAGTAGCTGTGGTTACAGCCAGGTGCCACCAGATCTGGCTAATTTTTGGATTTTTAGTAGAGGCAGGGTTTCACCGTGTTGGCCCAGCTGGTCTCTTAACTCCTGACATCAAGTGATCTGCCCACCTTGGCCTCCCAAACTGCTGGGATTACAGATGTGAGCCACCACAGTTGACTTGAAATATTTTTTTTCTAAATTAGTCATTTTAAATTGTCTTCCTTAATGACTCTTCTGATATCCCCACCAGAATGGAGGGACTCTAATTTAAATGCTGGGCATCACGATTTTGTATTGGAATGTTGAACATAAAACCATATTTTTTAGAGTAAGGAGAAAAGTTATTTGGAAGAAGTAACTGAAGAAAATAAAGCAGCCTTTTCCTCTTCCTTTTTGCTCTTATGTATAAAAATACATATTTTTAATGGAGTTTCCATTTTTAAAACCCATTTAACCAACTGGGAGTTTTTTAGTTATTTGAGAATTTGGACTGAGAAGGAGGTTTTTCTCATAAATAATCAAAACCTATTCCACAGTAATAAAGAGCCTCTCATTTTTTTAAAATAAGAAACATATTATTACACCAATTATTCTCTAATGTAACCAGAGTTATTTTAATTTTTTATTATCAATGGGTAAAAAAGGGCTCAATCTAATTCCAAGGAAACCAAGGGTAATTTGGAGAGGAATGAAGAACTGAAACTGAATTTGAACATTGGCAACGAAAATAGCAAGACAAAATATGCAAGGCAGGTAATGCCACAGTCACTCAGCAGAGAGCAGGAGGTTTATTCTTTCCTGGGCTATCATCTTGGACACTAGAGCATATCTGAAGTTGCAGGAAAAAAGTAGCTTTTTGGGATTTATTGCAGCAAAGTTGAATCTGATTCCTGAAAATAAAGGAGAGCAGATCTTACAGGGAAATGGCAGAACACACAGAGACATTGTGTTTGTAAGTAGTATGATCTGTAAAGAATGGCAATGATACTGGTTACAATCCCATCATCCATGTAGAATGCCATGTTGCAAAACAGAAGTGACAGGAAGTTAATTCTCTTGATGCTAACATGGTTTAAGCAAGAAAAAATATTAGGAAACAACCACATAATATGAATTTCATTCTACATGTCTTGAGGATCTGTTGGTGTCAGGATCTTTGATGAGAGGAGGGGAGGTGTGTCATTCAGGAATCCAATACATTGGAATGATATCAGCTTCCATGTCTATAATCAGTAACAAATTTTCATACCTTATAAAACAGAGGCCGAGGTGGGAGGATCACTTGAAGCCAGAAGTTAGAGAATAACCTGGGCAAAACAGTGAGACTCTATCTCTACAATATAAAAAATATATATATTAGCCAGGCATGGTGATGTCCACCTGTACTCACAGCTAATTACAGGGGAGGCTAAGGCAGGATAATCAACTAAACCCAGGAGTAAAAGTCTACAGTGAGCTATGGTTGTGCCACTATATTTCAGCCTGGCCAACGCAGCAAGACTTTATCTCTAAAAAAAGAAAAATGTATTTTTAATGTATTCTTTCACATTGGCCATTCTATTTTATCTCCACTGGGAATAGGGAAATCTTAGTGAAAGATACATGAAATTTGACATTAGATTCCAAAAACCCAGCCCAATTGTCTATTACAAAAGTGTTAATGAAGAAAGCTAACGGAGAAGGAATAGGAGATACTATCAATTGATTTTCAAACTGTACTTCAAGGATGCATAGAAGAGGCAGATTGTGGAAGAGTGAGGAAAGGAAGGAGAGAGATGAGTGGGTGGGCTTAGAGTTCCCCATCTCCTCAACTTCCAGAGGAGGGTGGTTTAATTCTTTTTAACATATTAGCCATATTCTAAAGAGATTTCAGTACAGAGAAAATACTGGAAGAATGTTTCAGAAGAACAGTTTGTCCTCTTAATCACCCCCTGAGCATTATGAGATTCTAAAATAGACACAGGAATTTGATTTGCTTTCTATTTTATTTTTCTTTAAGGTTTTTACTCAATAACACAGGAAAATCTTACATGTGCAGCAATGTAGAGTTGCTGGATTATAAAGCTCATTTCAATATGTCTGTATGCTTACTTCCAATATGGGGATTCAATATCTGCCCCCAATTTCTTTTATAAAATGTTGTAAAGACCAAATGAAAAACTGCTTTTAAGAATTCCTTATAAACTATAAATTGTTGTGCACAGGATGATTTGATTTAAATAGAACCCCAAATAGTAGGCAGTATATGATTCTTCTCTCCAGAAGGTGAGGAAGGATATTGTGTCTCTGATATCATCTATATTTTCTGATTTTTGTATAAGGCATAAGAATATTTATTTGATATTTTCAGTGTTGAGAGTATAGTATTTTTTTTTTTTTTTTTGAGACTGAGTCTTGCTCTATTGCCCAGGCTGGAATGCAGTGGCATGATCTCGGATCACTGTAAGCTCCTCCTTCAGGGTTCATGCTATTCTTCTGCCTCAGCCTCCTGAGTAGCTGGGACTACAGGGTCCCACCACCATGCCCAGCTAACTTTTTGTATTTTTAGTAGAGATGGGGTTTCACCGTGTTAGCCAGGATGGTCTCAATCTCTTGACCTTGTGATCTGCCCATCTCGGCCTCCCAAAGTTCTGGGATTACAGGCATGAGCCACAGTGCCAGGCCCAGTAATTTTCTCTTAATCATTTTTTTTTTTTTTTTTTTAAACGGAGTCTCGCTCTGTCACCCAGGCCAGACTGCGGACTGCAGTGGCGCAATCTCGGCTCACTGCAAGCTCCGCTTCCCCGGGTTCACGCCATTCTCCTGCCTCAGCCTCCCGAGTAGCTGGGACTACAGGCGCCCGCCACCGCGCCCGGCTAATTTTTTGTATTTTTAGTAGAGACGGGGTTTCACCTTGTTAGCCAGGATGGTCTCGATCTCCTGACCTCATGATCCACCCGCCTCGGCCTCCCAAAGTGCTGGGATTACAGGCGTGAGCCACCGCGCCCGGCCTCTCTTAATCATTTATAACCTGTGTTGGCAAATTCTTATAAGGGCCCTGTGTGTATTTCTGTGAATTTGAAATTGGTGGTGCTTTGAAACAGTAACCTCTTGGTTACACAGTGCCCTTATAAGAATTTGCCAACTCAGGTTATAAGTGCTTAAGAGACAATTACTGTAATCCAACAATGAATACATCATATAAATATTATTATGCCTTATACATTTCCATAGACTCTGATTCCATGTTAAAGGTGAGCTCTTTAGGTTTTCCTAAGAAAATCTAGATTTTTGTTAAGAAATTCTAGATTTACCTGGAAAGAAGATCTCTGCAAATTTGAACTGGAAAGAATTTTCCAGGTGTTAGCTTTTCTTTCTCCAGTAATGCTTTTACAATTCCAGTAGTCAGATGTACTCACAACCTCAATCATACATACAGTAGCTTCAGGCTGTGAGACAATTGCAAAAAAAAAAAAAAAAAAAAAAAAAGGATGTTGTAAACTTCACTGCAAAGAGAGGCATGATGCTGGCCAACAACCTACCAAATGGGCAAGGTATATAAAATCACTATTTTAATGATGCTGATGATGTCATTTCTCCTGCAGTATTGTTCTAGGCTATATGTTAGGCTGAGTGTCAAGGAAGACAGAAAATAAAATTGTTTAAATGTAAAACTGACAAACTGAAAAATAATAACTCAAACTGAGAGCACCTTGGAATTCTCATGGCCCTTTGAAGACATCTAGTTGAGTAGCTGTCTGTAGCTTTATAGATCTTTATAGACCTCATATATATATGTGTATACATACACACACACACACATATATATATGTATGTATATGGTCATAACATTCTGAGATTTTGAAAAACTTTCATGTTGGAATAGTGTACTTTAAAAAATCAGTATGCAATATCTAGAAATTTCAGTTTTAATGAGTGCCCTCCCTCTTCAATGATGATAGGGGAAATAATCTTGTGTTCATTCATTTATTCAATAAGTATGTTTAAATATTTCCAACACTACTGGCAATAACCCATGAGTTAGAAATGTAGCAGCCTGCAAAGGAGCCAAAAAACCATACCTGCATGCAATTGTCAGCCTATGGGTAATGCCATATTACTCCACTAGAAGAAATTTATATTAAAAGACAGAAACTATTACTGGTGGCATTGTCATACAGACTACCATCTATAAAATGTATGCTTTCTCTTATCAATCCTTTCTTTTTACTATACAGGAGACACTGCTATCTTCAGATAGCATATGTATATAATATATACATATAATATATACATATAGCATATGTATATAATATATATATAAGGACATACTATTATATATTATATATACTATCATATTTTATATATAATATACTATTATTCCCAATGACATCTTCACATTTCTGAGTTGGAATGACCATGATCATCCTATAATATCTAAACCACCTGTCTAATTTCTAGCATCTTCTTTACTATGCCAGTGGGAACTTCACGTTCACTCTACCTAACACAAAACTAATTTTCTTTCTTTCCCCTCATCCAGACCCAGTTATTTGATTTCTTTTCCTACTCAACAATGGCATCATCCATACCTTCTGGAAACATCTACACTCACCTGTGCCTTTCCTTCTAGTGATGATTTTTTACCAAGACACCAGGGGTTTGGTCTACATCCTGCTGCTCAACACAACCAAAACCAACAACTGAGAGCAAGTATTGCCAAGGAAGAAGGCTTTAATCAGATGCCGCAACCGAGGAGATGGGAGATCAGTCTCAAATCCATATCCCTAACTGACTAGAATTAGGAGTTTATGTAGCAGAGAAGAAACATAACTATGCTTGAGAAAACAGGAACTTGGGAGGGAGCAATTGTTAGGAATGAAGGGCCTGGAGTCTCATTGTCTAGATGCAGTGATCTGATGAGTTTCAGTCCTTTGATACTTTTTGAGAAGCTTGGGGATCCTTTCCTGAGGACGGAAATCAGGTAAAATAAATATAAGTTTAAAGCTTTAAGAGCAGAAGGGCCTATTTCTATGTTTATCCAAAAAAACCCTGTTTATGCAACTATTGGGTATGTTTCAGATTCATGTAGTCTCCAAACTATCAGGTATAAGTTCTTCACATGACCTTGTTATGTTTTTAAAATACAGACATCATTGATGTAGGGCATTTTCTTGACCCCTTGAACCAGCTCTTGACAGGGGTGCTCCCACCTTATGGGAGAGAGCGTGAAAGTGAACAAATGCAGAAACTGGAGTGAGCAAGTACAGGAACCAGCTGGCAGCCTAGCAGGAGCCAACTTCATTCACTTGGGTCCAGTGGGCTCTATCCATTATGGGAGGAAACACATGAGTGAATGAATGCGGGAACCAGCTGGCCACTTCAGTGCCAGCAGGAGCAAACTCTATGCAGGCCCTGTGGCAGCATCCAGGTGGGGTGTGGGTGACACCATTGCCCCAGAGGGCATGTTACAATGCTCTATTAGCTCCACCATCCATAGACTGCAGTGTGATATCAACTCAGTGGGCCTTTTCATCATCACATGGGACAGCTGCCCTCTGGCAGCAAGGGCAAACGGCCAGTGTGACAGTCTTTTTGTATACCCCACTTAGTACTGCTTGAATTCTTGTCTGAGGAATGAGGTCATGAGGACACATTGAAGGATGGTGAATGTGGAGAATTTTATTGAATGATGAAAGCAGCTCTCAGCAGAGAAGAGAGGTGGAAAGGGGATGGGAAAGGTAGTTTGCTTTCCCCCGAAGTCTCAGAAGAGGCAAAAGTCCCTTTCTGCCTCTCTCTTAAAAACTCAAGTTGCCTCAACCAGCTACCATCTCTGAAGTTATGTCCCCTCTCCCTGAAGTCCAGCCACTTCTCTCATCTGCCAGTTGAGGCTGAGGTCTTTACAGGCAAAGAATGGGAGCAGGGCAGGCCATAGGTAGTTTAGGAAAAGATAACATTCAGTTGGTAAAAAGACATTATTCAGAAAGAACTAATTGGGAGAGAGCAGGCACACAGGGATGGAAGTTCTTTTTTTTTTTTTTTTTTTTTTTTGAGACGGAGTCTCGCTCTGTCGCCCAGGCTGGAGTGCAGTGGCGGGATCTCGGCTCACTGCAAGCTCCGCCTCCCGGGTTCACGCCATTCTCCTGCCTCAGCCTCCCAAGTAGCTGGGACTACAGGCGCCCGCCACTACGCCCGGCTAATTTTTTGTATTTTTAGTAGAGACGGGGTTTCACCGTTTTAGCCGGGATGGTCTCGATCTCCTGACCTCGTGATCCGCCCGCCTCGGCCTCCCAAAGTGCTGGGATTACAGGCGTGAGCCACCGCGCCCGGCCCGGGATGGAAGTTCTTTTGGGCCACAGCTTTCAGGCTTTTTGGCTCAAAGGAGGGATTTTACCAGGGATCCTGCTGTATGTGCTAAAATTTCTCTGCCTCCTATCACTATCCTCATAATGTATTGCCCTGCTTAAAGCCCTTCAAGGACCCTATCTTTCGTATCTAATAAAGGGTCAAGCTCTTTAGCATGGCACGCAAGTTCCTATCATCCTTTCCCCAGTCTCTCTACTATCCTGTTCTTGAGTTCTCATCTTCTTTGTATAATAATTCAGCAGCCATTCTCTCCTAGCTATTGTCTGTCTAAAAAGAGCATTTGTTTCTGCCTATGAGCCTGTACATAGGCATTCCATGTTTCTGGAATACCTTTCTCCTTCTTTGTTCAATGGAGATCCTTCCTCATTCTTCAAGACCTGCCACTGTTGTCAACCTCTGAGTCATTTGCTGACTTTTCAATTGGTGTCCTTGTTAAAATCATCCTCCTCTCTGCATTGGGTGCACACCTTGATTTGCACCTGTGACCATGCAGTATTATAAACCTCTTTTACTTTCTTTATCTCCTACTTCACAGAGTTATTTTCATGCACAAAAGGCATTCAACTCATCTTTTCATGTGTTGTGTGTGGTTCAGCCCTTACAATGAGTAGATGCCCTATTCAGCAAAAGTTGGAAGGAGTAAACAGTTGAATACATATTACATGCTCAAAATTATATCATGGTGTGTATCTAAAAGGACACTTTCCTGTTCAAAGTACAATGCCAGCCTCAACTAATGTTGATGCAGATTCCTTGTGAATTTTGAATTTCCCCCTAATTAATTATTCTGAAATTTTTAATGTTTCCAAAAATAGGCTTGCATCCACATTTGCAGAAATATTGGCAATAAAAGTGCTTTTCTTTGGAGGTTTGCTCCACTAGAACTTGTAGTAAACTACATTGCAATGCCTGCTAGGAAAAAGAAACCTCATGGAAGGTCCTGAAGGGAACATCTGTCCTGCAAGCACAGAATTAAAAGGCTCTAAGGAATTTATCTGGTGGGAATGCTGCTTATCAAAGCTTTATTCATAATCTAGTTAATAATAATAAATAATTTTGAAAAATATTTCCAAATTGAAAGAGTTTGTGGAAAGCAGCACAAAACCAGATATGTCCACATGTTCCTGATGAAAATCTAACTGTACATCCTTGGGAGCTTATTCATTACGAGCCTCTTGGTTTATTTTGTGCAACTCTCATTTCTTTTGCTTCGAAACAAAGAAAATATCTCACTCCGCATCTTAGGAAAGCAGAGCTGGGGACCTCAGTGATTCCATCAAAGATTGACAAGTGGGATAGAGACCAGCAAAGGATGTATTATATAAATTCTTATTTCATTGGTGAGAGAGACAAATCATGGAAGTAGGGAATACAAAAACACACAACCCATATACATAATCCTTCAAATGTACAGGTTTTAGAAAATATCTTCTTAGAAATCTGAATATTAATTTGTCAATTCTTAAAAATTTCATCACTCATCTGCTGTAGTAAGCTGATTCATTATGAATACCTCTGGGCTAAAGAAAAATCACACACATACACACACACACTCCACACTCATGCACACACAAACCTAGGTTCACACTATGCATTCTGCAGGTAGGTATCATAGAAACAGATCATGTAGAGGCAGAAATAATGGAAAGTGTAATAGTTTTTGCTGCTAGCAAACAGTGAGAACTTAAGTAACATGTGTGCTCGCTCTGGGCTTCTGCTCCTCATCTGGAAAAAAACAAAGGAACAAAAAGGTCTTACAGCAGAATATCTAAGGGTCACAAACTCAAGTGCCTACAACATTGAGCCAGGTGATGGAAATAAATCTGCAAAGGCTTGGTTTAAGGTAATAGGGAGTGGTGGAGCCTGTGGCACACTGGAAAGTTTATGCTGCTAGTGTCAAACTTGGTCTAGTGAAACTATAAAGTATTTCATACCAAGAATATTTTTGATTCCTATAGTGGACATTTCCTACACTGAAATTGCAAGTTTAACATATATGAGGGAGGACTTGGTTGTCAATTCCTTCATAAAGTGTTCAATAGCCCCTGGTGTTGTTATCATTGTTAATGTTCATGTTACAGCTTCAGCTGGTCAACACACTTGGTTGCAGATAACAAGTCTGCTTTTACAGAGTTTAAGCAGGAAAGGATCTATGGAGGTTGTAGATAACTGATGGTCATTGGAATAATTCAAAAGTAGACTCAAAAATATGCTTTCTGGAGTAAATTATAGAACCACAGTGCAGAATTGGCCTGATAAAGGAGCTGTTTAATTGTTTCATCAGTAATGCTCCCCATAGTCCAACTCAAAACCATGCTGTCTCTGCAGTCAACAAAGAACTGTTCCTACCACCTCCAATTCCAGGAATATATTCCTATGTAGTGAAAGTCTTGGGTGCAGGCACTGACCATTCCTAACTCTCTGACAAACAAAGCCCCATAAGGATGCATCTTCTGGGCATTGTAGAATAGAAGTTCCACTTTTGCACCTCAGCCACTGGAGAGGCTAGAAATGGGTTTGTTTATTTTTCAGTTGTTTGCTTGCTATTTTGCAAAGCCAGAATTTACAGTGAGAGGATGCATAAAATGAAAACATTTTAAGCAATGTGCAATATCACCTTTATATGATTATTACAAAGTATCAATCCCTCGCTCATGGGCATAAGCTTAAAGGTTGAAGATTTAAACATAAAGAGTGTAGTTTTTTTCTTTGACAACTTTTGAAAAGAAATGATTGACTGGGATGACTCTCATGAATGACTGTAATTTGTTTCTTTCCCTGAATAAATTATATATTGCAGGGAAGTTTGTAAATTTGGCTTTTGGTGTTTGCCCTTGAGAGAAAGCAGTAGATTGATAGCTGAATATTTAATTGCTAATCAGTAAATTAAGTTATTCTCTAAAACTTAAAGAATTTTACAATTCGTCAAGCGTTTTAAGATGTTTATATTACTAACATAAATAAATTCAATGATGATGGTCAATGCTTTCTTATTACAAAGATAAAGAAAAAGAGATAAAAGGAAAGATGAAGAGGTGATGGGGGAGAAGAAACAGAGAAGTTTCTTACTTTAGGAAAAATATAGACAATAATTTTAAAAAGAAAAATTTATTTTGGTTATATAAAGCACTTTTTTCCACACATAAGGATTTTATTTTTATTTTTAATTTTTTGAGACAAAGTCTCACTCTTGTCACCCAGGCTGGAGTGCAATGGCAGGATCTCATCTAACTGCAACCTTGTCCTCCCAGATTCAAGCAATTCTCTTGCCTCAGCCTCCCAATAAGCTGGGATTACAGATGCTCGCAACCAAGCCTGGCTAATTTTTGTATATTTAGTAGAGACAGTGTTTCACCATATTGGCCAGGCTGGTCTTGAACACCTGACCTCAGGCGCTGCCCACCTCAACCTCCCAAAGTACTGGGATTGCAGGTATGAGCCCCCATACTCAGCTGGATTTTATTTTTATATATACACAAAGCATGCCTTTACTAGTGTTCAAAGAAGGCTAGTGTCTTGTTTTCATATACATATAAAGCGTGCGTATACTAGTAATCAAAGACAGATAATTTCTTGTTTTCATATAATCACAGAGCATGAACTAGTGGTCAAAGAAGCCAAATTTTGTTTTCATATACACGTACAGCATGCATTTACTGGGAGTCAAAGAAAGAAAGCTAATTTCTTTTTTTCATGTACACATAAAACATACACTCATGAATAGTCAAAAAAGAAATTGCGGTGGAAAAAACAAGAAACTCTGAAATCTTATCCACTGTCTCTAGAATACTATGGTTCCATAGCGAATGCAACTTTTTTCTAGATAAGGATTTCTCAGCCTTGCAATATTTGCTAAAGGATCTACTACTCCTTACTGACTTACACCTAGCCCATTGCATTAATTTGTCACCTGCCTAAAACCTGTAGGCATTTGAATTTGTGACCTTGAAATATTCTGCCACAATTCTTTCTTGTTCAGATGAGATTATCTTTGGCTTGGCTAATTATTCGTTCTATTCAGAGAGAGAGGGAATGTCCTGTGTGTTATAAGATGTTGACAAACATCCCTGGCCTTTACCTACCCAGATGCCAGTAACCTAGCACTCCTCCCCAAGTGACGACAACCAAAATTGTCTTCAAGCATAACCTAATGTCTCTGGGGGATAAAATTGCTCTCCTTCATTTAAGAATTTGTTTTCTAGATATAAAGTCAAAGGGAAGTGGCTTTCTTTTGGTACCAATTGACCATACCTTAATATAGAGAAGAATAAATAGATTGCTTTTTTTTTTCTTTCTTGTTTCAAAATCATTACCAAAAAAAAAATCATATTTATCCCACTGGCCCTTTCCTTTAAACTGATGAAGACAGAGTCAGATCAATCTGTTGGTTTCTCAAGCCCTGGAAGAAAGTTGATGAGGATATTCATATTCTCCGGGCCCTGTTAACCTTGCCACGATTCCCCTCCCATTGACAGAGCAGGCAGGGAGGCAGCCACAGAGTCTTACCATCTGTTTGTGTCTAATTCACATAGTTTCCTTCTGTGAAAATTTTCTCCCACATTCAACAAATGTCTAATTTCATTTCTATGTTTTTTTTTTTTTTTTTTCAGAAAGACTGGACTCAGTAAAAAGTCAAAAGACATTCACAGTGGAAGACTATACAATATTTTTCCCCATGGCAGTGCCAGATTTCACATTAGAGAATGAAAGTGCATATATCTTCAACACTCATACAGCTGTTTGTAAGAATATCATGCTGTATTATACATTATGAAATGTAAATCACTAATGCATTTAAATTTTAAATTAAAATTTTTGCCAATACTAGATGCATTTGATCTTGTATGGGTAACTTTTCCTCCAAAGTCCCAGCTAGAAGCAGAGCTCTTATGAAGGACATGCATCTAGATGGGCATAAGCACAACAACTATAGAAAACAATATATTGTTTTGGGTTTGTTTGGCATCTGGAGGGCAAAACGGCCTGGGCAGAGTTGACAAGCAAACTTTTTAATACTTTTCGAAGGTTTCACTCACAGTTGTGTGAGAAGAACTACTCCACACAATATATGACAACGTGCGGATTCCATTGGCAAGTAATTCCTTTTCTTCCCTGTACTATGAGACCATTTGCTGGCTGTTTAGAAGCCAAGTGTCTGTCCTTTGAAATCACTTTTTAAAGACCAGTTTCCAGCTGTCCCTTACCATGATGAGATGTCAATTTTATCTGAAGTATTGGCAATGGGCTGCAGGCAGGATCAATATCATGCATTGCTAATAAGTAACAAACAAGCCATATTTGTAAGGGAGCATTGGATTTCTTGATTCTTTCTGTCTTTCTTGGGTATGTTGAGCCAGCACTCCCAGGACCCCTGGAGATTGTTGACTCTGAGCTTCATAATGTGTCTGGCTTAGCCATCACATGAACACATGGACAGTGTGCTCATTCCTACTGAGAACGGCTCAGTGTAGTTTTGCTTTATCCACCAGTTTGTCATTTCCTAAGGAATGTGCCATGATACCTGAGGAAGGATATGATGAGTAGAGCCAGCTGTAGCCCAGTTTCAGAATTCTTGCTCAGTTCCAGAGCTTTCATACTTTGAAGGATTTCCTTCTGTTTTTCCTTTATTGAATAGTGTACCAGTTACTAAGATAGTAAATGTGCTGCAGAAAGATCAGTAGATCTCTAGATTATAAGCTAGTTATGGTTTTTCATGACCGGGATTTATGGATTGCATACTATATTAAGTATGACATGTGTTAGCCTACAGTTTCTTAAGTTTAGACTGGAAGATCTTGCAGAATTTTCTCATCTGCATTTGAAATACTTTCTTCCAATGTCTGCTTTCCCTTACACATGAGGAAGTTACTATTCACATACAAACCTAAGACTAACAGAATGTAGAAAAAAACTGTTGTTTCTAAAATTCCTCACCAACCCTTCATACTGCTCCAAATTATTTTAATAGGACTCATGGTATATTTGTTCATTTTTTCCTTATACGTATTCATTCGAAAACTAATTTTTTTTTTAGCAAACATATACATGTAGTGTTTTCTGAGAAAGAAAGGGTGTGTTTTCTTAAATCTATCTTTTGGAGGATACTGGTTGCATAAATCATCTTCTAGAGTTACAGATATGGGAATATGGGATATCAGCTGATATGTGAAACTCCTTACTCAGTCTTCTAACAGATTTTTCTTCTGCATCAGGGCGGCCAGTTCCATCATGCTTCGCCATCATACCCTTTGACGTTCTATTCAGATGGGCACATGGAAATGGCCACCAGCAACAGTGCTTCACCCCAGACACAGTATAACCCTTGTAATATCTAACACTCAGGAGTGTAAATGGTATATCAGGCACCATTCTGGGAGTTTACAGGTGTACCTCCGGCAATACTTTTAACATCTCTATGAGGAAGGAACATCAAATTATTCCAAAGATATTAAGAAACTGAGGCACAGATAGGAGAAAACATTTGCTGCAAATAATAATGTTGTTAAGTGGTGCCACCAGCACTAGGGACAGACATTTTCATGTCTAAGGATCATATTCTTAATTTGTATCCTGTGGATACCTCCACCCGACTCCCTCCAGTCCCCATTAATTATTCACTCAACTTGCTCTCCATGGCTATATTTACTTGTTAATTCACAAGTATTTATTGAATAGAGATGGATGGAAGGATGTGGGTATAGCTCAGGGTTATTTAAACAGGTAGAGTCAGTCCTGGCCTCACAGAACTAAAGCATTTCTAGAAGCCAACTAGAAAACTAACAAACTGCTATAGTAAATGCTGATGCATTCTGCTAGAGCAAAATCATATTTAACACATTGCAGAAACAAATAATTCAATTTAGGGGGAACAGAAGATGCTTTCATGCAGAAATCACATTTTTGCTGAGACCTGAAGTTAGAATTAAAGTAAAAGTGTTATGACCGGGATCAAGTGCATTTCAAAAAAAAAGCCACGATTTTCGAAAGCCTTCAGTTTAAAAAAAAAAAGTTTTAATTGTTAGTTATTCAGATCCTTGTAGTCAGAAATCATATTTAAGATGGCAATTTATTTATTTATTTATTTATTTATTTATTTATTTATTTATTTATCTGAGACAAAGTCTCCCTCTGTAGCCCAGGCTGGAGTGCAGAGGCACGATCTTGGCTCACCACAACCCCCGCCTCCCAGGTTCAAATGATTCTCCTCCTTCCTCAGCTTCCCAAGTATCTGGGATCTCAAGCACATGCCATCACACCTAGCTAATTTTTTGTATTTTTAGTGGAGACAGGATTTTGTTGTTTTGGCCAGGTTGGTCTTGAACTTCTGACCTCAGGTGATCTACCTGCCCTGGGCTCCCAGAGGGCTGGGATTACAGGCATGAGCCACTGTGCTTGGCCAGATTTTGATTTTTAAAAGTTGGCTAAGTCTTGTTGTTTGGCCTGCCATGTGAGCTACCCTGACGGACATTACATGTGCACTAGAGAAAAATGTATGCGCTGCTACCGTTGGATATTAAGTTCTGTATATATTTTTTGGTCTGTTTTGGCTAAAGTGCAGTTTAATTGAGTATTTCATTTAATTTTCTGTCTGATTGATCTGTACATTGATGACATGGGGTATTAAAGTCCTCTACTCTTATTGTATTGCTATCTGTTTCTCCCTTTATGTCCATTAATATTTGCTTTATATATTTAGGAAGTCTAATGGAAGCACTTTGTTTTATATGTCATTGTTTTCTCTTCTTGATGAATTGAGCCCTTTCTCATAAAATAATGACCTTCTTAGTCTCCCATGACAGTTTGTTGACTTTAACCATATTTATATGAAATAATATAGCCACTCGTATTTTCTTTTACTTTCTCCCTTTGCATGGACTATCTTCTTCTATCCTTTTACTTTCACTTTATGTGCATCCATAAGACTAAAGTGGGTCTCTTTTAGGCAACATATAGTTGGATCTTGTTTTTTTGTCCATTCAGTCATTCTATGTATTTTGATTGGAGAATTTAATCCATTTACATCAAAATAATTATTGATGGACAAGGACCTACGACTGCCAGTTTATGGTTTTCTGGTTCCTTTGTAGATCCTTTATTTATTTCTTGCTCCCTTTGGAAACTGTGCATATACATGGAAATTAAACGACATACTCCAGAACAACCAACAGGTCAGAAGAAATTGGAAGGGAAATTATACAATTTCTAGAGACAAATGAAAATGGAAATTCAACATACCAAAACATACAGGTTACTAAAAAAAAAAAAAAAAAAAAAAAAAACACTATTTGGAAGCTTATAGCAATAAATATCTACATTCAAATAGAATAAAGATTCCCCGTAAACAACCTATTGTTTACCTCAAAGAACTAGAAAAATAATAACAAATTAAACCCAAAATTAGTAGAAAGAACTAATAAAGATAAGAGCAGTAATAAAGAAAACAGAGATAAAAAATAAAAGATAAAAAATATAAAGCATTTGATTTTTGAAAGGATAAGCAAGTGACAAAATTTTAGTGAGACTAATTAGGAAAAAAGAATACAAAAATAAATAAAAACAGAGATGAAAATAGACACCACAATGAACATCACAGAAATACAAAGAATCATAAGACACTTCTTTCAACAAGTGCATGCCAACAAATTGGAAAACCTAGAAGACATAGATAAATCACCTACCACAGATAGCCAGCCAGGATTGAATAATGAAGAAGTAGAAAATCTGAACAGACCATAACGAATAAAAGATTGAATTAGTAATAAAATATCTCCATGAAAAAAGAACCCAGGACCTAATGGCTTCACTGTAGAATACTACCAAAGATTTAGAGAAAAATTAATACCCATTCTTCTCAAACTCTTCCAAAAAAAATTGAAGAGGAGGGAATTCTTCCACACTTATTCTATGAGGCTAGTGTTACCCAGATACCAAAACTAGACAAGGACACATACACACAAACAAAACTACAGGCCGATATCCCCAGTGAAGATGGTTGCAAAAAGCCTCAACAAAATACCAGGAAAATATTCAACAGTGGATTATAAAGATCATTCACCATAATCAATTGGGGTTCATTACATGGATTCAAGAATGATTCAACATATGCAAATCAGTAAACATGATACATCGCATTAACAAAATAAAGGACAAAAAAAAATGATCATTCCAAGAGATAAAGAAAAAGCATTTGAAAAAAAATCTATTCATAAAAAAATTCTCAACAAATTACACACAGAAGGAACACACCTCAATGTAATAAAAGATATATATGACAAATCTACAGCTAACATCATACTGAATGGGAAAAAGCAAAAATCTTCTTCTTTAAATCTGAAATAAGACAAGAATGCCCATTTTCACCATTTCTATTCAATATAGTACTAGAAATTCTAGCCAGAACTGTTAGGCAATAGAAATTTTTTAAAGGCATTCAAATTGGAAAGAAAGAAGTTAAATTTTCTCTGTTCACAGATGGCATGATTTTATATAGAGAAAAACACTAAAGACTCCAAGCCAAAACACCTAGAACTAATAAACAAATTCAGTAAAGTTACAGGATATGAAATGAACATAAAAGCAGTAGTATTTCTATATACTAAAATAAATTACCTGAAAAATAAATTTAAAAAATCCCATTCATAATAACTACAAAAAAACAACTAAAATACCCATGAATAAATTTAACCAATGAGCTGAAATATCTCCACACTGAAAGCTGTAAAACATTGATGAAAGAAATGGGAGAGAGCATAAATGAAAGATATGTTGCATTCAAGGAGTAGACGAGTTAATATTGTAAAAACGTCCATACTACCCAAAGCAGTCTACAGTTTCAATGCAATGCCTATTAACATACCAATGACATTCTTCACAGAAAGAGAAAAGCTAATCCTAAAATGTTTATGGAACCATAAAACACCTTGAAAAACCAAAGCTGTCTTAACCAAAAAGACCAAAGCTGGAGGTATTACAATTTTGACTTCAAAATATGTTACAGAACTACAGTAACCAAAGCAGCATGGTACTGACACAAAAGCAGACACTTAAGTGAAACAGAAAAGAGAACCCAGAAATAAATCCACCCATATACAGGCAACTGATTTTTCACGAAGTTGCAAGGATATGCATTGGAGAAAAGACAAGTCTCTTCAATAAACAATCCTGGGAAAATTGGATTTTTATGTGCAGAAAAATGAAACTAGACCACCATGTTTTAGCATATGTAAATATCATCTCAAAGTGGATTAAAAACTTAGATGTAAGGCCTGAAACCTAGAGGAAACCTATAGCGGAGGGATTTTTTGATAAGATCTCAAAAAGCATAGACAATGAAAGCAAAAAGTATTAAATCACATCAAATAAAAAATCCTCTATGTGGCAAAGGACACAATCAATGGAGTGAAAAGACAACCCACAGAATGGGAGAAAATATTCAAAAACTATACACTCAACAAGTTGTTAGTATTCAGGATATATAAGGGATCTTAAAACACTCTATAGAAAAAAAAACCCTACAAATAATCCAGGTTTTGAAATGGGCAAAAGACCTGAATATACAGTTCTCAAAAGAAGACATACAAGCAGCCAATACGTGAATGAAGACAATGTTCACAATCATTAATCATCAGGGAAATGCAAATTAAAACCGCAATGACTCATCACCTCACTCCAGTTAGAATGTCTATTACCAAAAATCACAATGTAACAAATGCTGGCAAGAATGTGTGAAAAAGGGAAACCTTTACATGTTGTTGATGGGATTGTAAATTAGTACAGCCATGGTAGAAAACACTATGACGTTCCTCAAAAAATTAAAAATAGAACTACCCTATGAGTCAGCAATCCAGCTACTGGGTATATTCATACCAAAAAGAAACAAATGATTCACATTGCAAAGAGTAATCTTGGAAGGGAGTTTAAGTTGAGAATCAATGCATGAAAAGTGATATCTGCACTCCCATGTTTATTGCAGAACTATTCATAATAGCCAAGCTATGAAATCAACCTAAATGTTCGTCAGTGGATGAATGAATAAGTAAAATGTGGTGTACATATACAGAAGAGATTACTAGTTGGGAATGGGATTCTGTCATTTGCAGCAACATGGATGTACCTGGAGTGGCTTAAGTTGAAGTAAAATAAATCAGATACAGAAAGAGGAATACTGCAACATCTCACTCATATGTAGAATCTTAGAAAGCTGATCTCATAGAAGTAGAGAGTAGAGTAGTAGTTAGCAGATGGAGAGAGTAGAGGGGAGTTGGAGTGGGCAGAAGTTCACGAATGGGTACAAAGTTAATGTTAAATACCAAAGTAAGTTCTGCTTTTCAATTGCATAGTGGGATGACTATAGTTAACAACTATATATTGTGTATTTCAAATATATATTGTGTATTTCAAAATAGATAGAGGAGAGGATTTTAAGTGTTCTCACCGCAAAGAAATGCTAAACATTTTAGGTGATGAATTTGCTAAGTGCTTTGATTTAATTATCATACAATGTATACATCTATCAAAACATCACGTAGTATGCCATAAGTATGTACAATGATGTATAATTTAAAATAAAATGTTTGAATTTAAAAAGAAAAATAAAAAACAAGGTATAATTAAATAACAAGGTATAATTAAACAACTGGAGAAAAATATCAGTGCATTTGGAATGCAGATAGGGTATGGGTTTATAAGTTTGGTTTGGCCAGCTAACAGGGCCAAGTGTCTATTGATGTGGTTACAGAGTTAGGGTAAGTTTACTTTAAAAATAGGCACATAAGGCTGGGTGTGGTGGCTCACACCTGTAATCCCAGTACTTTGGGAGGCTGAGGCAGGTGGATCACCAGGTCAGGAGTTCAAGACCAGCCTGGCCAAGATGATGAAACCCAATCTCTACTAAAAATACAAACAATTAGCTGGGTGCAGTGGCAGGCACCTGTAATCTCAGCTACTCCGGAGGCTGAGGCTTGACAATTGTTTGAACTTGGAGGGTGGAAGTTTCAGTGAGCTGAGATCACACCACTGCACTTCAACCTGGGCGACAGAGTAAGACTCCATCTCAAAAAAAAAAAAAAAATTACCACATCAAAGTCAGCATCTGGTACCACCAAAAATCTGAGGCAGGGTAGTTGCACAGACATGGCACTTCTGAACAAGGGGGAATAGAAGGTGGAATGAAGAGGTCTCATTCTCATCTTTTGGGTGGACACAACATGGGCTTCTCCTCTAAAAGTTCACAGATTAGCATTCTTAACTTCTAACTACGCATTGTTGGCAAAGTTCTCCAAGTTCTTCCCTTGGCTGGAGTATTCTCTTGAACCTGTCTCAAGCCATTGTTTCTATGTTTCTCAGCTCTCACTTTTCTGTTTCCCACAACACTCTTCCATGCTTATCACAGACAGTCATGGCCCAGCATGTGTTCTTCCAGCTGTTGGGCTTGGGTCTGCTGCTGTGTCTGTCATGAGGAGGTTGTTACAGAAATGGTTGCCAAAGAATATCTGAAAAATAATTAAATAATGAAAGACAAAAATATGCTTCCCTAGTAGACAAGAGAACAAGGTTTTCTAGACTAATTAGTCATTTTCCTGCATTGATTTACATCCTAAACAGTCTTACCACATCATTCTTCTGCAATGTGAATTATTCACTCACTTTTATTGATTACCTATTGTGACTAGGTCACTGATATTCACCAGGGATTCTTGGGGTTATATAATAATAACCTGTAGTAAAAATACGTTGGCCGGGCGCGGTGGCTCACGCCTGTAATCCCAGCACTTTGGGAGGCCGAGGCGGGCGGATCACGAGGTCAGGAGATCGAGACCATCCCGGCTAAAACGGTGAAACCCCGTCTCTACTAAAAATACAAAAAATTAGCCGGGCGTAGTGGCGGGCGCCTGTAGTCCCAGCTACTTGGGAGGCTGAGGCAGGAGAATGGCGTGAACCCGGGAGGCGGAGCTTGCAGTGAGCCGAGATCGTGCCACTGCACTCCAGCCTGGGCGACAGAGCGAGACTCCGTCTCAAAAAAAAAAAAAAAAAAAAAAAAAAAAAAAAAAAAAAAAAAAAAAAATGTTATCCTAGAATTCAAACCACAGATTTTATTTCTGTTCACTTACATCATTCTCAAAGCGGGAAGAAATGAGATAGCATTTATTGATGTCCTCTTTCAGCTAGGTGCTGTTCTATGTGTTTGGGATACCACCATAATTAAACGAGTGTGGTATCCTAAACTCTGAGATAGATGATTAGACAAAGTCTGCTATCCCAAACTGAACATACCATGTCCAAGTTGAGAATTGCCTTTTTAAGAGTCCAAGATCAATTCTCCTCTTGCAAACAGTACATTCAGTTGACTCCTGAAATAGTGACTTCAGGGCATTTATGTGTCTTATTATTTTTAAAATGGCAAAAATATCTCAAGAATGAAACATTCAAACTGATGTTCAGTCAATTTGGAGCTGTAACTAGAAACACAGGCATGCTTCGTTTTAGGCATTATGTTAGAAGACTATATTTATATTATAATATAATGGTTTTCTTACTCTTGTCATTTCAATTTTGCGTAGAGATCAACAACAACTTCTATCATTTAGGATACATTTTTGATGCACTAGGCATTCTACATTTGTTAATGATTTAATTCCTAGAACAATTCCCTAGTGTAGGTGTTACTATTTTTACCAATTTTACAGATGAAGAAACTGAACTTATAGAGACATTAAAGAACTTTCTACATGTGTGAGAGGCCAAATAGGACCTGAGATAGGGCTGTCCACCTGCATTCACCCCCTGTATGAATTGTTAAAGCAAAACACCTACATCAATACGTGGTTCAGCCTGTTAAGCTCTGGCCTGCTGATCAGGCATCTGTCGCAAGCCAGCAGCAATGATGAAAATGCATCAAATCAACCCAAACCCCCACAATATTTATACCTGTCATTGCATTGGAAGCCAAGAGAGTTGAAGAGTTTTCAAAAAATCAATGTTGCAAAAATATTTTCTTTAAGTTCTTGAATAAGAGGAAACCTGGATCAAAGCACTAGAAACACTGGACAAATTCTATAGATACCTGTGAAATGAATCAAATTCCACCTGTACATCAGAGTAACTATTGCTATCATCTGCAACATCTACCAAGCTTGTAATGACAAAGAAAAGATCTTTGAGAGACAGAATGTAATCTTTTTACTATTAATTGCAATTCTAAAAAAAAAAGCAAGTTGCTCATGCTTTTAGAGAGCTATTCTCTGTGTATAAATGTGTGGATTTCAGAACTCTAAATCTGTACTCTAAAGTATTGGTTTTATTTATGTACATCAGTTCTGTCATTGCCAGTGTCATGCAACATCTTCCATTGTGGTTACTCCCATATGGTTGTGAGTGCATGTGTGTTCTGGCTCCAGAAAGATTAAGAGTTGCTGGCAGACATAGTCTATAACTCAGATTTATTTTTGTATCTCTCCAATACAGAGCCAGTTTCAGCTACTCTGTGAATGTGAATGGGAGAGCATATGGGCTGCTTTTCAGGTACAAAAAGAGCTGATTATTTCCCAAAAGGAGCATAATAAGATAACCACAGACTTGAAGTGGGGTGTACGGTAATACTCTTAAGAGCTCCAAGGTGGTGGATTTACTCTTTCTATATACATATATATAGTGGTGTATATATATATATATGTATATATATCAGATAGGTTATATATATGTTATGTATATATGTATATGTGTATATATATAGTGTTTATATATATACATATATACATAATATACACATATACATATCATATATATAACAGACCTGTTTATATATATATATATATATATATATATATATATATATACACCACTATATATATATAGTAAATCATCATATTGTATACTTTACTGTGCAATAGGTTTTGTCCATGATACCTAAATAAAGCTAGGAGGGGACACTAAAGAGAAGGAGCCCAGTTCAGTTCACAGTAATTTATAATGTCATCTCTACCTTCCATAGCTCAACACAAACCAAGTTTCTTCGAGCAGGAGATTTTGGTAAAAGCAGGGGTCGCCAGGCCCTGGTCCATGGATTGGTGTTGCTTTGTGGCTTGTTAGAAACTGGGCCACACAGCATGAGGTGAGCAGCAGGCAAGTACATGAAGCTGCATCTGTATTTGCAGCCACTCCCTATCATTCTCTTTATCACCTGAGGTCTGCCTCCTATCAGAGTGGCATAGGCATTAGATTCTCATAGGAGCATGAACCCTTTCGTGAACTGCACATGGGAGAGAGCTATATTGCATGTTTCTTGTGAGAATCTAATACCTGATGATCTGTCACTGTAATCTATTACCCCTAGAAGGGACTACCTAACTGTGGGAATAAAAGATCAATGCTCCCACTGATTCTGCATTATGTTGAGTTGTAGAATTATTTCATTATTTAATATAATGTGATAATAACAGAAAAAAAGTGAATATATGTCATCTGCCTGAATCATCCACAAACCATCCCCCTACCACCCTCTTGCCCATGGAAAAATTGTCTTCTGTGAAACCAGTCCTTGGTGCCAAAAAGGTTGGGGACCACTGCACTAAAGGACACCATCTGGCATCACAGAGCATCTGAGTTCACAGTGCCATATATACCTCAATATCCAAGGGCCTATGGCCCTAACCAATCGCCAAGTCCTCTGATCTCTAACCCATCTCCGCAAATCTACACTTGTCTTGTCCTCACTTTGAGGTTCTAATATGATCCTGTCCCTCTCCCATTTAAGGGCCTCCAGTAACTTCTCATTTCTTCTAGCATAAAGAGAGAAGCCCATAGGTCTACTGCACTTCCAGCCTGGAGTTTGTTACCCCAGGGCCTTTGCACAAGTAATTCTCTCTCTCTAGTTCCCCCTGCCTGAGAGAACTGTCCAAGTACTCTCTCACATCTAGTATATAGGCTTCCAGAGGGCAAGGAGAAGGTCTATTTTTTAATCACCTTTGTAATATTTGCCATTATATCCATGAGACATGGATAAGGTAAATGCACAGGTGTGTGTATAGAAATACATGTATACAGGTTTATGCATGTACACACACATACTGAACACAGCTAAGGGAAGAATTATTTTCCCTGGTATGTTTATCACTGAGAACAATGCCTATGCACAGAAGAGTGCTTAATATGTATTCATGTGGAACGAATAAATACAACAGCAATTATTTTTCTTATTAGATAAACACTCAGTGAATAATTACCGAATGAGTGTGATTGGGTGTTCTCTAAGACCCTGAGTGGTCTCTGTCATCTTTCATTCCACAGCCAAGAGGGCACCATTATCTTTTGGCCTTCTTTGGTCCCATTAATCATGACAAATCATACAAGGGCAAATTGAATGGCACAGAAGAGCAATTCCAAATTTACTTATGAACCTACAGATAATGGGAAAAAATTCCTCACAAGAATGAGTCACTTGAGTGTGGCACACAAATGACATTCAGTAGTATATGTTCACATTTAGTCCCGAAGTGACATCCCAGAGGAATGGGATGAGGATATTTCAGCCCTTTCCAAGCCAAGGCTGGAAAGATTAGCAAATGAGGCACTTGCTTTGGATGTAAAACTTTAGGGGGCACAAAAATAATCTTCAGTCACAGAGATAATAGTGTAATGCAATATTTTTAATTTACCTTTTATTTTAGGTCCAGAGTACACATGCAAGTTTATTATATAGCTAAATGTGTGTCATGGGGGTTAGTTGTGCCAATTATTTAGTCACTAAGTTTCTAAGCCTAGTACCCATTAGTCATTTTTCCTGATTCTCTCCCTCCCATCACCCTCCATCCTCCAGTACGTGCCAGTGTGTGTTGTTCCCCTCTATGTGTCTATGTGTTCTCATCATTCAGCTCCCACTTATAAGTGAGAACATGCAGAATTTGGTTTACCATTCCTGCCTTAGTTTGCTAAGGATAATGGCCTCCTACTCCATCCATGTTCCTGCAAGAGCATGATCTCATTCCTTTTTATGGCTGCATAGTATTCCATGGTGTATTTGTGCTACATTTTCTTTATCTGGTTGACCATTGGACATTTAGGTTGATTCCATGTCTTTAGTGCAGTATTCCTTAAAAATCAGAATTAATGCAAAACATCCATGAATAACAGAATACCAAAATTTGAAATGAAAGCAATATCAATACTGAATTTTTCAGGGATTTTTGCCTTAAGCTGCAATTTGGGTTAGCACAGAAGGGCTACTGATCCTCTGTATTCGAAAGTTTGATATTTTGTGTTCATGGGTGTTTTACATTATTTTTTAAATATTGCATTAAAATACTATTTATCTGGATTACAGAGCTAAAGTTTGCAGTAGAGGTAAATTGTCAATAAGTAATAACACATCTCATTTACCACACCCTAATTCTGGCCCAATCAGCAACTACCACAAAAAAAAAAAAAAAATCCTGTTAAAAACCTTAGCAAGTCCTCCAAGATTTTTCTGATACATTTGGAAAAAAATAAACACTCCAAGAAAAACAGACCTTTTTTTAAAAAAAAAAAGAATAGTAAATGTGAAGCATACATTTATAGTGTACCTCAATGATGTATATTTTTCCCTAAAAAAATGAATCTTTGAGTTGAAATCAAAACTATCTACATTAAAATCTGAATAATTATTTTAAAAGGATCTTCATTGAGTAGCTAATTAAAGACCAACTTGTGAAAGTGGATTTAATGCTGTAAGGTTCCTTGAGGAAATATTTTACACATTAAGATAAGAGAAATTCTCATTTGAGAATAATAGTTTTCACAGCAGAATTTATGGTTGCCTCATAATCTATTTTAATGTTTTATAATTGATGAAATTAGGGCAATCTGAAGTTTAGGAGAACTTTCAGTTTGCACTGGTCTTCGTCAATGTTGTGAATGTTGAAATTTTCCATATTGACCACTCAAAAGCTGATCAACATTTACATTCCCAAATGCCTTCAAATGTGTCTATGATTTCATGTTTTCTTTGTTTATTATGTTTATGTGTAAGTGGATATCCCCAGCTATTACTTCTTTTATTAAAATCTACCTCCTTTTATTCATATTATCATTTGGACAGCTTGTATCAACTCCTCCTTCTCTAAACCTTCACATACTTCTTATCTTTTAGGCATAATTACCAGTTATTTTCATGCGTGTGGGCCTTCACTCTCCAATTAGTTTGCAAGCATTGTGCAGATTAAGAGTTTTAAGTTCTTTTATAGCCAACTTACACTTACATTAAAACAAAGTGTTAACAAGGTATTTATAGTACCCTATTAGTATGAGATCTCTAAACATTTCTATTTATTTTAAAATTGAAAACCCAGAATGCAGAATTAAGAACCATAAATTACAATACTTCTGCTTTCCTCCTCATTCTAGTTAACGTACAAAATATTCACCTAAAAATTACATTGAATTGGAGAGATTTTTAAAAATCTACTGTGTGAGGATTTTGCAGATTTTTAACATACGGTAAAAGTGAATCTCTTTTTTTTTGGCAGATGAAAGCAACACAAAACAACAGACTGACTTCCTGGGCATGAATCTCAGCATAAGAAAAATATAGAGTCACATAAGGTAGATGAGAAGAAAAAAATTCCAAATTATCATGAATCATGTGTAATGTTCCAATGCTAAACTATTGAGATTTCATTACTGGAAAATATATAGTAAGCAAAAGTAGTACATTTGATCTTAATCAACTTGTTTTTCTCATCTAGCTTTAGTAAACAATTTATGTGGACTATGCCATGTATTTTATCTGTTCTAATAATGTACTTCTACCCCATTTTATTTTTGGTTAAATGTGTGAAAGCAAAATCTATAACCGATATTCTGAGCTGATTTGGAAGGTAACTCCAAGACTAGACTGTTGAAAATGGCTCCTAATTCATGTCTGTGGCATACAGACTCCTTTCAATGCACCCTATAATTCCTTACAATGATAGATACGCATGTATAGAATTATATATTTATATTTCTTTTGATCTCAGTTCCAGGGTATTTATTTGATTTATTTCACTATTGGGCTCTTGGTCATTCTTTCTCTGTACAAAGGCCCTATTTTATTTTCTTCTAGTGCATAATTCTTTCATTGTCACTCCACTTTCTTGCACATGTTGTCATAAGTGTAGCTTTATGATATGTTCTGATCTTTATGATCTATTTATTAAGATCTATTTATGATCTATTATTTAAGATTTTATGATCTATTCTGCATACATGTATTAGGTAAGTAAATATCTCCATAGCTATAATAACTACATGGACTCAATAGCCATGAGCATCTCTTGTTTTGCACACATTGGAAAGTTCTTGTGCCCAGGAGTATATTGTGGGTGATAGAGTTTATTTCCATCTTCAACATGGCTGTCCAAAATGCTTGTTGATGGTAAATTGCTAACAGCTCACTGATCAGCTGGCTGTATTTTGCATGGTACTATAGACAATAGCATAGCCACCCACCCCCATCCTGAGATCAATGAAAATATTTGTACTTGCACATATAATCAAAAGTCATTGGCAATGATCCTTTAGTATGCTGAAGCCATTGGCTGTTTAGAATGATCATTCTCTGACACACATTAAGGGGCATCTAGTTACCAACTCTATCCTCATATTCTGTGTACACACGCCCAGTGAATCATGCTTTTGATACATGCCCAAGCCAATATGGCACACACAGCCGCACAACTTCTCTGTTCTCCTTGCTTAGCCAAAAGTATGTTTCCATGCTGGATTATCTGGACGTTTTCAGTTATTTGCAAGCTAAATTCAAGCCCACCTGGCAAGAGCCTCTCTGTATTGACTAAGAATTTAGAAACCCAGAGTCAGGGCTAGGAAATAAGGATAATTGGAGGGATTCCTGAAGTTTAAGAAAAACAAAATCTCCTCCCATTTCTGTTTTCTAACATGTTGTATACTAATAGATGGATGAGTCACAGCGTGCGTATTAAAGGCACCTGCATGGACCCAAATTGGAAGACAAGCCTTGTCTTAGATTCTAGGCCCACTGTCCTCTTTTTGCTATATGTATCTACAATGACAAACAACAGAAAACACATTCCCATGAAATACACAGGAAATATGCAAATGTCATTGTCCAAAACAAGCCACATGGGTACATTTCACTTCCAGGGGACATGAAATGCCAGGTGCTCCCAAAAGAGATTTAGCACATTTGCAAACAGGCTTCATGACTGCTTAATTGTGTTTCTCTTTTAATTCTTCTTAGGAGGTTTTATTTATTTACTTATTTGGAAGGACACAAGTTTATATTTTAACTAATTGACTATATCAAATGTTTTCTTTTGTGGTCAAGTTTTTTGCGTCTTATGCAAGAAAAACTTTCCCACTTTGAAAGTCATAAAAATATTCCCACCAAGGTTGACTTCTAAATATTTTGTAGGTCTACCCTTTACAATGACCCCCACTGGAACCATTTTAATGTATGGTGTGAGGTAGTGACTTGTATTGGTAATATTTCCACATACAGTGAATTGCTACAGGAGCAATTGTTAAGTTTTTCTTTTATTAACCCTTGACTTTATGAATTCTTGCTAAAATTTGTTTAGGCTGCAGTGTAAGGTCATTCAAATCTGAAATAAACAGTGTAGGGTAGAGTACTGTATAACTATACCAAAATGCAAACAATATCTTCTAGAATTTGGCTATGCAGAGTCCATGGGGTTCTTTGCTATGATTTGAACATTCCTGTAAAAACTCATATTGAAATTTAATTGTCATTGTGATGGTATTTAGAAGTCAGACCCTCGAGGGATGACTAGATCATGAGATCACCTTCTTGCATGGACTAATGCCATTGTTGAGGAAGTGGGCTCCTTGTCACAGAAATGAGTTATAATAAAAGTGAGCTCTGCCCTGTCTTCCTCTCTCACTTTCACCCCTTCTTGCTGTTCTGCCTTCCATCACAGAATGACACAGAATGAAGGTCCTTGCCAGATGCTAGTGCCATGTTGTTGAACTTCCCAGTCTCCAAAACCAAGAGGCACCTTATCTTCTATTGTTAATAAATCACCCAGTCTGTGGTATTCTGTTATAGCAACACAAAACAGATTAAGACAGGTTTTCTGTTTATTTATTTTGCTTGGCTTTTGTTTGGTTTACAAGCTTTTTATTTGTGGTATCCTTCAGTTGGATGAGGCTATGGTAGATTTCCAGCATATATTGAATGAAACTTTTAACAAGTCAAATTAGCCCCTTGCTAGATCCATGTATTAGTCCATTCCAGGCTGCTATAAGGACATACTGGAGACTGAGTAATTTCTGATGGAAAGGCCTTTAATTGACTCACAGTTTAGCATGGATGGAGAGGCTTCAGGAAACTTGCAATCATGGCAGAAGGGGAGGCAAACATGTCCTTCTCCCATGGCAGTAGGAATAGAAGTTTAAGAGCCAAGTGAAAGGGGAAGCCCATTATAAAACCATCAGATCGCATGAGAACTTACAATCATGAGAATAGCACGGGGGAACCACCCCCAGGATTCAATTACCTCCCATCGGGTCCCTCCCAGAATACATGGGGAGTATGGGAACTACAATTCAAGATGAGATTTGGGCAGGGACAGAGCCAAACCATATCAATCCATATAGGTGATCCAGTCCTTTACAAAGGAAAGAGCATTTCAGGCACTTTGACTGAAATATTAAAACAAAAAGAAGAAGTAACTTAGTACGTATACCAAGAAAAATATTTAGGGTGGAGATATGATACTATATTGCAAACCTATAATGAGAAGTGAACTATGATAGATGCATTTCATGCATTATCACTACAGTAAGTAGGTTTGCTTGGGGAGGTTGAGATACAACTCTTTAAAAAAGTAATAACTTAATAAAGGCCTTCATGAGATAGCAATTGCACACATAAGCTGTAATTAAGTTGTGATCAGACCAGTAATAAATAATAAAAAGATATCAGAACATTCACTGCTTTGAAGGTTAGAAGGAAGTAGAAGTAGAAAGCAAACCAGCTTCTGTTCCTGGGGAAGAATAATGCAACAGAAGCTTTGGGATCCATGGAGTGTGTCTTACAGATGTCAGCTACATGGTGATGAATGGAATTGTGCAATGAATGGAGAATTACAGTGAGGCAATGCTGTTAGGTTAAGGTGCATATAGGTATCTCTGTCCCATATAATTGACAAAGATTTTTTTTTCAAACAACTGAATCTTATTCATACCTTTATTCCCAAAGGATGATTAATTGAATTCTCTTTTTACTCAAAGGGGATGATGTTTAAAGCATGGGTCACAATAAGTTTTCACTGATGAAGATATAATTCAGATGAGAATGTGAGCAGAGAATGAGGGGAAATTGGGTGTATACTACCAAGGGGTACTGATATTTCAAAAATAAAATTGTTCAACATAATCCTTTCCACTCAGGCAAAATGTATTTCTTATACAAAATAGAGTACAGGAATGAAAAATATTTATTTTCTGCATCTTTGGAGAGCTAGGGATGGAATAGAAAAAAAAGATGAAAAATAGAGAACTGTGTGAGAGAGAAAAATAATGATGGAATGAGTTACAGGAATGAAGATGAGGGGAAAAGAAGACAGATACAGAATGGAGACCATTCAGATATAACAATGAGAAACAGGCAGACAGACAATGCTCATGTCCATTAAGAGAAGATGGTCATACCACAGCAACCTCCGAGAAAGAAACTTTAGGAATATAAGTCACAAATGTAGCTTAATTTCTGTAGTGTTACTGAGTATTTTTGTAGCATAGTAGTTAAGCGTTTCAGTTGTGACGTCAAATAAACCTTAGTTCATATCCTCCCTGACATCCTAGCTGGGCATTAGGTGACACTGAGGAAGTTTCATCGCAGCTCCTCAAATCTCAGTCTTCTCATCTATAAAATGTATATTTAAAAAGCATCTATTCATAGGATGTTGTGAATTAAGTGAAATAATGAATGCGAAGCCCTTCCTCTAATGGCTGACACAACCTAACTCAGGAGACAGTATTTCAAGTGCTTACAAGTCGGACTGCAGAGAGCAAAACTAAATGAAGTTTTTCTGAAGTATAAGGGAACATGCTTTGCAAAGGGGAGATTCTCTCACCTCCAAACACTGATGTCCATGCAGGAGACCTCTGTGTTGCCAGATCATCATGTTTTTAAAGGGACACTGCATCAGAATCTGACTGTTACGCTGATTTTTTTTTTTTTTTTTTTTTTTTGAGGCGAAGTCTCGCTGTGCTGCCCAGGCTGGAGGGCAGTGGCGCAATCTCGGCTCACTGCAAGATCCCCATCCTGGGTTCACATCATTCTCCTGCCTCAGCCTCCCGAGTAGCTGGGACTGCAGGCGCCCACCACCATACTCGGCTAATTTTTGTATTTTTAGTAGAGATGTGTAAACATCACTGTGTTAGCCAGGATGGACTCGATCTCCTGACCTCGTGATCCACCCACCCCCCTCCTCAGACTCCCAAAGTGCTGAGATTACAGGGGTGAGCCACCGCGCCCGGAATGTTATGTTGATTTTTAAATTTTTACAACTTATTTGATTTTTATAAACACTTTACAGGACAAACGAACACATCAGGGACTGTAACTATTTATCTGAGCACAGCTTGTAACCTCTGTATTAAAAAATGTTTTCTCTTATAATCACTGCTATTGCCAGACCACTATGATTACTAATATAATTGTGATTATTCTACTTTTCTTTTGGGGGCAAGTCAGTATTTTGGTGCTTTGGTGCTACCAAAACTACAAAAAAAGAAATATAAACTGTCAGAGAAACTTTAATCTAGAAAATAAGTTAACATGCACAAATATGTACAATTAGATGATCTACAAGGTACAATATTTTATAAATGCCTATAACAGAAGAAGTTTTTTTTTCATTTCAAACAAAATCATGATTGTGTTTTTAAAAAAGCAGCCCACTCTTGGTGGTCCCATTTTAAATGGATTTGACATTAAGCTAAGTAGTGCCTCTAGAAAGCTTGATACATGTTATTTATTAATGTCATTATTAGCATCATTATTTTAAATGCAATCAGACAGCCAGGGTATTTGTGTACCTCAGGACTTAAACACTCCTTTAAATATGTTACATTTCCTCAAGGTTAATGAGCTTGACACCAAATAATGCTAATTAAAAGGTGGCAAGCATGTGAACAAAGGACCAAAAAACTATGTCCAAAGAAGTTTGTTGCAATGAGGGAATAAAGGAAAGGTTCTAAATGTTAGTGAAGAGGGCCATTGTTAAGTGACTTCTAGAAAATACAGTGCTGTTTTAAAAAGAGTAAGTCAATGATAGTTACTAATTATACAGCATTTGTTATGTGGTTAACATTCTTCTACTTTCTTAGGTGCTTTGATGTAAATAATCCTTATACTTAGCCTACAAGGCCAGTGATATTTTGTGCCCATTTGCAAAAGAGGAAACTCACACTTAAGAAAGCTATCAGTAATTTACCCAAAGTCTCACAGGTTGGAAGTTGGGGAGGCAGAATCTGAATTCAAGCAGACAAAATTGGAGTCAACGCTTCTAAATGCTATCATAAACTAATTTCCTAGGGCTTTTTATACTGGTATGTTACCTGACTCCTCTAATAGTAGTGAAAGTTGCAAATTGAAGAATGATATGTATAATGCAATTCAACTTACTTAAATAAGGTAGTAATACCTAACACATACTTATCTGCATATTCTGTGCCTGGAAAGATACCAGTAATGTCTTCACTGAAGACACTGTATCGCAAGTCTCAGCTTTTTACTTTTGATGTTCATTTCCTTTTGTCTTGTTATAGTAATTTTTTTTGCAAGGTTCTTCAGTTCTCAAGAATTACCTTGCTCTTTCTGGGTTTACTTTTTTGTTTATTTAGGAACACATTGTTTTACACCCAGGCAGCCTATGTTGCTCTCTAATCATAACTTCTTTAAAATTCTTAGAACTGTTGTGAAATTTTTCTTCTTTCCTGCCCATTATTTCAACTTGAACATAAACTGTTGGCTGTATTCATGAGCCTCAGCCCTAGTACTGTACACTACACAGTCCCCTTCAATGAAATGCACTTTCCTTTTGCCAGCTTGCAAGAGGTCATATCTAGACCCCTATTGGGGGCACCCTGTTGATAACCCAGGTACTAGCTGATGGCCAGGAAGGCTGTACTTCTTATGGTCTGGCTCTGAGCAAAGAGAAAGCTGTAGCCAACCTCCCTTTTTATTTCTTGGGAGACATCTTCCATGGTTCCTTGGACATAAAATTGTGCGGAATCTATTGAGACTCATATCCACTGGCTTCAGTGGCTTCTCAAGTCTCCAGTGTAAAACAGAGAGGGTTCAGAAAATCCTACCAGAGAAGAGACTTAGATGCCTTTGCTCCAAGTTTTAAGGATGTATTATCATTCTTCTACATCCTAGGTTACAGTGTTTTGCCTGGGAGTACAGACAATAAACACTAGGTTTTCCTACCCTGTCGCCTGAAAATCTCAGGCAAATTCAAGATCTAGGACATGCTTTCATACTTTTCCAACATACTGTGGGTGTGATGTTGCCAAAGAAGAACTGAAAGAAAAGGGAGTGTCCAAGCTGCCTTCCTTCCATAGGGCGACACAAAATATTCTCAGTGGCTACAATGTCTTAAAAATATCCATCAAGCAAATGTATTCTAGTTTGTTTAGTGTCTCCACTCTTGCTAGATGTATGATAAGCTGGTAATTTTTACCATATGAACATCCTTACCCAAACGTTTTTATTCTATTTTAAATAGCTTTTAGGATGAATTCCTATAAATTTGGATTCTGAGTCAAAGGGTATAGGAGTTTCTTTCATTTGGATACATAGTTCAAAACTGGTTTCCCAGCAGTTTGTTCTTATTTTTAGGATTGCCTGCAATGTTCAGTTTCTATAGCCATTAATCTCACCCATGACAACATGGGTGTCCGGAGTTGGTTCCTGCTGGTGGGTTCATTGTCTCCCTGACTTCAAGAATGAAGCCGTAGACCTTCATGTTGAGTGTTACAGCTCTTAAAGATGGCACAGACCCAAAGAAGGAGCAGTAGCAAGGTTTATTGTGAAGAGCAGAAGCACAAAGCTTAAAACAGCATGGAAGGGGACCCAAGCAGGCTGCGGCTGCTGGCTGGGGTGGCCAGTTTTTATTCTCTTCTTGTCCTCACCCGTGTTCCATTTCTGTCCTATCAGAGTGACCTTTATTCAATCCTCCCCACAACTGGCTACTTTTAGAATTCTGCTAATTGGTGCATTTTACAGAGCTCTGATTGGTGTTTTTTACAATCCTCTGGTAAGACAGAAAAGTCCCCGCTCGACCCAGGAAGTCCAGGTGGCCTCAACTCTCAATCCCCTCTCTAAACATGACACCCTCAACTGCTGTTGGGAAGAAGGCAATGACTGCAGTAGCTACTTTCTGCAGAAAAGAGTGAAGAAAGAGCTCTGTAGTTGTAGTGTCTTCCAGAGGGGAACTCCTTAGGCCAGTCAAAAGGTCAGTGGATCAGTCCAGGGCTCCTCGGTAGAATTTGTGAGTTGAGCTCATTTGGATTTCCATTTGTAAGACCATCTGTAGCTTGATGGCCTCAATCCTGGAGGAAACAAATTTGACAAGGAGGTTAAAAATACAGGGCTTTAAGGTGAGTAACAGCAAGATGGCTGTCACGGGACCTAGAAATGGGAGAAGCCATGTCATCCAACTCCAGAGGTTGGTATAAGAGTTTGAAAGGGGTTGTCTGATTTCAAAAGCCTTTTCCTTTAATGCCAGGCAGTGTTTCTACTATCCCAGATTAGTTACTGTAAAAACAACACTCTTCAAGAAGGTACAAAGTCCTCCTTTCTCAGCAGTGAGGATGTCTAGGCTTTGGCAGTTTTGGAGAGTCACTGCTACCAAAGAGTCTGTTTGGGATTGAAGAGTAAGGATAGATTTTGTTATTTCTTGAAAACTGTCTGAAAATCCTTTGAGAGTGTGTGGTAGTAGGATAATGAACTAGATATACTGGCTATTGCAGTTCCTGTAGCAGTGGCCATTCCCAAACCCTATAAGAAGGGGCGTTAGTTGTGTGGCCCTGCACTGATGGACTTAAGCTTTGAAGGGCATTGATAGGGTCTGATTTCCTAGGGCAATGTCAATGTTGGGACTTAGGAAAACTAAGGTGCAAGTGTCTGTCGAGTTGGGGGGTAGGCAGATGTAGGTTGAAGTTCCACATAAGAAGAATATGCCTTGGCTCGGTAGACAGAACTGGTTGTGTATGTTAAAAAGGTATATGAGTTTGTTGTTTTCATTTTCCCGTACTCCTGGAGTAATTGCCAAAGTATCCCAGTGAGTGGCTGGAAAAGGGTGTTGGGAGCAAACTGAGTGGCTCCCTGTGTTCTATGTTCCCACTGGAGAAAAAAATGTTTTGTATCTGCTAGGAACCATTCAAAAAAGTGATTGAAAGAGGGGAATGAGAAGGCATTCATCAGTGGGGGGGGGCGCTGCTGCAGGGTTCCAGAGGTGAATGGTCATGCAGGGAGTATATTTGCCATTACAAAACCTGGACTGTTTGTTAAGCAGGGAGGAGGTGATGGTTTTGGGGGTCCCTGAAAAGCAGACAAGCTGCCTGAATGGAGCTGTTCGGGTGACTCGGAAGTTACTAAGATCAGTTGGGTCTTGAAGTTGTAGGGTGTAGGTGAAATAATAGGTGCCCAGGGGCAGGCCTGATAACAGGTTGCACTGGAAGCATAAAAGGGCTTGGAAAGTTAAGATGGTATTTGTGGTTACGGGGCCATGTATGGGCTTTTTATTGCTCATGTACTAGGTGAGGTTAAAAATGTAAGAATGTAAAAGCTGGATTGCTTGTCCTGTTAGGGTATTTTTGGTCCTATCAGAGTTGGGGAATTTGGCTTATGATTGCATATTTAGAAGTTGGAAAGGGTCACTGCCTTCATAAGTAGATTAAGTTAGTAAAGACCCAGTTTTTTTGAGGGAATGGGAGTGGCAACACAAGCAGTGGCTGATAGAGAGATATAAAGCCAACAGTCATTTGCCAGGGAAGGATTGGACTCGTTTAACAGAGAGTGGGTTAAGTTGAGAAATTTGTAGAGGTAACTAGAAGCTAGTGGAAGGGGAGGGGAGACTGCATGGGGTTTCCAAGGAAGCAGGAGTGATAGATGGGCAAAGAGCAAGTAGGAAGGTAAAGAGGTTGTCCTGGAAAATGAGATCATTTTATTTAGTCTGAGTTAAAGGTAGGAGTAAATTGCTGTCAGAAAGGATAAGGCCAGGCGTGGTGGCTCATGCCTGTAATACCAGCACTTTGGGAGGTCAAGGCGGGTGGATCACAAGGTCAGGAGATCGAGACCAAGGTGAAAACCTGTCTCTACTAAAAATACAAAACAAAATTAGCTGGGTGCAGTGGCAGGTGCCTGTAGTCCCAGCTACTCAGGAGGCTGAGGCAGGAGAATGGCATGAACCTGGGAGGCGGAGCTTGCAGTGAGCTGAGATTGCACCACTGCACTCCAGCCTGGACCACAGAGTGAGACTCCATCTCAAAAAAAGAAAAAGGAAAAGAAGGATAATAGAAAAAAGGTTGATGTGATTAGGATTTTCATCCCACAGGAGCTACAGTATATAGTCCAACTGCAAAGAGTGTGGTTAGTATACTGCTTAATAAAGGGATGAAACAGTAAAGGAGTATATTAAAGAGGCAAGGAGAGGTGTTAAAGATTATGTAGGTTTTCACTTAACTTTTAAAATAGGAAGAGGTTTTTCCTTAGGATCAGCTATAGGAGCCTTTTTAGTCTGGGATGTTTCCTTCCAAAATAGGAGACAAAAGTCCTCCAATGGTTTGTGGGTGTATCAAGGCTGGTCTGGCTGATCTTGGGACTCCTGAGCTGATGGTTCCACAGGTTCCTAGGGGGTGCTGAAAGTTTAACTCGGATATGGTGAATCCAATATTCCACTCCTGCCACCTTAACTGCAGTGGGGGTAGAGAGGATTACCGAGTATGATTCTTCCCTCGAGGAATCCATAGATGGGGAGGTAGAGGGGAGGGACTAGACCGACACTAGATCTCATGGTTAGAACAACTCTGTTTCCTTTTCTCCATGACATTCTTCAGGTAGGTTTTTAAGGTTTTGTTGATAATTTGCCAAAGAAGTTATGTCCTTGACCAAGTTGGCTGTTTCCTGATCAAGTAGGAGGACATTTGTGAGAAATGGTCATCCATACAGCATTTTATGTGCACTGGGCCCCATTTTGTGAGGAGAATTTTTGTTTCTCAACAAGGCCATAGGCAAGAGAGTAGACCATAGGAGACGACTTTCCTGTGTTAGATTCTTTATGTGCACCTTGAGTGTTTCATTTGCCTTCTCGACCTTCCCTGAGGATTGTGGCCTCCAGGTGCAATGGAGATGATATTGTATCCCTAGCACCCTGGAAATTCCCTGAGTTATCATGGCTTTAAAGGCCAAAACATTGTCACTTTATAAGTTTTGGGGAAGCCCAAATCTAAGAATTATTTCATGAATTATGACTTTAACCACTTCCTGAGTCTTCTCTCTCTTGCAGGGGAAAGCTTCTATCCAATTTGTATAGGTATCAACATAGACCAGCAAGTATTGAAATCCCCTTGACTTAGGCATATGGGTGAAGTCTAACTGCCAGTCCTCTCTGGGATAGTGCCCTATTCTTTGCTCCCCCAGAGGAGCCTTACAATGGACCAAGGGATTATTCCTTTGGCACACCTCACAGGCTTTGATTACTTGCCAGATGTTCTGGAGGAGATTTGGCCCTGTAAATAGGGACTTGGACATTTTATGAGTATTCTCAATACCCATATGAAAAGTTTGGTGGAGGGTCTTAAGTATTTTCCACTGGCTGGCTTTGGGTGAACCTTTTTTGTGAACCTTTCACTTTTATGTCATTACCCATCCTGAGGGGAGAAAACTATGCCTCCGTGAAATGCCCCATTCTGTTTCAGTTGGGAAATAATGGGGCTTAATATCTTGGGGAGGGTTGTTCCATACCAAGGGCACTTCCATGGGTATTTCTAATGGGAGGTTCTGTGTGGCAGAAATTTTGGCCTCAGTGTCTGCCTGACATTTTCCTTCTTCTCCTTTTTTATGGCTTTTTCTCCTTCACTTTTTTGATGGCTTCAGCAGTGTAAGATTGCCACCTCCTTGGGTTTTTGCACTGTGTGCAGTAACTCCATGATTTCCTTGTGGTATTTAATGGGGGTTCCCCCAGAGATTAGGAACTCCCTTTCCTTCTATATTGCAGCATGGGCATGTAGGATTAGATAAGTGTAGTTGCTATCTGTATTCACATTTAATCTTTTTCCCTTTCCCAGTTCTAAGGCTTGGGTAAACACCAATAATTCCACTAACTGGGCACAGGTCCCTGGGGGAAGAGTCTTACTTTCAAGTACTGTTACAACACTAACTATGGCATAACCTGCCCTTGATATCTCATTCTCCACAAATTAACTTCCAATGCTATATATGTTAAGGTCAGAATTAGCTGAGGGGACTTCTGAGAGATCCTCACAGGCAGCAAAATCTGGGCTACAATTTGTTGGGAGTCATACTCTATTGGTTCCCCATTCTCTGGGAGAAAAGTAGCAGGGTTGAGGGCCCACATGTGTGTATTTGAAGCACCAGTCCTTCAAGGAGTACTACTTTATGTCTAAGCAGGCAGTTGTCTGATAGCCATAAATTTCCTTTGGTACCTACTAGCCATTTACTTCATGAGTAGTCCAGACAGTAGGATCCTTCCCTTGTTTTATTTTGATAGCCTCTGATGCTAAGATGGCCACCACCACAACTACCCATAAACAGTGAGGTCAGCCTTTTGCTACTACGTCAGTCTCCTTACTTAGGTATGCCACTGGTTATGGGGTTGTCCCATGAGTCTGGGTAAAGATGCCAAGAGTTATTCATGCTCTTTCTGTGATGTATAAAGAGAAGTTCCTTTGGGAAGGCATAAGGCTGGTGCTGGTACTAGGGCCTGCTTTAAGGTTTTGAAGGCTGTTTCTGCCTCTGGTTCCCATTATACTAGATTGGTATTTGCCCTCTGGGTCTCCTTGATTAGAGTGTAGAATCACCTGGCCATCTCACTGTATCTAGGTATTCATAGTCAGCAAAAGCTGATGATCCCAAGGAACCCCTGCAATGGTTTTAATGTTTTAGGGCAAGGACAAGTGAGTATAGCTGTATTCATTCATTGCTGAGGGCCCTGGCACCTCTGGTTTTGATTAGGCCTAGATATTTAACTTGTTTTAGGCAGAGCTGGACCTTAAATTTAGAGGACATATACCCTTGATTAGCTAGAAAGTTCAAGGTATCTAGAGTAGCCTGTCAGCATGAGGCTTTCAAACTGGTAGCCAAAAGTAAATCATCCACATACTAAAGGACCAGAGTGCCTGGACTTGAGGAGTGGCCTAGATCTTGGGCCAGTGCCTGACCAAACAATGAGGGCTATCCCTAAAACCTTGAGGCAAGACTGTCGAAGTAAGTTGGGAGGTGTGCTTTAGGATCCCCAAAGGCAAAGAGAAACTGGGAGTCAGAGTGCAGGAGAATGCAGAAAAAGGCATCCTTGAGGTTCAGAACAGTGAACCATTCTGCTTCCTCTGATATTTGAGAGAGCAGTATATAGGGGCTGGGTACAACTGGATATAGAGGAATTATTGCCTCATTTTTGAGTCTAAGATCTTGCACTAGGGTCCAGTGACCGTTTGGCTTTTGTACTCCTAGAATTGGGGTGTGGCAGGGACTGCTGCATTTTCTTAATAAGACTTGAACTTTTAAATATCTAACAATATCCTGTAATCCCTTATGAACTTTGGGCCTTAAGGGATATTGTCTTTGATAAGGAAAAGTGGTGGGGTCTTTTAGCCTGATTGGGACTGGGTAGGGATTTTTGCCCTTTAGAATTGTCCTTCCAATGCCCAGACTTCAGGGTTGATTCCTTTCTCCAGCAGGGGACAACAAATATGTTACTTTTTCCTCATATTCATATAGATAATAGTTCCAGCTTTAGCTAATAGGTCTCTCCCTAATAAGGGTGTGGGACTTTCAGACATAACGAGAAAGGCACATGAAAAGAGATAAGTCTCCCAGTTACAACTGAGGAGGTGGGAGAAATACCTGGTTACAGGCTAACCCAGGATTCCTGGGTTGGCAACAGACCATGGGGACAGCCGTCCAGGGCAGGAGATTAACACTGAGAAAGCCCCAACCATGTCCAAGAAGAAGTTAATTTCCTGGCCCTCAATGGTTAACTTACCTGGGGCTCAGTGAGCATGATGTCATGAGCTGGCACTTGCCTTGGGCACCCTCATTCCTGTCGTTGGATCATGTGCTTGGGGGCTTTTGGCTCAGAGAACCTTTGTCCTCTGGGATAGTGCATCTTCCAGTGATTGCCCTGGCTTAGTGGACATTGGCGAGGATGAATTTTGCTTCTTGTTGGACAATCTTCTTTAAGGTTTTATTGTAAACCACACTGAAAACAAATGCTACTGGCTGATTGGCCTGCTCCGTTTTCTGTCTTCTCTTAACCCCCAAGGTTTGTTTGTCCGAGGGCCATGACAAAGGCTGTGGCCTTTCTCTTTTCTGGCTTTTCTTTTTTGTCCTGTTCCTCTTAGTCCCTATTATAGAACACTGAGGTTGCCAGGTTTAATAATACCTCCAAATTTTGTTCAGGGCCCAGGGCTAGCTTTTGGAGCTTTCTCCTGATCTCTGCAGCTGATTAGGTAATAAACTTATCTTTTAGGATCAATTGACCCTCAAAAGTGTTGGGAGACAGGGGATTATATTTGCTTAAGGCCTCCCATAGTCTATTGAGGAAAGTGGTAGGATTTTCTTCCTTTCCCTCAGTTATGGTGGACATCACTGAATAATTCATGGGCTTTTTCCTAATTATCCTTAGTCCTTCTAGAACCAGGAAAACAGGTGTTTGCAACTCCATTCCCCATAATCTCAGTCTAGGTTTCCAGTGGGGATCCATATGGGGGAAGGCTTGCTGACCAGTAGGGAATTTGTTCCCTTCTTCAGCTGTCATTCTATCATTTACTAGACTAACATACCAGGTATCTCCAAAGTCTCAGGCTGCAGGTAAAGTCACATTCTTTTCTTTAGAGGCAGGTTTGATCTAATAATAGCATGACATCTCTCCAAGTGAGAGTGAATGTTTGCCCTAGACCCTGTAGGACATTTATATACATATCAGGATCATCTGAAAACTTCCCTGGGTCTACCTTGATCTGCTTTATATCAGAGAGAAAGAAGGGGACATGTATCCAGGTTGGGCCAAATTCCCTTCCCCCACTACAGCTTGAAGGGGGCATAACTGATAGCCCAGGGGGTTTGTGGTACCTTGGAGATTTATTTGCTTGTTTTCTTCTGGGTGGGGAAATTAGAGGAGGCTTATCATTAATAGGAAGAAGAGCTGTAAGGAGGCAGGATATGAAGGTAATCTGAGAGGTCCTCCTGTGGAATGTAATTTGCAAGCTTTGCATAGTTGTGGATTATCCTTCGATGAAAAGAAATCTTGGACATAAACTATTTCACTCCATTAGCCTTCCCTCTTACAGAAAAGGTCAAGCTACAGGATAGTATAGTCATTTATACTTCCCTCAGGTGGCCATTTTTCCCCATCAGAGAGAAAATACTGGGGGCAGAAAACAAAAATAAGCCACTTCTTTTTCAGGATTTGTGGATCAAATTGGTCCCAATGGCTTACAATGAATTTCAAGGGTGAGCTTGTTGAAGCCTGAATATTTTCCATCTGAAAGAAAAAACTGCCCATGGTTGTGGCCTTTTTTTTTTTTTTTTTTTCCATTACCCAAGAACCTGCAACAGTCCCTGAACTCTGCTGTTTGGAATAGTTGTGCCCACTGAAGCAGCAGTGGAACCACTTGTTTATCTCCTAGACCACAAAGAGAACCAAGGAAGGATGGATTTAGTGGCCCTTACCAATGCATTCTGAAAAACCTGCAACCTTGCCATTCCTCTTAGACCACAAAGAGGCCAAGAAAGGTCAGATTTAGTGTTTCTTGCTGACGCATTCTTGAAAATCTGTTAGAGTCCTAAGTGTTTTCTCTAGTTGGTATTGGCACCTTACCCTTGTCCTATAAAGATGATATGCCTCAAAATGTAGTGCAGGACTATGCACTGAAGGAGAGAATGCATCTCCAGGTTTGGAAGGGTGACAGCATTTTTCCTCACTTCTCATTATGTGAATAGAAAGCATATAGCCCCCAATTTCAGAGTCTATAATTTCTAAGGCTCCCCATATCCTAGCTTCAGGAATAGCATTTGTTAGGCCTGCCAGTCTGAGGACAGATCCTAAAATTCCAGATAGTCCCCATACAACAGGGATTTCGGCAAATATGTCTTTCTAATTGGTAAGCCCAGGTGCCTAAATAAGGGAACAGAGTCCTGAAATTTATATTAAAAATTATTCTTATAGAAGAAACTAGAAGAGCACCAGGGAAAGGAAGTGGTTTTTAGAAGTGTCACTAGCCTCAGAGAAGAGAAGTCAGAGGAAGTTTGTCTGACAGGCATTAGGACCCAAGAGGCAAGGGTCAGGATAGATAGAATAGATGGGCAAGTCTTGCTTTGGTGACATAAGTTTGAGAGTTCTGCACATGGCTGCAGGGTCAACCAACTTTTTGTCAGGACCCCAGATCTCAATGGCTTGCTTGTTTGTCAACCCTTGGCTCAGCCCAGAAGTGCAGGAAAAGCGGAAGCTGGTTACAGGCAAACCAATGCTCCTGACTCCAAAGAGTCATGGGTTGTTAAAGAGACCTTTTCCAGAAAGCTTGACACCTGTGTCTTTAGCCCAGTGGCTGCACTAGTCACTTTTAACTGGCTGACAGATGCGTGGTGTTTAGCCCCCAAATTCTAAGGAAAAATAGGACAGAATAGCAAGTGAAAGAGATCCGATGGTACTCACCACATGGCAATATCCCAGACAAACCCCCAAGTTGAGTCCAGAGTTGGTTTCTGCTGGTGGATTCGTGGTCTTGCTGTCTTCAAGAATGAAGCCAAAGACCTTCATGGTGAGCATTACAGCTCTTAAAGATGGCATGGGCCCAAAGAATGAATGGTAGCAAAGTTTATTGTGAAGAGCAAAATGACAAGGCTTCCACAGCATTGAAGGGGACCCCAGTGGGTTGCCACAGCTAGCTGGGATGGCCAGCTTTTATTCCTTTATTGTCCCCTCCCATGTTCCATTTCTGTCTTATCTTGCCCTTTTTTCAATCCTTCCTATGATTTGCTACTTTTAGAATTCTGTTAATTGGTGCAATTTACAGAGCACTGATTGCTGCATTTTAGAGAGTGCTGATTGGTGCATTTTACAGAGCACTGATTGGTGCATTTTAAAGAGCAATGATTGGTGCATTTTACAGTCCTCTTGTAAGTCAGGAAAGTTCCTGATTGGTTCATTTAACAATACTCTTGTAAGACAGAAATTTTCTCCAAGTCCCCAGTTGACCGAGGAAGTCTAGCTGGCTACAACTCTCAATGGAATTCCTTGTAAGACTCAGTTAAGAAAAGAATTACAGCTGGTGCCTTTTTCTCCTTTTATTTTGTAAAATCCCTATCTCACCTCCTAAAGCTCAAAGGATCTTTTTATCAACAATAACAAAAGCTTAAAGCAGGAGGTGGGAAATATATGAACAATTGTCTCAAAACAAAGCCTTTCCTTTTGTCGTCTTTCTTTTGCCTCAAGATCTTTAAACAGTTTTCCTCCTTTGGGCTTCTCTAGGTTTTGCTCCTCCCTGGAGATTTCTAGATACCTTAGGAGAGAGATGTTTTTCCATTGGTGCAACCCTTAAGCAACAGATTTCTCCAGGGAATTGGCTGATTCTTTAGTACATTTCAGAAATGTGAAATTTCTGGGCATCTTGAGGCCCCATTTTAACTTTTAGCAGAGTTGCATAATGAATGACAACTGTGATGTTTTGTTCTAGGGGCTTCTCATCCACAGCTGAGTATTGATCCACAGCTAAAAGGTGTTTGGACAGGTATTGCAGTGCATAACTGTAGTCCAAGCTACTCAGGAGGCTGAGGTGGGAGGATTTCTTGATCCCAGTAGTTTGAGACTACAGTGTGCTATGATCACACCACTGCATGCCACCTGGGGTGATAGACTGAGACCCTGTCTCCAAAAATTTTTTAAATATAAAAAATAAAAAGTGATTAAATTCAACCTGAGGAAATTGAAGAATCTTCATCCCTACATTTGAGGGCTCTAATCAAATTTAGGATCACCGTGCTGTTGAAAAGGAAAACCTACCCAGCTGACTAATAAGTGCAAATGCATTCTCTTTGAAAATATCTAACCACTTTTGTGACTTAAATTCTATTTGTAGTTTCTTTTAGTTTCCAGGCAACTAAATGTCATTAATAAGAGAAAACTTGACACTAATTTGCACTCCATATAAATTCTTTTTCTGAGATCCCCCAGTAGTATGAATAAATACCCCTACCCATATAAAATGGGGATCCACTGTCAGACTATAAGACTCCTCTGACAGAGACACAAGCTTCTTTGTAACCACTTTTTTTCTGTGATATTTCTTCTATTACTTTCCCCAAAATATTTAATGCTATGCATTGCTCACAGTGACAAAGCTTATACCATAAAAACAAAATAGAGATGCAGACACTAAGTGAATTGTCACAAACTGGTTTTGTAATTTAATCCACTCCACTATATTATGATCTCCAGGTTTTCCTTTACTTCTCCCAGAGATCTTAGACCTCTTTCTTTCTATGTCTTTAAGTTTCTGTCAATTGAGAGTGCAAATATTTGTGAACTTGCCCTATCACATTTCCACAGTTAGCCTAACCAGACACTTAGGTAGAGAAAGTAAACTTTTCATGCACAGCCTCAGAAAGTTTCTTACCAATTCTAATTTTCTGAGCCAATTCTCCACACTGGCATAAAAATAACATTCATGATATTTTTTAACCTGAAACTAAGCTAAATAAACTCTTCTGTCACTCTTTCCAGCTTCAGGAGGGTGATTATTTCACCTTAATTTGAGAGGCATGCATTATAGATTTTCAGGAACACACAGTCATTGTATGAGCTGTTTTTTCATACTCTAAGGGAAACAGAGAGTAAAGATACTATCCAAAGTATTATTTGTATTCTTGTTTGACAGAACTCCAAAACGTCTCAAGAGGCAGACCTAATATACACCTTGGCTGAGTGTTGTAGCTCCAATATGCTTTTAAAGATAATGACAAGAAGCCAGGTTCTCAGCCCTGTTTCTTGCCAAAGTGGAAGGAAAGAAATGTCGGAAGAGGCTTAAATTCCAAGCTTCGTGTTCAGCTAAACTATCTTCACTGCAGTTTCTCAATGTTGAACTGTTGGGCCTGCAGCTGAATAATTTTGTGCAGGAATTATTATTCTGATCCCTGGATTTTCTACTCACTGGTTACTGTTGGCACATGAAGCACCTCTCCCACTGTGACAAACCAGAATGTCTTCAGGAGTTGCCAGATATCTCCAGGGTGAAGGGAGTGTAGGCAATGATGGCCTTGGTTGAAAACTATGACTGCAGTTCTGTGCCTCTCTAGCAATCTCACTAGCTACCAATAGGGATTTTACAGAAGACTCTTCTTCATATACTTGTGTTTAATCATTTACTTCATTAATCCTCTGGAACTATGCTGTCCAATGTGGTAACAGCTTGCCATATATGTATATTTAAATCAATCAAAATTAATTCAATTTTAAAACCCATTCTCTAGACATATGTGGATACTAGGTTTTTCATTTTAGAGAATATTTCCATCATCCCAGCAAATTTTACTGGACAGCACCAATCTAAAGAAAGCATACTCAGAGTGAAACAAATCACCCCATAGGGACAAAGAAAGGGTTCTTTCTTGGGAAGAGAAAACCTCCCTCTATTTATGAAGCATAAATATACATAATGTATGTTTTACTTACATAAATGCATATATACAACATGTCTGTGGTATTAAAGTTATCTGTAATAGGAGTAAGGTTAGAAACCAGAAGACTAAAAACTCACCTTCAACAGGGCTTATGAAAATACACTATGAATTTTTTCCCTCTTTTGAGATATAATTTGGAACTTTTTTTTTTTACTTATACTTTAAGTTCTAGGGTACATGTGCACAATGTGCAGGTTTGTTACATATATATACATGTGCCATGTTGGTGTGCTGCACCCATTAACTCATCATTTACATTAGGTATGTCTCCTAATACTATCCCTCCCTCCTCCCCCCACCCCATGACAGGCCCAGTGTGTGATGTTCCCCTTTCTGTGTCCAAGTGTTCTCATTGTTCAATTCCCACCTATGAGTGAGAACATGTGGTGTTTGGTTTTTTGTCCTTGTGATAGTTTGCTCAGAATGATGGTTTCCAGCTTCATCCATGTCCTTACAAAGGACATGAACTGCATAGTATCCCATGGTGTAGATAGGCCACTTTTCTTAATACAGTCTATCATTGATGGACATTTGGGTTGGTTCCAAGTCTTTGCTATTGTGAATAGTGCCACAATGAACATACCTGTGCATGTGTCTTTATAGTAGCATGATTTATAATCCTTTGGGTATATATCCAGTAATGAGATGGCTGGGTCAAATGGTATTTCTTGTTCTAGATCCTTGAAGAATAGCCACACTGTCTTCCACAATGGTTGAACTAGTTTACAGTCCCACCAACAGTGTAAAAGTGTTCCTATTTCTCCACATCTTCTCTAGCACCTGTTGTTTCCTGACTTTTTAATGATGGCCATTCTAACTGGTGTGAGATGGTATCTCATTGTGGTTTTGATTTGCATTTCTCTGGTGGCCAGTGATGATGAGCATTTTTTCATGTGTCTCTTGGCTGCATAAATGTCTTCTTTTGAGAAGTGTCTGTTCATATCCTTCACCCACTTTTTGATGGGGTTATTTGATTTTTTCTTGTAAATTTGTTTGGGTTTTTTATAGACTCTGGATATTAGCCCTTTGTCAGATGAGTAGATTGCAAAAATTTTCTCCTATTCTGTAGGTGGCCTGTTGACTCTGATGGTGGTTTCTTCTGCGGTGCAGAAGCTCTTTAGTTAAATTAGATCCAATTTGTCCATTTTGGCTTTTGTTGTCATTGCTTTTGGTATTTTAAACATGAAGTCCTTGCCCATGCCTATGTCTTTAATGGTATTGCCTAGGTTTTCTTCTAGGGTTTTTATGGTTGTTGGTCTAACATGTAAGTCTTCAATCCATCTTGAATTAATTTTTGTATAAGGTGTAAGGAAGGGATCCAGTTTCAGCTTTCTACATATGGCTAGCCAGTTTTCCCAGCACCATTTATTAAATAGGGAATCCTTTCCCCATTGCTTGTTTTTCTCAGGTTTGTCAAAGATCAGGTGGTTGTAGACGTGTGGTATTATTTCTGAGGGTTCTGTTTTGTTCCATTGGTCTATACCTCTGTTTTGGTACCAGTACCATGCTATTTTTGTTAGCGTAGCCTTGTAGTATAGTTTGAAGTCAGGTAGCATGATGCCTCCAGCTTTGTTCTTTTGGCTTAGAATTGTTTTGGCAATGCAGGCTCTTTTTTGGTTCCATATGATCTTTAAAATAGTTTTTTTACAATTCTGTGAAGAAAGTCATTGGTAGCTTGATAGGGATGGCATTGAATCTATAAATTACCTTGGGTAGTATGGCCATTTTCATGATATTGATTCTTCCTATCCATGAACATGGAATGTTCCTCCATTTGTTTGTGTCCTTTTTTATTTCATTGAGCAGTGGTTTTTAGTTCTCCTGGAACAGGTCCTTCACAAATGTATCTGAGTTCCAGCTCCTTCACATTCTCATCATCATTTGATATTACTGGTCTTTCTATTTTAGCTATTCTGATGGATGTACAGTGTTATGACTTTCCAGGTTTTAGCAGTTAATGCTAATCATGTTGAATATTTCTTAGTATGCTTTTTGCCATTTATGTATATTGTGCAGTGAAATGTCTTTTCATATGTACTGATGATTTTAATTGGCTTTTCCATTATTATAAGCTGTAAGAGTCCTTTATGCAGTTTGAATTAAGGTTTTGTTGAATTTCTTGTCTTCACAGTCTTTTTTCCATTTTCCTAATGATGTCTTTAGAAGACCAGAAGATTTAGAATTTGAAATTCACCATGTCAAGTTTTAATGGTTTGTGCTTTTCAAAATAAACTTAAAAAACTATTCTGTAACTTGAGGTCACAGTTTTCTTACAATTTTAGCTTTGGGGTTTAGGACTGTCTATGATACAGTTAGAGTCAATTTTTGCAAAAGTTGTTAAGTTAAAACTTAGACTTATTACACTGTTTATACCAATAAATAGGTTTAAAAATTTACCCACATATATTGTTATACTATTACTATTTGTCCTCAGTCCCTCATTTGATTCTACGTATCAATCTGATGCCATTTTTTTATGTGTGGAGAAATTATTTTTATATTCTTTGTAAAAGATTTCTATTGATGGTAAATTTTCTCTGGTTTTGTTTGTCTAAAAAAAAATCTTATATTTACATTTATTTTACAATAATTTATGTGCTAGATAAAAAAGTCCAAGTTTTTTTTTCTTTTATTGTTTCAAACATGCTAATCCATTGTCTTCTGACTGGCGTGGTTTCTGAGAAGTTATCTGAAGTGACTGTTATCTTTATTCATCTGCATTAAATGTGCTTTTTTCTTCTAACTCACTTTGAGATTTTTCACTGTATTGCTACGTTTAGTCAATTTGCTAAAGATTTGTCTTGATGTGATTTTATTACATTTATTCAATTTGGAGTTTGTTAGCCTTATCCAATCTTAATTTTATAATTATTTTCATATGTGGGAAAATGTCAATCATTATTTTCCAAATAATTTTCTGTCCCATTTCACTATTTTCTACTTCTGGAATTACAATAGAACTTGTATTAGGCTGCATGATATCTTTCCACAGTTAATTTCTCCTTGTTTTTATGCTTTTGTCTCTATGGCTCAGGTTAATAATTTCAATTACTGTGTCTTCTACTTCACATGTCTTTTCTTCTCCATCTTGCAATTAATCCTGTGCAATAAATTTTTATTTCATATATTTTATTTTTCATCTCCAGTATATATATACATATATATATGCAGTTCTTTCTTAGCCTTCCAATTTTTCTTATTATAATCATGTTTTCTTTTAATCCTTGACCATTTTGAGTATAACAACTCTTTTAAAATCCTTTTCTGCTAATCCCATCACTTTAATTTCTGAATCTGATTCTCTTATTTCTATCATGGAAAACATATCACATTGCCTTGATTTTTGGCCTTTCTATATAATTTTTAATTGGATGTGGGAAATAATGCATGTCATTTATTTTAGAGTCTAAATGTTATCTCCCTTTAGGAGTTTAAATTCTCACCTGAGGTAAATTTAAGTTACTTATGGATCAGATGGATGGCTTAGAGGATTGTTTTTATGCTTTGTCAGGGCATTGTTAGAGTAACAATTACCCAAATTTAGTTTAGTATTAATACTAAGACTTGGTCCTACTGCAGTCGATAATAAGGCTGTAGTTCTTAATTCTATGCTTTCAACAACTTAAACTTTCACACTTCATTACCCTTTTTATGCTCTGGTAATTGTTCTCCTTACAGATCCCTGGAGATTTCTGAACAGACTGCCAGAATTTCATCAACTATGTATATATCCTTGTTTTTAGAAAACACATAAAAGAACCTCTATGCAGAGTTTTAGAGGTCTTCCTTTATGAAGTTTTTTGTTTTCTGGAACTGTGTCCTGCAACTCTTGCCACCTCAGCATCCCTAAACTTTGATTTCTGTTTTGTCAACTCGGTGATTGCCTTCCTCTGTTTTTACAGCCTAGAACGTTTCTCCAGGATCAAAGGACAACTGTCAGACTCATACACACGAGATCCCGTTTCTGTCTTGATCATTGTGTAACATCTGAAAGCAATTGTTTCATATATTTTGTCTAATGGTTTGTTTATTTCTTATCCATTTTTAGTCCAAAGCATAAATCCCACTAATCTTCACATGTTTCTGAAATAAACATATCCTCAGTATCACCATGGATGTCTCTGAGTATCTTCTCATTTTTTGGTAACTTATTTAAAGTAGACACCATGCAAATTACTCTCTAACTCTTCAGCTCATTTATTTCTCAGAGCATTTATTTCTTCTTATAAAATTTCACAAAATACAAAAAACATCTTTCTTACTTATTGGTTCAACAGTTTATTACATTCTTTCTGGTTAAGGTATTTTGCTTTGCACAGATTAAGTGCTCTAAAATGTGAGAATTGTAGTAGGTACTTGAAATAAAGCTCAATTTGTGGAATGGTCATTCTACCAATTAAATTTCTAAACCTAACCTTATAATTAATAATTAATAATTAATTACTTAATTTATTATTGACTAATATTTTCAAATTAGTTATTCAAATAAAAGCATGTAGCATAAACATTCGTTTAATTTTTAGTGTAATTTCAGGCCATATGTATTCCTCTTTCAAGGTCTGGTTTCAAGGCCATCTCCCTCATATCACCCACTGCATAGCACCCCATCCTCATGTCCCACTCTTTCTGGAAGGATTCTTTCGTATTTAGAGGTATCACAACTTTTTTCTTAGCTTCTATGATGCATTTTATTCTGCCTAGGAGAGTGAGTTGCTGAGTTGCCCTTATTGATATAAGCTACAGGATGGCAGCAGTGAAGTGTCACATCACCTTATCATTTTCAGTAGAAGCAATAAAACTTCCATGGCCAGGTTTGAAAACCTCTTGCCATAGGATGTTTTTACTGAAACATTTTGTTTTAAAACCAGCTGGAACCAGTGGCTCAAGCCATAATCCCAGCATTATGGGAGGCTGAGATGGGAGGATCCCTTGAGCCCAAGAGTTCCATACAACACTGGGCAACATAGAGTGACCCTATCTCTGTCAAAAAAAAAATAAATAAATAAGCATTAGTCATGTTTGGGGGCACATGACTGTGGTTCCAGCTAGTTGAGTGGCTGATGTGAGAGGATTGTTTGAGCCCAGGAGTTAGAGGCTACAGGGGGCTGTGATCGTGCCACTGCACTCCAGCCTGGGTGACAGAGGAAGACCCTGTCTCAATAAATAAATGAATAATGTTCTCTTTCTCCCCTACCACACTGCTCCCCCTCCCCCAAGGTGAAAGTCTGGAAGGCTGAATTAAGGTTTGCTTTCCCAGATATATAGATCTGAATTTAAAAATATGTTGGTGCCATGAAATATTTGTGTATACATTGGCTTTTTTAAAATGCAGTTTTTTAAAGTTGCAGTGTAATAAAACTGCTAAGCTTTATCCATCTGGTGTAATATAATACTTAAAGCAGAAAAACAGGTCTACCCATAACTCACATTTATCTAAAAATTGTACTTGGGGCCACTATGTAAAATAAATAGACTGAAAAATAATAGAATCTCTACAAAAGAAGGATTTGTGGTCTTTTCAGCAACTTAAATAGATTTCTCTTAATAAGTTAAATGATTTATCCTGTTTTCCATTTGTTTTGGTTATATGAATCATATTCGTCTATTCTTAACTCCTAAGTTTATGCTGAAACTGTAAATTTGGCAAGGAAAATTGTGTCTTAATAATGCCTGTTTTCCCAGAATAAAGGCAAACTCTTGTTTGTACAAGTTTAATTTGTAAAGCACACTTTATAACAATATAAAAGATGTCTCTCTTTAAATCAAGAGCCCTATCATTTCTTTTCCATTTGACATCTGCAGAGTAACAGTAAATATTTCTTAACTTAGAGGAAGGTAAGGCTATTTTTGAAGTGAAGCCACTTAAATTAATCCACTGGAGTGGGTGTTATTCCCTTCATCACCCATCTGCCTTAAATATGGCACCTGCACAGACAAAACAAATGCAAAAATAGCTGCAGATTTAAATAGGTGATATTGTCTCACATATAAAAGATGAGTCTTATCTGTGATATAAAAGTAGCTGTTTAATACTTCTAGCAATTTTCACTGGCTTTATTTTTTCATAGTTCCAGTATTTGGAATGTAATTAATAGAACCATTTAACTTTGTTCTTCAAAAGGTTTTCATTTTCCTAGCAGGCTTCAGTCACTCACTAATGATAAATATGTTATATTTTTAGCTACATAATTATCTATTTTCCATCTAGTTCATTTATTATGTATTTATTTATTTACAACTTGTCCTGTTGCTAAGCTTCTAAGGTGGTAGCACATTAAGAAATGTAATCCTTATTATGTATTCATCTCAATTTTAACGTATCAGAACTCCATCATGGGAAGATTAAGTGGTCAAGAATAGGCCAAGCATGGTGGCTTATGCCTGTTATCCTACTACTGTGGGAGGCAGAGACAGGAAGATCACTTGAGATCAGGAGTTTGAGGCAAGCCTTACCAACATGTCAAAACCCCATCTCTACCAAAAATACAAAAATTATCTGGATGTGGTGTTGCATGCCTGTAATACCAGCTACTTGGGAGGCTGAGGCTCAAGAATCATTTGAACCTGGGAGGCAGAAGTTGCAGTGAGCCAAGATCTCACCACTGAACTCTAGCCTGGGTGACAGAGCAAGACTCTGACTCAAAATAAATAAATAGTCACAAATGGCTCCAGATTAGTAATCTGATTCTGGTAAAGTATTTAATAAAATATCTAGTATCCAAAATATTTCAACTATATTTACATGTTATTATTATATGTACAAACATAACCATATATAACAAACATTTACACTGGGCTCCAGATTAAATTGCCTCTCTCAGGTGCACTCCTCTGGCCTGTTTAATAGAGGGTTCACATCTCTTGTGTCTTATTGTAGATGAAATTATAGGCTCATATTTTATGTCTCCTTGTTGAGAATAATGCTGAAAATCCTAAGGAAATTGAACACTCAAACAAAGGATGCTTAGCAAAGCAATTTTACTTCTGCGCAGAGGGGTGCTTCTCCTTGGCTAGTTGCCATGACAGCACACCTGAACAAAGGGGCACAAAAGCCTTTATTCCTGACACAAGTCCTGCCCTGTATGTTTTCCCCTTTGGCTGGGTTGGGTAGTACACTCTAAACTAATTCTAGTTGGCTAAACATTTGAACTTGTTTTGAAATAAGGTGGGCACATAAAGGAGAGAGGGGAAGGAGAAGAGGTGTCTGCAATGAGCTAGACAACTAGTCTTCTTTCCAAACAAGGAAAGGAATGTGAGCTGGTACTGATAACACCTGGTACCGTGGAGTGTCTGGGCATGTAACAAAGGAAGAAAGGAAGAAAAAAGAGAAAAAGGAGAAAGGGGTTGGGGGGTTACTATGAATTAAAGAATAAAGGATTGATTAGGTTATTTGAAGATAAACCTCATCATATCCCATATCCTATTTGTTTTTAACATATAGGACCGGGAGATGAAACATCATATGTAAAAATGGAACAGTGATAGTCAAACTCCCAAATGAGGAAATAATCTTCTTAGGAATAGAAACCAGACAGGAACTCAACACAGTAAGAGGAACTGCTGCACTCTAGGCCTAGGAGCCAGGAGACAACCAGAGTGTAATTCTTGGGAAATGATGGAAGTTGCCCCAGAAGTGCAGGAGACAGAGCTCTTTCTTTCCAGAAATAAAAGAGTTTGAAGATAGCTACTGACCATTGCTCAGAGCTGGCATGTCTACAAAACTGAGATCCTAGGGAGGAGAAAGTGAGCTGACACAACATCTCCACCAAGAACTGAGCTGAGCAGGCTGCAGATTTGGTGAATGAACTTGTGACAACGTGACTCATGTCTCTGGGTGAGAATTCCAACCACTGAGGATAAGACCATAGAGAAGGGTAAGGAGACAAGGAAGTTAACATATGAAGACATATGTGTGTGCAAAGAAGAAAGAGAGACAGAGACAGAGTTAGAGAGATGCCTTTTACTCACCTGAAGGTCAAAATCCCGAAACACATGCCAAAAGAATCAAGAAGTGGAAAATGCAGTCTTCCAAATTAACCACAATTTTAGATTTTAAAATAGACAGTAAGCAAAATTCCTTTGAATGGAGCAAGCATTCTCTAGAGGAGTAGTCACCTTCAGCACAGGACCTATAATTCCTCCAGGGAATAGGACCTCTAATGCTTCTGGAGACCACAAGGAAGAAGCAAAGGAAGATGCATGCAAGAAGAAACAGCAATCATGAAAAGAGCAAAGAAAATCATAAAACAGAGACAGGCAGGCACCAAATAAAAGCAATTGAATATAGAAATTGCAAAATCACAACTACAGAAACAAAAAAAGATACAGTAAATAATATGATTTGGCTCTATGTCCCCACCCAAATCTCACCTTGAATTGTAATAATCCCCACATGTCCTGGAGGAACATGGTGGGAGGTAATTAAATCATGGGGGCAAGTTTTTCCCATGGTGTGCTCATGGTAGTGAATAAGTCTCATGAGGTATGATGGTTTTATAAATGGGAGTTCCCCTGCACACACTCTCTTGCTTCCCACAATGAAAGACGTCCCTTTGCTCTTCATCTTCCACCATGATTGTGAAGCCTCCCCCACCATGTGGAACTGTGAGTCCATTAAACACCTTTCCTTTATAAATTACCCAGTCTCGGGTATGTCTTTATTAGCAGCATGAGAACAGACCAGCAGGGTAATGGAGATAAAATATAATACTGTAAAGTGTAGACTCTACAATCAATGAGAACGCTGAAAAATAGTATAGAGGAAGTGCAAAGAAAGAAAAATTAATATGAATACATAAAGAGTCATTAGGAGATATGTTTATGGACATGGGTTAGAAAAAGGACCAACCAAGGCAACAACGGTTGGAAAGAAAATGGATGGAAATATTCTTAAAGAAACATATGAGCTCTCACATTGAAATACATCACTTGAGTACCAAATAAGATAATCAGTAAATTTATAGATTGATATAAAACTAAAGAATATTAAGAATGAACACAAAGTGAAGTATCTCCCCAAGATATTTAAAAAAGAGCAGATTGCAAGAGAAAGACTGTTAGTCTGTTAGTAGATTCACATAAATATCAGGAGAAGTAAAATGGTCTTGGAGAAATAGTCTAAGGGCAGAAAAATAATCATCAATTGAAAATCCAATACCCAGCTAACTTCAGACCAAGATGAAGCTATGGAAACCACTTTAAGATATAGAAAGACTAGGAATTCACCACCCATATATCCTTAATGAACAAATTAACAAGGACAGTTCCTCAGCAAGAATAGAGGAATAAAGGGGAAACAGTTGGGCAGAAAATAATGGGGATTTCAGATACTGTTAAACACTGGTAAATTTCATGAGCCATCCACTGAGACCAAATGAAAAAGATTGCAATTATTTTTTCAGGTAAACCGAATTCTAGAGGGAAGATGGTTGTGGGATGTGGTTTTCAAATATCATAAACATGCTAAATTTTAAGCAACTAAAACTTATACTTTATTGAAAATGTAAGTGTCATGAAATTGTAAATGTACAATATTCTGAATTTATAGTTCCCTCTGCCTAAAATGCTTTTAACAGCAGATTTGTATGTCAACTCTGTAGTCCATAGCTGCAAAAATTTGGCAAAAACACACAGATTCTGTTGTGTCTGTAAAAACTGACTTCCTGTAATGTCTAGGGCTGTGCTACTTAAACTAAATGTGGATATAAATCCCCCAGGAATCCAGTTAAAAGCAAAAGCACCCAGATTTTGTTGTGTCTGTAAAAACTGACTTCCTGTAATGTCTAGGGCTGTGCTACTTAACTAAATATGGATATAAATCCCCCAGGAATCCAGTTAAAAAACAAAAGCACCCAGTTTCTGTTGTGTCTGTAAAAACTGACTTCCTCTAATGTCTAGGACTGTGCTACTTAAAATAAATGTGGGCATAAATCCTCCAGGGAGCCAGTTAAATGCAGACTCTGGTTCAGTAGGGCTGTAGCAGGGCCTGACAGTATGACTTTCTAACAAGCCCCCAGGTGGTGCAGATCTAAAGATTGCAAATTCACTGGGGAGATGCATGAGTAACACCACTTCTCTCTGGCTATTTCTAAAATAAGGGAACTTTCCTTTGGCATTTACCTTAAGTGTTTAGACCATGCATTAAGTACAACAAAAACTATCATAAGGAACCAGATGTCACCTACGACCTATGTCACACTTTTCCAATTTCATCTCTCATAAGGTGGCCTTATAACCTCCTCTAAGTCAAAAGCAGGAGATGGCAATCTTTTATCTGCAAAAGACAGATAATAAATATTTTCAGCTTTGAGGCCAGATGGTCTCTATCACCACTACTCAACTCTACCTTCATTGTACTGTAGGATGAAAGCAGGGATAAGATATTGTGTAAATGCAGGATGGTGTAGCTTTGTCCCAATATAACTGTATCTGCAAAAACAGGTGGCAGAGAAGATGTATTTCATGGGCCCTAGCTTTCAGACCCATGAAAGATATGTTAACCTGAGTCACTATTCCTTCTAAGTAATTTTGAGCAGAAAAATCCCCAATATTCCTTGATACTTTTTGGCATTTCCTATGCACCTCATTTATTAATCAAGTGCTATTTAACATTTTTTTTTCTTTTGATATGAAGTCTTGCTGTGTCACCCAGACTAGAATGCAGTGGTCCACCTGTTTTGGCCTCCCAAAATGCTGAGATTACAGGTATGAACTACCATACCTGACCTATTTAACACTATTCTTAAAAGAATAACTAATAACTGAAGTCCTGAGATCTTGTGCCTGAACAGGCTCATGATAATCTGTTGCAGTGGGTAACTGGAAGACCTTAAACAGGAGATCTTGGTTTTTCCACATTCTTCTTTGATTGATTGATATTATTCTCTGGGTAGCATAAGTCACCTGACCTTTCACGTAAGAAAAAAAAACAAATTCAGTCCCAGGAAGGTTAGACCTGTTATCAAAGGACATAAATCTAGATTATAAAAGAGTTGAGTCTGGATTCCAGTTTTATGATTTCCTTGTCCAATTATCTTCTTACCCTGCAAACAGCAGTCTCTGTTTCCTGTTGAATATGTCTACTTCTAGTCCTTTTGGAAGTTCACCATCTTCCTTAATGTTTTATGGTACTTGTCTGTGTACCAATGTATTTTACCTGTTTCTACAATGGCTTTTGATCAACAGAAGAAGTTGCAGGAGAAATGTAAATGGCATCAAATATTCAATACTCCTTTTCCCTTAAAAGGACATTATCTACATAAACAGAATTAGAAGGTGATTTCCTATAATAATAAAATATTCCTTTACTAGGAAGAAAATCTATGGGGACTTTTCTCCAGTTCTTAATGCTGTTTTCAGACAAGAAGTATGTAACTAGCAGCTATCCCTGATAATTCAGGCAGACACAGGGAAGGACAAAGAAAGCCCTTCTTTTCATATTGGATTTAAAAGGCCTTCACTGATATAGCTATTTTTGTTTTATAATTGATTCCATGATGTCTAGGAGCAATTTCTTTCTGTGACCTTCTCTTCCAGTGACTGGCATGGTTATCTGTTTCCCAGCAGCAGCACATGGTATGTCTGTCCACAGAGCATCTGAGTGGTGTTAAGGAGCAGCAGTTCAGGCCACTTCATTGCACCATGCCCCTCACCCAGATTTGTCTTATTCTATTATTTTTCCCTGTATATTTGCTCTTGAACTGAATATGACAGCCTTAGGACTGTAGTACTAAGTGCTCTACTGTTAAGGTTAAAGTGCTTAGAGATATCAAGTTCTTATTTTTCACAGAAATGCCACGTCACACATTCACTTAACAAATAAAACAACTGGGTCATAGAGAGGCTATTGAGGAACAATGGAAAGGGATGAAGTAGGTTCATGGGGAATCAAAAACAGTGATTTCTTTTTCACCATTTTGCCAGCATACTCTCTTCTCAAATGTAAAAGTAGGTTCATTGAATGTGTGCAGTTACAAGAGACAAGGATGAAATGCATTTTACAATATGTATATCACACAGGTCTTTCTTGGTGAAATTCATGCCTATCCTGCATTTTGAGAGCTTCTTTTAGCTGTTAGCCTGCTGAATAATACACAGATTTATAATTCATGATACACAAGAAGTAAAATGGAAAAAATATGATCCTTTTCTTCCAGAGATGCAAATGCACCCATCCCCTTTTCATGACTTGGACAGAGTCACTCAGTCAAAATAACTTAGAGTGGAGAATGTCCAAATGCTTTGGCACCAAAAAGCTGTATGAGGTTGCCAGTAAGAAGGATTCTAATGTTCCAAAGGCTTGGAGATGGGAGTTAGCCCTAAATGCCATTAGCTCATGCCCAACTTTTGGGACGTCCATTCATTGATGGTCCTCTGATATTATCTTTCAGTCCAGATTCCTTTAAACTTGGAGTTGAAGAGATGCTACTGAATTTTGGCTTAATCAAGAGTACTCTTGTAGAATGACATGTACAATTCCTAATCCAGTTACCTCTCTTAGTCCTTCGAATAAGTATTATTGTCACATGCCACTTTCTTTGAAGCATCATATATTTTAGGTTGGTGTAACAGTAATTGCAGTTTTTGCCATTGAAAGTAATGGCAAAAATCACAAGTACCTTTGTACCAACATAACAGATAAGAAAATTCATCAGAAGAAAGAAAACATTAACCAGTGTTTTACTTATTCACAGTTATATAAAGGATGGAACTGCCTAAAAAATGTTTCTGTTTTGATTTGAAATTCATAGCAATGTCCATTTCTAGAATAAATAAAGGGTGCCTATTCTAGCATCATGGCCCTGACATAAGGTTAGAAGTTTCTTCTTACTCTTACTAATCCAGTGGTATATGCCACTCTATACAGCAATGCACACCTCTAGCACAGAATGTTACAATCCTTAAATAGCAAAGAAAATGGGAGCTAGACCATACCTCAGACTCTCAATGATCAGTCTCTCACTTCCTTCATCCTCAAAGCATTCCTTCAGTAGAAAATCTTCCTGTAAGGGAATTGTAACTCCAGAATGTAGAAGAACAAGCAGAAGGCACCAATCCGTATGGATAAGAGAAGCAAGGATGTCTCCCTGCTTAGATGAGCTGGGTCCCTGTGCGTGAGTGTCTTCAGTGTTTTCCTTTCTTAGAGTGATAATTGTCTATCTAAATGGGCAATTCATGACATTCAGACTTTGATGCTAGTGTCAGTGGAAGACTTTGAAATACCATGAAAAGAAGGTACATGTTCCAGTTTAAAACAATGTAATGTCTCCAAGCTCCTCTGTGCATAAAATATAGAGTCAGAGCCATAGCTATATTCTTTGCAACACGGTATTGATTCCAGATTATCTTGAATCTGGGAGGGGGACATTGACTTACCTTGTTCATATATGTCAGGGAAGGCTTGATAATGCCCATGCTTTCATGGGAGATCCAAGGAGAACAAGCAGTTCTCATTATATAAGATCTTTTTTAGGCTAGTCAATTGGTTGCTTATTTTGGTTCAAAATCTTATGAAAATGTGAGGGGTGTGTGTGGTGGCTCACACCTGTAATCCCAGCATTTTGGGAGGCTAAGGTGAGTGGATCACCTGAGATCAGCAGTTCAAAGCCACCCTGGTCAATATGGTGAAACCCCATCTCTACTAAAAATACAAAATTTAGCCAGGCATGGTGGTAGGTGCCTGTAATCTCAGCTACTTGGGAGGCTGAGACAGGAGAATTGCTTGAACCCAGGAGGCAGAGGTTGTAGTGGGCTGAGACTGAGCCATTGCACTCCAACCTGTGCAACAAGAGTAAAATTCCATCTCAAAAAATATATATATATTTAGAGGAATCAGTGGTTTGTTTGAGTATTTGAAACACCTATGGCAGAGGAACTTGAAAAGAATGTGTCACTTTTCATTGTCTGGTTTTTTAGCCTTTGTCACAAGGTGATTTTATTCTTGTGCATCTAATGACCAGGAGAAGTCAAGACGGTTTCATTAGCACCTGTGGCCCCATATGGTGCCTTAGTGTGACCAGTATAAGCATACTAATTTTCTTAAAGGAAGCAAAACTAAACTGTATTTCTTGTGAGAGGTTAGAAACACATGATCTGCCTTATCATCCTTGCTAAATCTTGTGGTTTCCAAATGTAAACCATGTTGTGAAGTGTGTTAAAGGTTATGGAATGTGGACTGTGTTTAATTGACATGTAATTCATTATACTACTTCCTCTTCAGTGATTCAAGTGAAAGCCAGACTTTTCCAGGAGTTTTCAAGTGTAGCACAAAAGAAAGAGACAGTGGAGGAAAAATTGCACTTATTGAAAGAAATATTAGCCAGATGACTGTTCGAGTGACTGCAGATGACTGTTCCCTAAGCCTAGCTATTTCTTTTCTCTGCAAACTTTTTTCCTGTTTCCAACCCTTAAGTCAGAATCCAGAACTTTTCTGATTCTTCTATGTATTTCATTTTACTTTGACTCCTTCAAGATGAAGTTTTCTTATTTATGCAGGAGGACTAGCTTTATTTGACAAACATCCATGATCCTTTCTGACTTCCAGGCCTTGTAGAAAAATGAGGTTTGATTACCCATTGCATGGCAACAGAACAATGCACCAAAACAGCAGGAATTGCCATAGAGAAAGAGTTTAATCATCACTGGGCAACTAGGTGAGGAGTTAGGAGGGAACCTCAAATTCACCTCCATGAGGAGTTTTGGACTTTTTGTGTTTTTAAGAAAAAATTGGTGGGTAGAGGGTTGAGGAGCTTGTAATTGCCAATGAGGTGTGATTAGAGAATTAGACATGAAATTATAAGGATGTAGAAACTGCATTTTTGCATTGAGTCAGTTCCTTGGAGGGGATCTTCAGACAGGCTGGCATCACTGGACCCACTGGAAAGAAGAATCTGGAAAGTATCTCCAATGAAGAACTTGAAGTTTCTTAACCTTAAGATGTTATCTACAGAAACAATTAAGGAAAGTTAGGACTTCGTTACAGTGGCCATTTGACTTTTTGACAGTAAGCAGCTATAAGGAAGTGGGCTGTTGGGAAAGCTGGTTAATGCTTAGCTTTGCTTCTGCTCAAAGCTTAGGCTTTTGCTTAAAAACTACCAGTTAAGTTGCATTAATTTCATGGTGATGGCTTCACAGGCACTGTGTTAAATGCTCACACTGCATGAATTATTTCCATCTCTATGACAAGCTTATGATGTAGGTGCTCATTTCTCCATCTACAGGTAAAGAAGTGCAGATACAGGGAAGTTAGGTAATTTTTCAGATATACAAGTGGGGTGTCAAAGCCAAGTCTGGACTGGACTCTACATGCTTCCTCCCTTCTTATGTCTGCATAAACATATTCAGATAATGAAGCAAAACAATGTTTGCAGAGTATCCAACCCAATGACAGGTGCAAGAAGGCAACCATAAAATGGAAATTATCTTTTTCCCTGAAAGAGTCTTATTCCTGGGACTCAGGGTTTTTGCCTCTAGTATGTGTCCCCTGTGATTCACTCCATTCACTATATAACTTTTTCAGTCTTTATACTCACTTAGATAATCACATTACCGTTACCTGGGGTGACATGCAAAACCATGTTCTTCAGTGAGGAGGCTCCATCCTTCTTCAGGAAAGCCTTATTCTTAATCTGTAAGCTGCTCGCAGAGATTGCTTAATACTTTCCAAAACCTGTGACTTCCTTACATATGGTAAGCATTCAATCAGTAATTGCTGTTTGATCAATACACCCAATATAACCCTTCATGTGGATAAGTTTATGGAATCTTTTCCACTGGGTCTTTTCCATTCTTTCCTGTTATAAAATCATTTTCCATTGTATATCTGAAAAATTACCTAACTTCCTTGTACTTCTATTTTTTCATCTGTAGATGGAGGTATTATGAGCACTTACCTCATGTGGTTGTCATACAGATGGAAAGAATTCAGGCAATGTGAGCACTTAACACAGTGCCTGTGAAGCCATCATCATGAAATTAATGTCACTGAATTGGTAGTTTTTAAGCACAAGCCTAAGGTTTGAGAAGAAGCAAAGCTATGCATTAACAAGCTTGCCCAACAGCCCATTGTCTTACAGCTGCTTTCTGTCTAAAAGTCACTTGGCCACGTCACAAGGCCCTACACTTTGTTGGAAAATAGTTGATTTTATAACAGGAAAGAATGCCATAGAGACAGATCACAGGAAGGAAAAGAGACAAAAGCTTCACAAATGGGAGTGTGGACTTGCACTTGAAGAAAAACGTTTTCTTTCTCAGACTTTAGGTGAGATTTGCTCTCTAACTTAGTGCTTCACTGTCTCTGTTCTTCACAGCATGGGTTAATCTGGTATGCAACACAAAACTATTTCACTGCAGGGATAAATATAGGCCTTCTTTTTTTTTTTCTAATTTGGTATGGGTTATCTATAGAAGTGTAAATGGTTACAAAAAGAGATTGCTTTTCAGAGAAGTACATGTAAGATACAGAAATCTCTAGACGTGCCTGTACCTTAACTTTGAAAAAGAGAAATATTTGAAGGGTAAGAGCTGCTTTTCCTAAAGAATCATTTTAGAAAATGTTCTAGATATTCCTGGCACATAATAAGGCTTGTAAGGATTTGGGGTTATTTTTATAATTGTAATGTAAATATTTGGATTCCAGAATATTGAGATTTATTTTATTCTCCCACTATTGCAAATACAACAACAAGCATGCAGTATTAGAAAAGAACAGAATAAAATGAATATGGATATGACTTAAAAAAATTTAAAGCTCAATGATCAAATTTAAATTTGCTTTGGAATTGGTAAAGAATGGAACTGAAACTCAAAAATAATCAATTTTCTGGCATGTACAACATGGGATACATTCCGAGAATGAAAAGAAAATGACATATAGAATAAATTTAAAAAGAAATTAAAAATACAAATGACAAAGAAAAGAAGAAACTTAAAATTAGTGTTCTTGAAGATGATTTGAAAGCAAATGGACCAGAAATAATAGTCAACGTTGTAACACAAGAAAACCCTTCTAAGATAAAAAAAAAAAAAAAAAAAAAAAAAAAACACAGTTGCAGATTGATGGAGTTCACTTGGGTTTGAGGAAAATTTAATAAAAGTAGATCCAAACCAAAATGTGATATATCATCACAGTTTAAATAAAAGTAAAATGACATCTATAATCACCATGGCAAACAAAGTATGTGACATGGTATGGAAGTATTCCTGGGCTGACTCCAAGCTTCTCTGTAATATCAAACAATGAAAGATCAAGTAACATCTACAGAGTGTTGACAGGTTAGGATTCCAAGGCCAATAATTCAATTCAACTCCCTGAAAAAAAGATTTCCTTCAAGCATAATGGCAATAGAAAGGTGCACTCAGGTAGGCTATGATTTACAAAGTATACCACATAAATAGCTCTTCTGAAAAATAATTACTTGAATATATATTCCAGTTTACCAACATATAGATTAAAATAATGATCCTACTTATAATCCCTAGATTGAATTATTTAGTCAGCTTTCTAGACTGAAATTGTTGAAAACATCATTGTAATGGAAAGAATGAGCTCAATATAATTATTGAAAAGGAATAATTAATAGTAAAAATTATAGTTATTGTAGAAACAACTGTATTGTTATAGATTCCATTCACTATATTTTGAAATTCATGTCATCTTTTTAAGTCTCATGGTTGTCACATGAGGTAAGCCTTATAGCCCAAAATTATAGAGAAAAACAGAGTTGAATGAAGTCATATACCCAAGATGATGTGGAAATTTTGTACAGGATGCAACATAGGCATCCCATTTCCAATGTCATGGCTCATCCTTGAATTTGGCCAAAAATCTAGACCAGCAGTTTACAAATGTTTTCATGCTTTGGAGTCAACTGAGGAGCTTCAAAGACAGTGCCTCTGTGTCCTCAACCCCTGATATTCTGATTTAATTTTCTGGGGTGTCACCTGGAGTTTGGAGTTTTAAACAAATCCTTGGATGATTCTAAGATGCATACAAAGTTAATGAATTTAGACAATAATAATATCTGATTTCTTCTACAAAGACTTGGAAATGGTGTGATGGGAACAGAAAAAACTTTAAATCTGTTACTACTCATAAGGAATAGTTGACAGTAATTGGTGAGTTTTTCATTTTGGCAATTAGATGAAGATTGGTTGCAGAGCTCTTAATACACTGGTAGGAAATATGGAAGAGTTTCAAGGGGACATTGTGATAGAATGTGATGGAGCTAGGAAGTGGTACACACCTGGGGTGGTTGTGCCTTCAGGAGACATTTGGTAATGTTTGGAGACATTTTTGGTTGTCATCAGTAGAAAGCATGGAGTTTGATTATTGGTATCACCTGAGATACTGACACAAATTTGGGGAAAGGCATGGATTCCTCCAGCTAGAGAGTGTATGATAAGATTAATGACATATTCCTTAAACATTTAGTTTAGTTTTTTTTTTTCCTGAGTCAAAATGACTCCCTATCCATGTATGCATGCATGGTATGTGTATGTGTGTGTATAAACACACACACATATTCATTTTCACTATATTTATATTATTTATTTAATTTTATTCCTTTCAAGTTTGACCAAAAGAGCCTACAACCAGTATGTTGATATTTTGAAAGAAAATCTGTATTTGTCTTTATTTTCTTTATAATCTTTCAACATTGATCACATACCTATACCATTTTTTTCAGCTGATGCGTTTTGGGTGATGTCAAAATTATATTTAGGAGTGTGCTTCAGAGAGGAAAAACATGTACGGTTCCCATTTTCAAGCATGCTGCAATCCTGAATCTACTCCTTACAGAATTTACATGTCAACTTGAATACATGATGTTATTTCATTCTGGTTTTATTTTATTTTTGTGTGTGTGTATGTGTTCATTTTTTTTCCTCCGTGGGTTGGGTTAATACATAACTCATGTCATCATCATGAGACTTTAAAAAAGATAGCACGTGAATTTCAAAGTATAGTGTAAAACAGAGAGAGTACACATAACAAAACAGAAGGTACATAAAAAAACAGTGAGAGTACACTATGATATCTTTAGTAAATATATGTAAGTGTTGTACCTAGTTTCACATCTCAGTTGCTCCCATATCACCAACATTATTTTTTCTTTCTCCTCTTAGTTGTATCTTACAAGTGTCACATATGATCATTTAAGTCAGAGATGGAAACTCAAATGCCTGCAGGAGTCAGGCAGCTATCACACAGGCATGATTCAGGCTGTGTGAACAGTGGGGAACCAGAGATGCCTGCAACTGGGGAGTGCTTGCCCATTGCAAGAAGGAGAATAAGAGGGAAGAAAAGGAGGAGAAGGAACAGGAAGAGAAGAAGGAGAAGGAGGATACAGAGCAGGGAAGGAGGGAAAAGGAGGAGGGGGAGAGAAGGAAGAGAAAGAGTGAGGAGGAGAGGGAGAAGAGAAAAGACAAGGAAAAGGAGAAGGGAAAAGAGAAGGAAAATGGGAAGGAGAAGGAGGAGGAGAAGGGCGAGGAGAAGAAGAAGAAAAGAATAAGAGGAAGAGAAGAAAGAAGGAGAAAGAAGGAAAGGAAGGGAAGGACAGAGGGAAGGAAGGAGAGAGGGAAGGAGGGAGGGATGGAAGGAGGGAGGAGAGGTGAGGCAGAGAGGAGCAGAGGAGAGGGAAGTGGAGAGGGAGGGAGGGGATGGGAATGGCAGGAGTAAGGAAGGGGAGGGGAGGAGGATGGAAGGGGAGGGGAGGGGGATGGGAGGGAAAGGGAGGGAAAGAGAGTGAAAGGGAAGAAAAGGGAGAGAAAATGAAAGAAGAGGAGGAAAAAGACAAGATAGAGGACACAGTAAACATGGGGCCCAGGCTGGCCAAATGAAGCCCTTCTACAGTCTAGCATGGCCCCTTGTTCCTCTCCTCCCTTTGGTCATAGGTATGCACTGAAGAGAAAGGAGTAGAATCAGAATCTGAGTCTTTAAAAGATATTTAGGCACATCAGATTACTTTGAGTAAAATACATAGAAAATGATTATTACTGTATTGAGTGTTTTCAGAGCATATTTGTGACACATCTTACTTTCCTCTATTAAAGACCAGTTGCAAGAAAGGGTAATGGGTGGAAGCAAAGGAAAACAAACCCATCCTATCCCACCTAGAGGACAAGTTTTGGTGTAACTTGCTATTTTTAAGGAAACAACATAGGAAGATCACAACTACCTTAAAAGGACTTTTCTGCAAACAGATGTGAGTTATTTTGCATTCATAAGTAACTAAAGCCAAAATTATCCTCAAAAGGGTTATAAAAAAAGGATAATTATTGGCTCGTACCGACTCAATTATACACCATTAGCCTTGTGTGAGAACTGTATTCTTTACCAAGAATTGTAAGTATTCAATAATTGTTGGTGGCAAATGTGCAACGCTTTTGGGGCATAGGTTTGTAGCAATTTAGACTTTTTTATTGTTATTGATTCTTCCCAGAAGGCAGTTTGCTGAGTGAGATGTGCTTTGCGTAAGGACATTTCTGTCACTTTCTTGAGGTTAATGCTATGTGGGCTCCAGTGGCCATGCTGAAATGGAGTGTGAGGTATGAATCTTTTCCTTTTGATTCTTTCAGTGTATCAGGAAAGGACAAGGATGTATTGCTGTGTTGCTGATGGTACCAGAAACTCTTTTATATGATGATGATGATAATATAGTAATTATCTTCTGTGTTCAGAGACAGGGGAAGCTTTTGGGTAACTATCATTAATCCTCTAGCACTGATAGAGACTATCAAATAGAATAAGGAAAGGTAGCCTCAGAGGAAGGAAGGAATGCCCTCCTGCAATTATATGCAGTTGTCAGGAATGAGTCACCCTTCTAACTCTTTATATTGAGCCTCTCAATAGGAGATATGAAAACAGAAAGAGGCACTCAATATCTATTCTGTCATTCTCCTTCTTCCCTGGCAAATGGTTTTCCCAAGTACCAGATAGGGAAAGGTTCAAAAACAGAAGGAAGATTCAGGACTATTGTTACAAAGGAAATATGGTTCTTGGAATGATAGAAATATCTGGAGACTCTGAAAAAGGCCAAGTGTTTTACTTCAGATTGTTGATGCTTGAAAGCAAATTGTGTGCAGTCTTTTTGAAGTCAACAGTTTATCAGGGCATTGCAGATACACACTTCTTGGGCCTTCATGAATACACTAATTGAGAAGGAATTCAATGTTATATCCTGGTCTTCCCTAGATAACATATTAGATAGATATTGATTTGGATAGTATTTTTATAATTTTGCAAATGAATTATTGCACATTGCATCTACTGTCTCTCATAAAAGTCTACACAATAAAACATTCTTTGAATTTTAATTTGAAAAGTAGCAGGGGATCAGGGGAAGGAAGAGATTCATCCCTAGGAATAAATGTGTATGGTTTCTCCTATTAGCAAAAAGTATATATTTGCAGGTAAATCATGAAGAGAGTATTACACACGTTAAGAGTCATGTTTTGTTGTTGTCATTGTTGTTGTTGTTGTTTTGTTGTTTCTGAACAGAGTTTTGCTCCATCACCCATGCTGGAGTGTAGTGGCATGATTGTGGTTCATGCAAGCCCTGTCTTTGAGATCAAGTTATTCTCATTTGAAGGGGTGGCCTGTCCCTCCACACCTGTGAGTATTTCTAGTTGGGTGGGAAAAGAGACTGAGAAAGAAAAATAAGACACAGAGACAAAGTTTAGAGAAACAACAGTGGGCCCAGGGGACCAGCACTGAGCATACCAAGGACCTGCACTGGTACCGTTGTCTGAGTTCCCTCAGGTTTTATTGATTATTGTCATTATTTCAGCAAAAAGGAATGTAGTAGGAGGGTGGTGTGATAATAAGGAGAAGGTCAGCAACAAACACTTGAGCAATAGAATCTATGTCATAATTAAGTTCAAGGGAAGGTACTATGACTGGACATGCATGTAAGCCAGATTTATGTTTCTCTCCACCCAAACATCTCAGTGGAGTAAAGAATAACAAGGCAGCATTGCTGTAAACATGTCTTGCCTCCCACCATAGGGCGGTTTTTCTCTCATCTCAGAATTGAACAAATGTACAATTGGTTTTTAGACTAAGTCATTCAGTTCCCAGGGGCAGGCAGCAGACAGTGGCCTTCCTCTATCTCAATTGCAAGAGGCTTTCCTCTTTTACTAATCCACCTCAGCACAGACCCTTTATGGGTGTCAGGCTAGGGGACAGGTCTTTTTCATCCCATGAGGCCATATTTCAGACTATCACATGGGGAGAAACCTTGGACAATACCCCACTTTCAAGGGCAGAGGTCCCTGCAGCTTTCTGCAGTGCACTGTGCCCCTGGTTTATTGAGACTAGAGAATGGTTATGACTTTTGCCAAGTATACTGCTTGTAAACATTTTGTTAACAAGGCACATCCTGCACAGCCCTAGATCCCTTAAACCTTGATTTCATACAACACATGTTTTTGTGAGCTCCAGGTTGGGTCAAAGTGGTTGGCTAAAAGTGTCTGGGGCAAAGCTACAAATTAACAACATCTCAGCAAAGCAACTGTTTAAAGTACAGGTCTTTTTCAAAACGGAGTCTCTTATGTCTTTCCTTTCTACATAGACACAGTAACAGTCTGATCTCTCTTTCTTTTCCCTACATCCTTCCTTAGCCTCCTCAGTAGCTGGGATTACAGGTATGTGCCACCACTCTCGGCGAATTTTTTGTATTTTAGTAGAGACAGGATTTAATCATGTTGCCCAGGCTGGTCTTGAACTTCTGAGCTCAGGTAATCCCCCCACCTCTGCCTCCCAAACTGCTAGGATTACCAGCGTGAGCCGCTGCACAAGGTCAAGTCATGTCTCAACCCTTGTGAGTTAATGGTAAAGCATACACACACACACACACACACACACACACACACCCTTTATGTATGTGTATGTGTGTGTATGAGTGTGTGTTTATATTTCTTTGGCTTAGCCATCAACAAATTTTGACCTAAGTTCACAATCCAAGCACTTAAACTACTCAATATGAGCCATCTGGAGTATCAAATTATTTGGAGTTTCCTGATGAACTTTGTCTTGATTTATCTTTTATGTTTTATGTTGTGCCTTGTCTTCATTTTCATTTGAGCGTTGCCTCACAGCTTTTTGGTTTTCAGTTGATACGAACATCAAATCAGTGAGAAGGACAGTCTCTTTTTTTTCATATTTTGAGATGGATTTTGCTCATTACTGAGGCTGGAATGCAATGGAGTGATCTCAGCTTACCACAACCTCTGCCTCCTAGATTCAAGCAACTCTCCTGCCTCAGCATCTGAGTAGCTGGGATTACCAGCATGTGCCACCATGCATGGCTAATTTTGTATTTTTAGTAGAAACAAGATTTCTCCAGGTTGGTCAGGCTGTTCTCAAACTCCTGACCTCAGGTCATCTGCCTGCTTGGCCTCCCAAAGTGCTGGGATTGCAGGTGTGAGCCACCATGACCATCATGAGCCACCACCCGGCCTGAGTACAGTCTTTTTTTGGATCTGTTTATGCCTCATATTTTTGAGTATCTCAAGTTTGCCTGGGGTGTCCAGAAGTCATTTTCTCAGTTATGTGACTTAGAACATGATTCTAAGACATAAGTAACCCTACCTGGCAAACTCCTCTTTAAGCATCCTGCTATGGACTGTATTTCATTTCTAGATAATACAGTGAAAAGGGAGGCATCCATACAGTACAGTATCACAGGAATCAGTGAGTTATTAGATCTATGAAGAAAAAGGACACAAAAGGAAAAGCAGAAATAAATACAAAAACCATATTCTGAATGCACTAGGTCAGTCGGTAACAATAATTAAAAAGTGAGTTCACTTGATGAATTTGGGGAAAATCCAAAAGATCATCAAAATTGCAGGTGACTCAGAAATAGATTAAAAACAGACCTCAGGTCACAAAATCTTCATTTCTCCTCTCCAACTTCTAAACATGCCACATGATTTTCTTATCCACCAAATCTTTCTCCTGATCATAGACAACTCTCACTCATATTATCAACATATATAAAATGGATTAAAATGATGAGGTCTTCAAATTTATTCAGAGTAAATGCTGCTTTAAAAATGATTATGCAACACTGAAAAATGATCATGCTGAAAAAACATACTTGGACCGAAGTAACGCTATATAACCTGTCTGATTTGGGTAAAAATCCGTCTTATTCTTTCCATCTTGGTCACAAGGACAAAGATAATTTTATTGTTTTATGGTTTTTCCGGACATCTTCCATATACACAGTTGGATGGATGTTATTTGATGCATTTATTTTTCTGAGTAGCGAATATTAAGTCAATTCTTGTTCTTGCTACATGAAATTAAGAGCTTTTCTTCCACAATCACGTAACACGGGCTCTGGCAAACCAACATGCAGGGTCACAGTCATGTCAAAGAAGCATCCTAAACCCAATCTTGTCAAAATTTTAAAAAACAGAAAACACTGAAATACCCCATGTAGATGAATAGTGTATTAGTCCTTTCTCATGATGCTGTTAAAGACATACCTGAGACTGCGAAGAAAGAAGTTTAATTGGACTTGCAGTTTCACATGGCTGGCAAGGCCTCAGAATCATGGTGGGAGGCAAAAGGCACTTCTTACATGGTGACAGCAAGAAAAAAAGAGGAGAAAGCAAAAGCGGAAACCCCTGATAAACCATCAGATTTCACGAGACTTATTCACTACCACAAGAATAGTGCAAGAAAGACCAGCTCCCATTATTCAAATTAGCTCCCACCAGGTTCCTCTCACAACATGTGGGAATTATGGGAGTATATTTCTAGATTAGATTTGGGTGGGGACACCGAGCTAAACCATATCAAATAGGTAGGTATATCATGGACTCTGCATAAAAGAGAGTACTATACAGGTGTTAAGAGTCATGTTTTCAACCCATTTGAGTTCATGGGTAAATGATCAAAAATATAATGTTGACAGGTAAAGGTTATCACGCCATCTATATATTATTAATTAAGTTTTTAGGGATATGCATATTTTTAAAGATAGATAGATAGATAGATAGATAGATAGATAGATAGATAGAAAAATAGATAGACAGATAGATAGATAGATAGACAGATAGATAGATCTATGTATGCCCCTCTTTATACACCCTTATGTGTATCTGCCACCACACATAGAAAGAGAGACAGAGAGAGTTAAAGAAGAAGATGGGGAAAGAGGAGGTACGGGAGGAGGAAGAGAAGGTGAAGAGGGAAGGAGGTCGTAATTTTTAAAAAGCTTCAACTGTAATGCAAAAAAAAAAAAAAAAAAGCATCCACAGAAAACAAACATCCATTTTAATTTTTCCCAGTGAAAGAATAGACTTTTCTGGGACCTGAGTATAAAAGCAGGGATATATCTGTCTATTCTCCCTCTCAAGTTGGTCAGTGTGATGCTGCTGGCCTGCCTTTGTGTTTGAGTGAGGAAAGACCTGCACTCTAGTAACGACCTAGCAGTTAGCTTGGAGGACCCTGGACATATGTCTCCAGTTCTATCCAACACTCCTCTAAAGTGCCTGTAGTATTGTATCAGTCTGTTTTCATGCTGACATGCCCAAGACTGGAATAAAAAGAAGTTTAATTGAACTTACATTTCCATAAGACTGGGGAGGCTTCATAATCATGATGAGAGGTGAAAGATGGTTCTTACATGGTAGAGGCAAGAGAAAAATGAAAAAGAAGCAAAATCAAGAACCTGGATAAACCCATCAGATCTCCTGAAACTTATTCACTATCATGAGAATAGCATGGGAAAGATCATTCCCCATGATTCAATTACCTCCCCCCGTGTCCCTTCCACAACATGTGGGAGTTATGGGAGATATAATTCAAGTTGAGATTTGGGTGGGGACAGAGGCAAACCATATCATTCTACCTCTGCTCCCCTACAAATCTCATGTTTTCACATTTCAAAACCAATCATATCTTTTCAACAGCCCCAAAGAATCTTAACTCATTTTATCATTAACCCAAAAGTCCACAGTCCAAAGTCTCATCTGAGACAAGGCAAGTCCCTTCTGCCTAAGAGCCAGTAAAATCTAAAGCAAGCTAGTTACTTCCTAGATACAATGGTGATACAAGTATTTGGTAAATACAGCCATTCCAAATGGGAGAAATTGGCCTAAACAAAGGGGTTACAGGGCCCATGCAAGTCTGAAATCCAGCAGGGAAGTCAAATTATAAAGCTCCAAAATGGTCTCCTTTGTCTCCTGGTCTCACACCAGGTCACACTGATGCAAGAGGTAGGTTCCCATGATTTGGGGCAGCTCTGCCTCTGTGGCTTTGCTGGGTACAGCCTCACTCCGGGCTGCTTTCGTGGGCTGGCATTGAGTGTCTGCAGCTTTTCTAGGCATATGGTGCAAGCTGTTGGTGGATCTACCATTCTGGGATCTGGAAGACAGTGGCCCTCTTCTGGCTACATCCACTGGGCAGTAGCCCAGTAGGGACTCTGTGTAGGGGATCCAACCCCACATTTCCCTTTGACACAACCCTAGCCAAAGGTTATCCATGAGGGCCCCACCCCTGCAGCAAACTTTTGCCTGGGCATACAGGTGTTTCCATACATCTTCTGAAATCTTGGACGTTCCCAAACTTCAATTCTTGACTTCTGTGCACCCACAGGCTTAACACCACAAGGCAGCTGCCAAGGTTAAGAGCTTCCACCCTCTGAAGCCACAGCCCAAGCTCTATGTTAGCCCCTTTCAGCCACAGCTGGAGCAGCTAGGACACAGGGCACCAAGTCCCTAGTCTGCACATAGGATGGGGACCCTGAGCCCAGCCCACAAATTCACTTTCTCCTCCTGGTATTCCAGGCCTTTCATGGGAGGGTCTGTCATGAAGGCCTCTGATATGACCCGGAGAAATTCTCCCCATGCTCATGGAGATTAACATTAGGCTCATTGCTCCTTATGCAAGTTTCTGCAGCCACCTTGAATTTCTCCCAAGAAAATAGGAATTTCTCTTCTATTGCATAGTCGGGCTGCTAATTTACCAAACTTTTATAGTCTGCTTCCCTTATAAAATTGAATGACTTTAACAGTACTCAAGACAATTCTTGAATGCTTTGCTGCTCAGAAATGTCTTCCTCCAGATACCCTAAATCATCTTTCTTAAGTTCAAAATTCCACAATTCTGTAGGGCAGGGGCATATACCCCAAAACTCTTTGATAAAACATAAAAACAGTCACCTTCACTCCAGTTCCCAACAAGTTCTTCCTTTTCAACTAAGACTGCCTCAGACTAAACCTTACTATCCACATCGCTACCAGCATTTTGGGTAAAGCCATTCAACAAGTCTCCAGGAAGTTCAAAACTTTCCCACGTTTTCCTGTCTTCTTCTGAGCCCTCCAAACTGTTGCAACCTCTGCTTGTTACCCAGTTCCAAAGTGGCTTCCACACTTTTGGGTACCTTTTCAGTAGTGCCCCCCTCTACATCAATTTACTGTGTTAGTCTGTATTAACACTACTGATAAAGATATACCTGAGACTGGGAAGAAAAATCAGTATAATTGAACTTACAGTTCCCTAAGGCTGGACAGGTCCCAAAATCATGGTGGGAGGTGAAAGGTCCTTCTTACAATTCAAGTTGAGATTTGGGTGGGTTCACAGCCAAACCATATCATGTATTATAGCATAGTAAAAAACATGTTTAGTCTCCGGCCCTCAGTTCCTGGCAAAAGAACTTGCCAGGAACACCTAAAATCCTCTAGATAGAGGTGCTAGAAGAATCTTTTTTTCTAATACTTTTATTTGACTTTCAGTTCCTGGATCAGAGCTCTTAAATTCTTAGAAATGTTCTGGGTGATAGGAGAATATTTTGTTCTTCTGGTGGGCTCTTGAAAAGCCTCAGGATGGGGCTGGTTGCCAGGGAAACCAACCTTGTCACTGGAGGATTGGAACTCCCTCTAGGAACTGGAGAAGGACTAAAAGTTGAGTTGATCACTGTCTTTGTTCATTGAACCAGCTATACCAAAATATCTTGCTGGTGAGGAAGAAGATGGAGGAGATGGAGAAAAAGAAGAGGAAAGGGGGGAGGAGAAGGGAGAAGAAGAAAGAGAAGGAAGAAGAAAAGGAAAATGGGGAGAGGAAGGAGGATCAGATGAAGGTGGAGGAAAAATACTCAGAATCCTAAGAGACGTTAATAAATGATTATGTCTAAGTGATGAGATTTCTACTTTTTTTTTAATTTTCAGGACTTCCAAGATATCATTAACTATTATCCTAACTGGTACTTTATAAAATTAAGAGCAAATGACAAGCTGAAACTCCAAATTTTCTGAAAAGCATGACGCATAGGATACAAAACCTGCTATTAGGAAAAAAAGATAGGGGAAGGGCCCCAAGAATTACATGAGGTAAGTGTTTGTTGTGTTCTGATGAACACAACACAGGATATTGTAGGAATAAGGCTCAAGGCTCCGCTTTTACTTTCAGTGATACAGGACAAGACAATGTCTGAATCTAAGAATCAAGGTTAAAGATAAAGAGGCTTCCTTTTAAGAAATTCTGTGGGCTTGACATGGCCACTGCATCCCCATCAAGATCCCTTTATTTAGTCTCAAGGCATGGAAGTGTCAAACTGTAAGTCACTCATAGTGTAATACCACTCAGGCTAAATTTCGACCAGGAAGTGTGGTGTACTCAAAGCAATTAAGCATTACTCTAAAGGTGATTGTCCTACAAAGAGATGATATGGTGTTTTGCTACCATTTCCTCACAAATTACTGTTGTACTATATAATCAGTTGGGGAGAATGGCAGTATTCACTTTGGACAAGTATGAAGAAAGTAACTGTTAAATTGTTAAATCTGTAGCTTATGTGCTCACCCAAAGAACTGTGCTTTTACACAAATTAACATGAATGAATACACCTTTCAGAAACAGATGGTTCTTACTCCAAGGTAATGTGTTAGTAGGAAGTTCAGATAATCTGATTGTACCTCAACAAAGGGATGAGTGCCAGGCAGATGCTGTTCCAACCGCTCTTTGTGGTCCATTAGCTGGTTGAAGTGCCATCTGGCATTCATTTGAGATGGTCACCTGAGAAACCTAAATTAACATAACATTGCTGAATCAGGTAATCATGCACCATCCTTTATCAGGTAGCCACTTTGGGTTTGAACCAAAGAAAGATGAGCTTGAAAGGTGTGAAGACTGTAGTAGTACTACTTTAAAAAATAAGATATTGTCCTTGATTGAGTTTTTTTTTTCTTTTGGAACAAGGAAACAAACATATTTCTTAAGTTAGATCTCTCTTTACACTGGCTATCAGGAGGATAATTAAACTCCTCATGCCACATGACAAATATTTGTTTGAGATGTTGTGGTAGCTGAGATTTCTTTCTCTGAAACACAATCAAACAAATATACAAAGCATATACTTGTATATATATTTAATTTTAAAATTTTGATTGCCATTTTGTTAAATGTTAGAAATTTTTCAAAAAGCATGTTATTTAGCTGTTATTTTTGTCTTAATACTTTTTTATTAAACAATTTGTGTCATAAACACATTTTCTTATTTCGAAAAACAGCACACACATAGTCAATGTTTCTTCTTAGCCATCTTCTCCTTTTCCAGATATCAAATTCTCCCAAAGCCCCATTCTTGACATCTGTTTTTCCTCCAGCTCTTGTGTCTCTGCAGACAATGTTATCTATTCTCACAGTCATGTATAGTGTTTATATCATGATGACCTCAAATTCTTATCTCCTGCTCTGACTTCTCTAAATTCCTAAATCTAACGGGCTAATTCATACCTACATTTTGATGCCTACAAGGCAACTCAAAATGAGCACGTCCAAAATAAAGCTATTGGTTCTAGATCCTACACAAACTCCAACTCTCATCTTCAGTTTCTGTGTCTCAGTGAACAGCATGTGCACCCAGGTATATACACGTGATTCCTGTCTTTACCTCCACCCACATCCATTAACAGGCTGTATTAATAACTCTTGTCAGCTCTAGTTTTACATTATGCTTCACATCTGTTCAATTTTCTTCATTTCTGTTAGTGTCACCTTATTTCATGCAGCCATCATTTTTCATCTTTGTTCTCACAGAAGTTTCCTAAGTCTCCCAGCTACCATTAATCCCAAATTCCCACATTTTGGATAATAAAATATTGCTCCTTTGATCAAAATGCTCCAGCACTTCCAAACACACTTAAAAATGGAAGTGAAACTCTTACCTAGCCGAGAAGTTCTTTTGTTACTAGCACTTACACATTTCTACCACCTCTTTGCCTCTCACTCTCTTCTCAATCATGATTGCTTCAGTTCTGTTAGCTGAATTTTTCAGTTCATTAAACACTCAACCCTGAATCCTGCCTGCAGCCTGTTTTAGAAGCTGCTCCCTTTGCTTGGAATAATCTACCCTGGTATCTTCACATGTCTGAGTTCTTTGGATATTTTAGATTGCAGTTTACATACCTACTCAAAAAAAAAAAAAAAATGAGCACTGACACTACAAAATGAAGCCATCTAACAGTCAGTCTTCCTAACATTTACCTGATGTATTTTTTTGTGCCACTTATTACTTACTATTTGCTTGATTTTGAATAAGTCATCTTTTTACATTTCATGTTACTGGCCTTTGAAAAGAGCATAATATTTCATAAAGTTGTTTTCAGTATTAAAGGAGTTAATACAAATCAAGTGCTAAGACTAAATATTCACAGAAGCAATCAATTTATTCTTCCACACAGCAGTCAGTAAATGTTGGTAAGCTAGTATTAACTATCATATTATTCAGGATATGAACAAATTTGTTTTCAATTGCAAGTAATAATTAAGTATTAATTCTGCCATGCAGTGCCCATATCCAATTTTCAAATCATCATTGCTGCCTTCTCACTCAAACAGGTCAGATGGCCAAAGCCTTAAAACTGTATAGCTTAAAATTACTACATGATGACACTATAACTGTTCTTACATATGTCTTTGGTGAAAACATATACCCACTTATGTTGGATATTTACACAGGAATGAAAATGTTGGGTCATAGAGCATGTATGTATTCAGCTTGCAGATACCTCTGAACAGTTTTCCAAAGTTCTTTTTCCAAAATACACATTAATATTATATTTTATATCTACTCAAAAAGGTTTTCAAATTAGCTATCATAACAGATAATTTTCCCAGAATATAATCCATATGACAAAACATATTCCTATTAGCTCAAAACATTATAATTAGAAATATATCAGCATAACAATGATATAGGAATTACAAATTACATATCACTCTATATTTATAATGCATATACCACTGTTTGGACTATCTCATTATTTTAATTGCACCAATTATTCCAGCTGTAAGAGTCAAAACAAGCAGTATTTTGTATTTTAGGAATGAATTGAATACCTCATCCAATAGCTCTTCCTATTATCCTATTTTTTTTCTTTTTCTGTTTGTTTGTTTGTTTGTTTGTTTGTTTGTTTTGAGTCAGAGTCTCGCTCTTTCACCAGGCTGGAGTGCAGCAGTGCAATCTCAGCTCACTGCAACCTCCATCTCCTGGGTTCAAGCAATTTTCCTGCCTCAGTCTCCAGAGTAGCTGGGACTCAGGTGCGTGACACCATGCACAGCTAATTTTTGTATTTTTAGTAGAGATGGGGTTTCACCATGTTGGCCAGGAAGTTATTGATCTCTTGACATTGTGATCTGCCTACCTCAGCCTCCCAAAGTGCTGGGATTACAGGTGTGAGCCACTGCACCCAGCCTACTTTTTCATTTTTTAAAGCTTCAAAGTTTCCATTAACGCTCATAAGAATTGTGAATCCACATAAATATATCATTAAACTGAAGGTGAACATCTTTCAGATGGGTCTACCAACAACTATGAATGTTAAAATGAGAACTAATATACATTTCTAATTTTAACGTATCCGTTGCAGTTACAATAATGCCACAATGCTCATATTGTACCATCTATAAGATTTAAAGATAACTAACGTGGTGATGTGCTATAATTGTTTGACTGGTTTTTTTATTGTGTGTGAATCTAATATTGACCCAGTATTGACTCCCTACACAACCAAATTATTTTCCAATTTCTTAAAATAGACAAATACGCATATACGATAAGAGAAATGAATATATTGAAAACAATTTTGAATAATATATTTTGTTTTAAGACACAACTTCAAAGATTGTGACATAAAAATTGAGTCTAATAATGTACCTTTCTAGAGGACTTTACTATTGAAATAAAAATTGTTAGAGTTAACCTTCTATGATTTGCAACTAGCAGTGTTATAAACTTTGTTACTTTGTTGTATCTTTTTAGGCTCTTTCCCCAATCTACCACCATAACATAGTTAAGCTGAGTTTATGTGATGTGAGGTGTGGTTAATTTTTTGCTCTGGTTCAGGTAAAGGGTGTTAATTATTCTTATTTATTTATTTATATATTTTGAGATGGAGTCTCTCTCTGTTGCCCAGGCTGGAGTGCAGTGGCACGATCTCGGCTCACTGCAAGCTCTGACACCAGGGTTCACGCCATTCTCCTGCCTCAGCCTCCCAAGTAGCTGGGACTACAGGCTCTCGCCACCATGCCCGGCTAATTTTTTGTATTTTTAGCAGACACAGGGATTCACTGTGTTAGCCAGGATGGTCTCGATCTCCTGACCTCATGATCTGCCTGCCTCCACCTCCCAAAGTGCTGGGATTACAGGCGTGAGCCACCACGCCTGGCTGTTATTTTTAATTTGGCATTTCACTTTCACTCTCTAATCAGGTTTTAACAATATAAACTGACAACTTGTGGCTAAATTCATTCTCTTCTTGTGTTTCCAATTGTGTTTGCATTGGGCTTCTCCTTCATGTCATTTTTTATATGTCCTTAGATTTGATCTTATTAATTTACATAGATGAAGACGTAATTCCTAAAAAATTAATAATACATTTATCATGGGTTTTATATTGGGAGAACTAACCAATTGAGCTTCATTTTTTAAAATTTATGTTTTTCTTATCCAATATGGATTAGAAGTGAATATAAAATAAATGCATTTGGAACATATACTAAGCCCAGTGTTGGTCTAAACTTCCTCACAGGTTACTTGTTTCCTGATCCATCAAAAACACAAACACATTTAAAAATATAAAGCATTATTATGATGGAATCAGAATACCATGACTAAATCCATTTTCCCATCACAATGTCATTTCTTTGATGAAAGCAAATGATGTTCATATAAAATAGCCATTTCTATCATGGATGTGAGTTCCTAGTGTCTTGTCTTTGCATAATAGAAAGAAACATCTTTTACATAAGCAAAATCAGTACCATAACATTGTATAGTATAATTTAGGATTATATCCTGGCTTTGCTGAGAGTGAGATGCAATGGAAGGAACGAGTGCACTGAAACCAGGCAAATGTGAGTTCAAATCCAAGCTCTGACATGTGACTTCAAGTTGATCAACATACTGTTCTGAACTGTGGTTCCATCTTATGTAGGATGGAGACAATAATACCTTGTATAAATATTTGTAAGGCTCTTAGCAGACCTTAAGGTAAACTGCACCTTGAAATGCTTGTAGCAATTTACAGCCTTCCATTACCATTTGATAATTCCACTGAGTTCTCTACCCCATATCCTACCAGCTGTTAAGCTGTTGCTATTTGATCTGGAACAAAGTCAAGAGTGGTTGTACGGCTTTGAATGCCCAGGTGGGAAAGTTGTAGATTAGTTAGTTAAGGCTGCTATAATGACATCATAAAGTGGGTGGCCTATAAACAACATTTATTGCTCACCGTCATAGGCTGGAAGTCCAAGATCAAGGCATGACATATTCTGTGTCTGCTGGATGAACTTCCTGGCTCACAGAAATTGTGCCTTCTTGTTATGCCCTCACAGGGTGGAAGGAGCAAGGGAGTTCCCTGGGGTTCCTTTTATAAGGGCACTAATCCCATTCATGAAGGCTTTTCCCTCATGGACCTAATCACCTCTCAAAGCCCCTGCCTCCCAATATCATCCTGTGGGAGTTAGGATTTATTTTTCTTTCCTTTTTGGTTTTGTTTCTGTTGTTTTGAGACAGGGTCTCTTGCTTGCCCAGGTTAGAGTGCAGTGGCAAGATCAAGGCTCACTGCAGCCTTGACCTCCCATGCTGAATTCATCTTTCCACCTCAGCTCCCCAAGTAGCTGGGACTGAAGGCATGTGTCACACTGCCTGGTTAATTTTTGCATTTTTAGTAGGGAAGGAGTTTCACTGTGTTGCCTAGTCTGGTCTTGAACTCCTCATCTCAAGCAATCCACTTGCCTTTGCCTTCCAAAGGTAAGACAAACTGCCTCTCAAAATTCTGGGATTACAGGGGTGAGCTACTACACCTGGCCAGGGGTTATGGTTTCAACATAGGAATTTTGGTGACATAAACATTCAGTCTGTTGCAGTGGGTGATAGAAGATGATACTGATGGTCTTTCAGGATCTATTTTCTGGAGATCCCCAAGTGTCATATTCAGTTAAACCTGTTCTTTAAAGGTCAAAGGCCTTTGAATGTTTTCTTTTGTCTGGATGTTCTGCTATTCAGTATTTATCCATTTCTTCCGTATTCTTTTCTCTGGATTATCACATATGTCATGCCAATTCCTATTTCAAATCACAAGGAAACATCATCTTTTCCAAAATAGAAGTACTTTTTAAATATTTGCTGCCACTTTTCATCTGCTCCTTTTCAAATTCCTGTCTCCTGATAGATGTCAGTTTCTTCATGAAGTTTGACTTACACCTGTAACTAATTTAGTGGCTGTATTAGTCCATTCTCACACAGCTATAAACAACTACCTGAGACTGGATAATTTATGAAGAAAAGAGGTTTAACTTATGCATAGTTCCACAGGCTGTAAAGGAAGCATGGCTGGAAGGCCTCAGTAAACTTACAATCATGGCAGCGGGCAAAGGTGAAGCAAGCAAGTCTTAATATGGCAGAGGAGGAGAAACAGAGAGACAGAGAAAAAGTGGAAGTACTACCCACTTTTAAACAATCAGTTTTTGTGAGAACTGACTTACTATCATGAGAACAGCAATGGGAAATCCACTATCATGGTCCAATCATCTTCCACCAGCTCCCTCTCCCCACATTGGGAATTACAATTCGATGTGAGATTTGGGCAGGGATACAGAGCTAAACCATATCAGGGACCTTTCAGGTGAACTCACATGTACTTACATCTTCAGACATTCATCATATGATGTTGTAGTAGCTTTTGAAAATGTGTCTGTTTCTCCCCATATGGCTGCATCCCAATAAAGACAGGGATGGCTTTGCCGTTGCTCACCATCATATTCCCATAATTCTACCCTCCTCTCCAGTTAGTTCTCCTCACTGTTCTCACTTCCAAGACCCCATTCCCACCAGCCTTGGACTTTCTCTTGACTAATTTACTCTCCTATTTGAGGACTCAAGTATCATTCTTTATAGGTACCAGCCCTGACAAATACTGATTGGATGACACAAGAAAGTGAGAAGAATTACATATAAAGGACACAGAAGTGTTTTGGCCCCACTTGGCACAAGCCCTGGTCACAACATAGTCTATAGTTGTTTCTGCCATTGTTGCTTATAATTCATTTCATTTTTCTTTCATTTCCTTTTCAGACAGTTTACTAGTTTACCCCAAAAGACTTATTTAATCATGCACACTGGAGTACTTAACTAATTTCTATTGAACATGCTTTCAAAATATCTAACTTTACATGCAATGTCCACTGCTTTCTATCACTGACTTCCCCAGTGAACACTGAGCTATTAACCCACAGAGTAGGACATATACACAGTATCATTAATCTCTACTCCTAACCCAAACCCACTCTCCTGGCCCCAAACTTAATGTGAAACAGATTGAGTGTCCACTCTCATATATTACTTAGAGAGTACCATTGATTTATACAACTTTTCCTCACTCAGAAGTATAGTGATTCATTTACCCCACACTCAATTTAATTTCAGAAGTTATTGTTTTTTGAGAATAACATTTCCCAATGCATACAACTGTTACGGGGGTGTTCATCTGGTTTGCAGGTGTTACAGTCTGAAACCTGTGAGGACTATTTTTGGAATATTGTCTAAGAATAGGGTAATAGCTCAAAAGAAATTGCTATGATTATTAAACTGAAAACACTTACCCTTTGTCAGAAATTATGCTATTACCTATGTAAAGAAATTTAAAGGCAATAGGGACCATGTCTCCAGACTTTTCAAAATAATGATTAACAAGCACACAGGATGCATTCAGAGCTACCTCTCAATCTCTAAATAATTTTTCTATTAGACAAGTGCCTACTGCTTGCTAAGCCATTCACAGCACACTTTTATTATTGTTTTCTTGTGTGCATATCTTAAATATTAATAATAGCTCACCTAACTTCCTAAAATTATATGAACACTCAAAATCTCTGCTCATACTTTATATTTTTTAATGTTCAATTTAAAAAACCTAGTTTAGGAAAAAATATCTCAACGCCAAAATCTTAAAACCCTTAGTAAAGAAAAGGCTAACAGCAGTTTAGGAATTCTTTTTCTTGTTTAACTGGGGGCACCAAGGAAGAGAAAGAAAGGTGACTTGGGAAATTTACCTGTAAGCTTGCACATGTCAGACCTCCAGGAAAATACTATAATTGTATTTTCTAGTGGGAGATATTATTACCAAGTTTTTATGATCCACTTTTAGCACACTGTAACTGGTCTGGCTAGTATTGTTTATAGGCTTAGGGACATGGATCCCTGAAAAATGTTACATAAGCTATGTAGCCGATTCTAATTGGAAATGTCTCAAGAAAGAAGCATCTCTCTTTTGCATAAAGGGTTCTCCCACAAGCACCACTTGGAGATCTCCTATTTTAAACCCAGGGTCAGAACATGTCCTAATAAAGCAAGAAATGATTCAAGGAGGAATGTTGATGGTTCCAGACTTTGTTTTGACTGTATGAAATTATTAGTAGCACTCAGCACTAGGCAAAATGTCAGAGTGAGGCTCACTTAATAGTCTAACATGTCTGAGCTCTATGCTGATTTTATTTTAGAACATGTTCCTTACCTTTGTCCATAAACTCAAATCTTTTGTACTTTAATATTTTATACCATAAAATTCACTTTCTCTTTTATATTTGTAAAGATAGAAGGCTCAAAATTAATGCACTAAGCACCTAACGTCAGAAGAGAAAAAAGAAGAAATAGCAAAGATATTCTCCCTTAAGGGTGGTTTTCCTTTTTCCTCTGAGTCTCTTTTTCTTTCCTCTTAAATCTCTATTTTGTTTGCCTTAGTCTATATATCATGTTAAAACCTGTGTCAACTATCTGGTCTGCATGGACAGCTCATTCCATGTTGAGAGTGACACACTAAAATGTCAATTGGTAGCTCTTGTTTTCTAATGGTGACCTTTATGGTACAATAATTCACTAAAGATCTTGCTATTTCACAAGGTGACCATCACTGTCAGCATCTAAATTTGTTTCCTTTGCGTTGGTAAATTTCTTGAGAGAGGAATTCTTACTGTCAGCAATTGGTGAAAAAGAGGAAAAACAACCAAGTGGTTAATGATTGTATATAAAGAATTTAACTGATCAGGCACAGTGGCTCATGCCTGTAATCCCAGCCCTTTGGGAGGCCAAAGCTGGCAGATCATGAAGTCAAGGGATGGAGACTATCCTGGCCAACATGATGAAACCTTGTCTCTACCAAAAATACAAAAATTAGCTAGGCATGGTGGTACATGCCTGTAGTCCCAGCTACTTGGGAGGCTGAGGCAGTAGAATCACTTGAATCCAGGAGGCGGAGGTCACAGTGAGCAGAGATCGCACCATTGCAGTACAGCCTGGCTATGGAGTGAGACTCTGTCTCAAAAAAATAAATAAAACAAATAAAAATAAATAAATAAATAAAGGAATTTTGCAAAAAAAATGCTTGAGGGTAGGAGCCAATAAAACAATTCTTTAAACAACCTAGGTGAAAATTATTTTCCACCTAGAATATTATACAAGGCCAGGTAAATTTACCAGTCAAATATGAGTATACACTACAAATATTTTCAGATATAAAGTCTGAAAAATGTATCATCTTTTCTGAGGAAATTACTAAAGGGTGTGCTTTACCAAAATAGAAAAGGACTGAGCGTAAAGATGTAGTAGTGCCAACACAAGTGAGAAACTAAAGAAATTACGAGAGAAATATGGTGACAAGAAATTAAAATATCAAAACTATGCAGCATGTCCGGACCCAGTGAATTCAGTGGTCCAAGAAGACACAGGTGTTTCTGTTTCTTTTGAAAACAGGCATATATTTCTGTGGTAGAAGCGGAGACAATTCAAGAAAATACATAAAAATTACAGAAGTAAACAAAAGGTAATTGCTTACTCCAAGGAAAACAAAAGAACTTTAATAGAAAGGAATGCAATAATTGTTTATCACATGGTTTGACTGTGAACAATTGAAATACAGCCTTAATAACATAAACAAAGTATACTTGATTTAGCCAATTCTTGTGTTCATTATAAGCGGAGAGGGAGTAGAAGAGGCAAAGTAGTAGTGGAAATGATAAGAGAGATAAACCAATAAGTAATAGCTAGATAATTTTTGAAACAAAAAATAAAAAATTCTGGGTATTTTTAAAAAAGAAAGTAAATATCTTCAAAAAACAGCTATAATAGTTAAAATGCCTGCATTTGCAGTGCCAGAAATGGAGAAGTGTATAGGAAAGAACTACTGGTTTTCATTGTAGTCCAAATAGGACGATTTCATTAGAATATGTATACATAAATAATACCACACATATGTGTATATATATACAACTTCAATCATATTAAACTAAAGATTTTTCCAAAATAAAAGGTTGAGACCTACCTGAGATATTTTCCCCTATATTGCTAAAGGAATACACGCATTGTTGCTTGCAAATGTCAGTGCAATTTGCATAATCTTTAAACACTTTTCACCCTCCAAATTTTGGTATCACTGGGCAAAGCTGTGTCCCTTCATTTTAGCTTAACTTCTCCTTTGTGGAGAAAAGTCTGTCAAAATCTGGCCCTATTCCTTCTAAGATTTCATTCATCCATTTTCTCCCACTTCCTTTTCCTTGACTGTAATAAGACAATCCTCAATCTTTTTTATGTTCTGTACCTTTTAATATTAAATTTCTTTACCTGCCCTCAGTAGAATTAAAAACAACTTGGAATAAGTTTTTTTGAGTTTTTTAATTATTCAAGACCACTTAAAACTATGACTCCTTTCAGATGATGCAGTCAATTCTCCTACTACCTTCCTCTGCCCATGATACTTTATTTCCATTCTCTCTCCTTTTGCCTGAGAAAGAATACTTATTAATTCACACACTGGTGTAGGTTCAGTCAGCTCAGGGCTGAGATTAGCATTACATGCAGCAATGTGAAGGTCATTGGTGACTGAGAAAAACGTCATGTTCACTGGTCAGTTGTGAAGAAAACCTGATTTAGAAAATGAAATTGTGATAAGAAAGAGATTCCTTCCTTACTTCCTTCCCTCCCTTCCTCCTTCCTTCCTTCCTCTCTCCCTCCCTCCATCCCTTCCCCCCTTTCTTTTTTCCTTCCCTCCTTCTTTCCCCTCCCCTCCCCTCCCCTCTTTCCCTCCCTCCCTCCCTCACTCCATATTGCTCCTTACGGGACAGGTGACCCCCCTCCCCTCTCCTCCTTCCCTCTCTCCCTCCCTCCCTCCCTCCATATTGCTCCTTACAGAAGAGGTGACCCCTCCCCTCCCCTCTGGCTGGCCTGCCTTCCTTCCTTCCTTCCTTCCTTCCTTCCTTCTTTCCTTTCTTCCTTCCTTCCTTCCTTCCTTCCTTGCTTTCTGTTAGGATTATAGGGTTCTAGCATGCTTCTGAATGTAGTAGTCTCATCCTTGGTGATGAGGTGATGACAGAGAGAGGGAGATTTGTCAAAGAGATAGAGAGGTCCACTCTGCTGTAAAAGATGGGTGCTTTCATTAGATAGGAACAAAGGTGGTTTGAAGTCACAGGAGTGAAGGCAGAGTATGTGGGCATGATGGGCTTGTAGGTGGGTAGGGTGGAGGTCAGAGCTTGTAAAATCTCCCTACTGATGGGCTTGGATTTTCCTAGTAAAATGGGAACCAAGGTCATGCACTTAGAGTGAGAATGGAAGACAGAAGGACTATTGGACATTTCTGAGGAGACAGGAGAAGGTGAGAAATAAGACTCTAGGTCCCTGCTATTCAGAATGTGGTCTATAGACCAGCAACATCGGTGTGACTTGAAGCTTGTTAGAAATGAAGAATTGCCCCACATCAAAAAAGTCAAAATCTGTATTTCAGTAACATCTCCAAGTGATTTCTAAGTAAGCTTCTCTCAAATTTGCCTCTGGAATTAATCAGAACTATTTTAATAATCGGCATGCCCGGGCCACACCCAAGACCAATTTCCTAAGAATTTTTTTGGGGATTGCGACCCCAGCGTCAGTGTCTTTTAAAACTACCTAGGTGGTTCCAGCATGAAATCAATTTTGATGACTGAATGCTTTGGGTATTTAGGGAAGTAAATAAGCTCAGGAAAGCCCCCTTGAAAATAATGATATTGTCTTTAAAGAGACTGATCCACTGGGTTGTGAGTTTTTCTCCAGCTATATATGGCTGTTCAGGTGCAGTTGTGGAAGAGGCAATGAAGTGGATTTAATGAGGGTTGAGGTTCTGCCAAGCAACTGAGAACAGTAGGTGATGTTCCACTTGCTGTCCTGCCTTCTCTCCCACCCACAATTCTCCTTTCCAAATAGAACAGCTCCCTTTGTATCTGTTCTACATTTTAGCTTTCTGAAAAAGAGTTAAAAGCAAGGTGCAAGAGTTAAATGCACTGAAATGTACTATGCCTTTCCACTCTGTATTCATCAGATCAAGAGTCTGACAATACAATGGGTTCCCACTGTGTATGTGTGTGCATATGCAAGGCATAAATTGATTTTATTTTTTTATTTGAGTTACAATGTACTCTGTGTGATCCCAGACTCTCGAATGTAATTTCCTTTTTTTTTTGTTTTGCCTTTCCATTTTTTTCTTTATTGATTTATACACATTCCAACTTTAACTATAGGTGTAATTTTGATAATTTATATTTTCTAATGATATTTCTCTAATATTTTCTAATTTGTCTTTGGGGATTTGCACATAGTGTTGCCTTAAAATTGTTTAATATCTTTTCTCTGTCCTATTCAATTTCTCATGCCTAAATTTTTAATTTCTTTTTTTGCCTCCTTGTTATATTTTATACAGTTTTGTCTACATATTGATTTAAAGATTTAATTACACATTGATTTAATTTTCTGGTATTATGTATTTTAGTTTTCTCTTTTTATGATATATAAATATATATATATAAAGCTAACATATAACAAGAAAAATTAGACTGATCTGTAAGAAATGGCAGAACTAGTCATTAGAGACAACCTGTGCATATTTTAAAATATTATATTGATTATTTTATTTTTTAATACATTTTAAATTTTTGTGGACACATGTATGTATTTATGGGGTACATGAGATATTTTGCTATAAGCATGCAATACATCATAATCACATTATGGAAAATAAGGTATCCATTTCCTCAAGCATTTTTCCTTTGTGTTATAAATGATCCAATTGTATTCTTTTGGTTATCTTAAAATGCACAATTAAATTATTATGTTCTGTAGTCACTCTGTTGTGCTATCAAATACTAGGTCTTATTCATTCTTCCTATTTTTTTGATATCCATTAACTATCTTCATCTCCTCTACCCCTGAACTACCTTTCCCAGCCTCTAGTAACCATCCTTCTACTCCTTGTCTCCATGAGTTCAACTGTTTTAGTTTTTAGATCCCACAAATAAATAAGAACATGTGATGTTTGTCTTTCTGTACCTGACTTATTTCATTTAACATAATGATTGCCAGTTCCATCCATATTGTTGCAAATGACAGGATCTTATTCTCTTTTATAGCCAAATAGTACTGTATTGTGAATCAGTGTCACATTTGCTTTATTCATTCATCTGTTGGTGGACAATTAGTCTCTGCATACTCAAAACTCTCTGTAAAGATGCTTCTGTGCATTTATGTACAGACTCTGCCTGTTTGTATTTAAAATGATCTTATGTGACATTTTTTATTATATCCTTGACTTATTCTTAGTCTGACAGTATGGAAAGTAATGAAGGTTTGGATGGAGTTACAGAGATTAGGATTCAAATTCTTACTCTGCCATTGCTTAGTGAGATTAAATATAGAGTATTTCTTATCCACTCTAATAATCTTTATTCTCAAATATTTCCTGTGCAAAGCAGAGATTGTCACATCTGCCTTACAAGGATGATGAGAGGATTGTAAGTATTTACCACCTCAAGAAATTCACAACTGTGTCAGTTGCCATGTTTTGATTTCTATTATTGTAATTTGTTTATCAGTCCCGTGGTATGCACTTTGTGTATTTATCTGACAATTTCTTACATGTTTTGGAGTACTCTTGGTTGATTAAAGGATTTAATAGGTTTTAAAAAAAAACCCTCCCTAAAGTATAATAGCTGATATGATTAATAATACTTGATAGTCTAATACCACTATATCATAGATAAAAAATTCTATTGTTTTAATATGAATTTATTTGAAAATTTTAGAGTTAAATATTTATTATTCAATGATATGGAAGAAGAATATACCCACAAAAAGTGATTAAGTCCATGTAGCTCCTCTCAACACAGGTTGTTTGAGAGAATTAATCCCTACAGCAATGACCTTTCTTCTGTGCACCTGCCACTACTAGTTGTAAAAAAAGAAGATTAAAATAATTTTTATATTGTGTGGTTTGGATAAGAACCCTTCATTAGGAAAGACTTAGTGAGGAAAAATAACTCAAATTCATTCACTATATTTAAGATGAATTCCTTAAACATGTTTTTGGCAAATTTGGCAAACTGAGAATATGAAAAAGTAATAACTTGCCTTAGGAGAATTTGGCATTAGAGGAACTGAATTGTGAAAAATCAGCTATTCAATAAAAATAGTTTATGCCACACCGCATAATATATAATGATCTTTATTATTTTCTTACATTTTCCTTGTTTAATTTTTCTTTCTTGTGTCAGGAGCAGAGAAATAGGTTATATATTCAGCTGTCACATTTATCTTAACTTGTCATTTATGGTTTTCTTTTAAAGATTCAGATTTTATTCTAACTCATTAATTCCCACATTTATTGATACTTAGTTCATTGTGCTTTTCAGCTTTGTCCAGTTTTTGTTTCCTATTTGTAACAAAGTAAGTTGAGAGAATATATTTTTATTTATTTGTTTCATGTGGAAAACTCTTATGAATATGAACTTTCCTCTAAATACATATTAACTGTATTCTATACACTTCAATATTTAGTGATTTCTGATTATTAATGCCACCAAGTGCCAATGTCTTGTTTGCCAATCATGCTCCATTATCAACATGGTTCCTAATGAACATAGTTGGTACTTTCTTTTCCTCT